>NC_000010.11:102112792-102415822 GCF_000001405.40 Homo sapiens
TAGACAGGGGTCTCACTAGTGTGTATCTGTGATGTGCACATGTCCTCTCTCTCACCTCACCTAACAGCAAACAGTTCCTGGAATACTGTTTTCTGACTGGAAAAAGTGTTAAATTCATAGTTGGGTATGAGCCAGGTACCCCTGCAACTCTGTTTCCCCTTCTCACCAGATAGGAGGGGAAACTGAGGCACAGGCCCAAAAGTTCATCTGACTCCAATCACATTTGCTTCCTTGGGTCCCTAAAACTCGACTGCATTTGGAAGGGTAGCTAGATTGGCTGTATCTAGATCTCCTCCCCAACTTAGATACAAAACCTATTTTGTTTCTTTGGGGGGAAGAGACAAAAGAAGACCCTGTGCCAACATGTGTCATTTAATTCTCTCCCCAGAGCCCTGTCCTCACAATGCAGGCAAAAGGAGGGTCCCAGACTGCACAGTCTCTGAAGATGCCAAGTCAGAGCCTGTGTGTGCCTGCACACACGTGTGCCTCATCCTGCCTAGCAGGCTTTCACCCTCAGCTCGCCCTAACATGCCTATCAAGGGCTGGAACCCAGCAGCCCCAGGCAGATTCAGATGCCCGCAACAGGCCCTCACCCCATGCACGAGCTCTCACGGGCCACATCCATATGCTCCAAGAACAGCACACACAGCCTTCACATGCCAGTCTGGACTGAGCCTGTGTCTCCAGAAAGACAGTCCCCACCCAGCCACCAAGTCTCCCCAATCCACAGACAGGCAGACTAAGGCCACACAGGAAGCCCAAACTCACACAGCCCACCAGAGGCCAGGCCTGGGCAATAAACCCAAGAGTAGATTCTCAGACCTGGCCCTCATCCCCCAACTAGGCCATCCTTTCTCCCATAGCTTAACCACCCCTGCCTCCTCAGTTTCCGGGCCACTTGAAATGTGTTAGCTCAAGAACCTGAAGAGACAGGAGGCAGGACGCCTGGGTTTCTCTCCAATTTTGTAAAAAAAAAAAAAAAAAAACTCTCAGAGCCTCCATTTCTCTCTCTAGAGAATGAACAGGCATTGTCTAGGCCTGGGTAAATAGCTCTGAGGAGCTAGAGCCCAAAGCTCTGGGCCTCTATTTACACCTCCAGTGAATGGACACAAACTCAGCATCTCTCCAGAGCCACAACTCCCAGTGGCTCCAGCACAAGGGCTTGGGAGTGAGTAGAGAAGGGGAGGGACATCACCCAGACCATCTGTCCCTGTTGCTGCCTGTCCCCAGCAGCAGGAGTAGAGGCAGCAAGGTGGGGGGACGGAGGAGATGTGTCATCCAGCCCTGGAGTCAGCCATAGCCCCCCTCCCACCTCTAGCAAATTGGAAGCCTTTAGGAAGGGGGAGAGAAGAGCCCAGAACTAGTAAAGTTTTCTCAGGGTGGAAGCTGCATCCCGGGGCTGAGGGGGGCACCTCCAGCTGGGTATTGCCATGGTAACCAGGCTGACTCGAGGGCAGGCCTCCTCCCTTTAGGGACTGGCCACAGGTCAGCAGGCCTGAGCGCCCCGGCGGCTCTGGGCTGGGGCACCTCTCCCCCAGCCCGCAGATCAGGCCCGGGCCGGGCTGAGGGCCTTCCGCCCACCCCCAACAGGCTCGCAGGGTGCCCAGACTTACCTGGGAGAACTGAGGGGGCCAGGAGAGGTACGGGGGAGCGACTGCAAGCCCAGAGGAGTCCTGGCAGGGGTGAGGGCTGACGGGGGGACAACTTCAGCAGCTCATGTCCCGAGTGGGACGGGCAGGCCCGACTGGGAGCTCCAGTCCGCCGGCCGCACAAAGACTCGCACGCACTGCCTCGGCCCGCCCCGCGGCGGCCGCTGTCCCGGGGGAAAGTTACAATGGCCACTGGGCCGGGGGCCGGGGGCCAGGGGGCCGGCCTGGGGGGCGGGGGGCCGCGGGGAGTCCGGAGCCTTCTTTGTTTGCAAGGTTTCCCTCAACAATGGCTGCTCCGCTCTTTCCTCTCTCCTCCTCCTCCTTCTCGGCTCTCCCCGCCGCCGCCTCTTGCTGCCTCTGCCTCCGAGCAGCCCGCCCGCCCTCCCCAGGCCACCGGGCCCCTCTGCTGGGGGCACCAGGAGAGGCAGGACCCGGCACTCACACTCACTCACACTCGCACACTCAAACACACACGCAGCGCCCGCCGGCTGCCTGCCTTTCTCCCTTTCTCTCCCTGCCTCCCTCCCTCCCCGCTCGCTCTCTCCGAGCCTCTCTCAGAATGAGGCCCCAGGGCGGGCGGAGGGTGGAGCTGCCCCCACCGGCCCCGCCCCCTCCCTGAGAGGAAAGAGGAAGAGCAAGGGAGGGAGGGAGGCTGGGACGGAGGGACTGCTGAGAAAAACAAAAGAGAGACAGAGACTGGGAGAGACAGGGGACGGATCAGATTGGGCCAGGAGAGACCTGGATGGAGGAGAGGCCTGTGGGGGCCAGGAACGAAATGCAGCCCGCCTCCCCCGAGCCCCAGGCACGGTGCTCAGGAGTGAGCAGGTGGGCCAAAGCCACTGGCAGAGATGGAGGAGGGCGGGCTCCTCTCTGCAGACTCCAAGATCTTCAAAGCACCTCCCAAACCTCCCCCAAATCTTTCTCGCCCCTGTGATCGCTCAGGTTGAAGGCTGGCCCGGACTGCCAGCCTGGGCTCCCCTGGTGAAATCCTGGAGCAGCTGGGGGGAGAGGCTCCAGGGGGTTATTTTTGACAGACACACATTCTGACATCAGACTGTAAACACTGATTGGAGGAAGGGGGACACTCCAGGCTTCCCTGCCCCCAACCCAGCTAAATTCCAAGCCTTGACTTAGATCCCCCTTAACAGGAAGCCCCCTTCCCCACCACCACTGAAGACAAGTGGGTGCCAGGGAAAGAGGCATTGTCAGAGCTAGGGAAAGCCAACTTGGCCATCCAAGGGTCCCCAGAAGGAGCTTAGTTTGCTGCTGAATCCTCCCCACCACCCCAGAAAAAAAAACGTGTGGTTAGTGGATAGGACCTGTTCTCCCATCCAGCAGGGCATCCCAAGGGAGCAGATATTTCTATTTTTTTTCCTAAGGTAATTTTGTTGTAGCAGGAGGGAATATTTCTAAAACTTGGGTAGTGGGCCAGACCTTACTCGTGGACAAATAGGAAAAGGAAAATACATAGTACACACACACACACACAAACACACACACACACACGGGAAGGGGGAGCACGAACCTTCTATTTCCTTCTTTGCAATTTGAGTGTCTGTTTCTCTACTTCCTGTCTCCTACCCCCAACTATATTCACACATAACTCCAAGGACAGGATTTCTTATGACATACTCACTAGTTAACTGTGCAGTAATATTGCACCTGGCTCTGTGAACATCTTCCACATAAATAACACATCTCACTTTCACATAAATCACTACCTGATACACATTTCAACCTGTGATATATCTTTTTTCCAAGACGGAGTCTCGCTCTGTTGCTTAGGCTGGAGTGCAGTGGCGCGATCTCGGCTCACTGCAACCTCCAGCTCCTGGGTTCAAGCGATTCTCCTGCCTCAGCCTCCTGAGTAGCTGAGATTACAGGTGCATGCCACCACACCCAGCTAATTTTTGTATTTTTAGTAGAGACAGGTTTCACTATGTTGGCCAGGCTGGTCTCGAACGCCTGACCTCAGGTGATCCACCCACCTTGGCCTCCCAAAGTGCTAGTATTACAGATGTGAGCCACCGCGTCTGGCCATCAACCTGTGATATATCTCAAATCCTAAATATACCCAAATCCTGGATATATACACACACACACAGTCTAAGTCATACACACTGGGACCTATGACACGCATCCTGACCTCAATACACACACCAAAACTGTGTTATAACCCCTAAACCTGTGACAGCCTATCACATACACACCCCGATCATTTATTATGCAAGGACTTAACCTATAAATCACCCTCTCTGAAGCCTGCGTACCATTCCTCATCACAGCCTGGCCATAGAATAAACCCCAGCTTTCACAAACATACTGAAATCTATAACATTCAGCCAGACCCTGCAACATACAGCCTATCACCAGGACTTAAGACACTCCCACTGACTCCCAAATTTACAGCTTAACTCTGGGGTAGTCCCACTTCTCCCCCACTGCCTTTAAACTTTCCAAAGTGCATTCACAGGCAGTACCTCAAGAGATCCTCATAGCACATAGGGCCAAATATCCTAACAGTGAGATCCTAACAGAACCCACTGAGACAGGATGACCAGGGTGGGCTGGGGGGTGGGGGGGTTGAACCCTGCACTTCTAAACCCACCAGATACAAGCCAAGCCCTGCAGCCATTCCTACTCCCTTCCCCCTCCAGGCCTCAAATCACTGTCCTCATGGGGAGGGGGAAATGTGCTCTGGCTTTTGCCTCCAGCCCAGAGCTCAGAACCCCACACCCACCCTGTCTCCTCAGACAGGAGGGACTACAAGGGCCCTCCAGTCTCGCTGTGGGGTGGAGGGGCCCCTAAATGCCAAGATGTATCGACTGGCAAACCATTCAAAACAGGCCTTCTAGTTATTCTCTAGCAAGTCTGCTCCTTTCTCTGCTCTGACCAGATTTACCCAGTTGCACAGGGGCAGAACAGGTCCAGCTAAAAAGAGCAAGTCTGAGTTAGAAGGCCTTAGAATTGGTGGTGAGGTGGAGGGAGCAGCAAATAATGACAAAGATGATGAGGGAAAGTACTCCTCCTGGAGGTGGGGACTCAAAGGACAGCAGCCAGCCCCAGCCCACAGGATGAGGTACCAGCACTGCCCCCTGCCCGGGCCCCTGGGGCTCCCTGACCCAGGCCTCCAGTGTGCCTGCCCCCCTTCCTTTGTCTGTGCCCGGCCTCCCGTTGGCCTGGCGCTCTGCCATCCTCCTCTCCTGGCTCCCAGCCGCCACCACTGCTGCCTCCTCCCCTCCCCCTACTCCTCCCTGCCTTAACCCTTCTGAGCCACATGCTGCCCCAGACAGGCCCTGGCCCCCTCAGCCTCTTGCTCAGGGTGATGCCCCTTAGTCAGAGGCTCTCCCTGCTCCCAGCCATTCCAGCCCCAGAAGCTGGTCCTCACCCCAGGAGCAATATGGGTGTTGGGCATGTGTATGTGTGTATCTTGTGGTGCTTCTGCGTGTGCATGTGTGTGGGTCTGTGTGCGCTCTGGCTTCCCTCAGTCACATGTGTGGGGCATGTGCTGTCTCTGCCGGGCTGGGGGAGGAGGAGGAGCCCGGAGACAGCAGAACACAAAGGAGAGACTCAGACAGGCAGGCAGGCAGGCGGCAGGCGGCCTGCCAGGGCGCCTCAGCCCTCACCCCAGGGCTGCTCAAGGTGGGGGAAATCTTTGGGCCTGGACTGCTACATGCTGCCATGCCTTCCTTGTGTTCAAGCATGTGCTCCCCCATCCAAGCAAGCTGCAAGCCAGGTCCCCTCTCTAACCTCAACTGCTACTATTCCCCACCTCCAGTCTACTCTGAAGCCCTCCCCATGTGGTTCTCCTTGAAGTCTAACCTCCATCCACCCTCTTTGGCATCAATCTATAAGACTTCTTCATGATCTGGAAAAAGACTCCCCACTCTTCCCTATCTTTTGCCCTCTCTCCCTCAGTCAGACCACCAGACACAAAAGGAACATGCCTTCTGGGGCATTGACTGAAGTTGTCTTCCCACCCACCCACAAACCCCTGGGCTTGGGCCCTCTTCCTGTTCCCATGCTGCTCCCAGAGACTAAGAAGAAGAGATTTTCTCTCTCCTCCCACTGGACCCAGGCACCCTGCCCCAACTTCAGGGCCAACCTCCCATCCACCTCCAGCCTGACAACCCCTCCATACATACATACCCGCTTACCCACTATTTGTAGGAACTAAGAATCACAATTTAAGACTCATCCCTCTAGCTTGTTCAGATCCTTAGTTTAACTGCTCTGCTCATGTGTGTTGATGGAGGGTCAGGGCCCTGGGGTGGGCTAAGAACATGATGGATCTGAAAGGGGTACCCAGCATGGGTCAATTATAAAGGAGAAAATCCACAACATAAACATGTACACCAAGCTGGTAGAAAGAGGGACGACGGGGCCAGACAGGATTCCAGCTTGGCAAGCTCTTCCCTCTCCTCTCCCCAACCCTCTGCAGCAGGAGCCAGTGGTTCCCATACTCGGATATTCTAGGATTGTTAGGTTCTCTTATTCCTCCTTCTGGGACCCATGCCCCTTAGACATCAGCCTCAGCAGGCACCTGAAGTGTGTGCCCAGCCCAGCTTGGCCTGGGTCACATGATTTTCAAGGAAGCTTCCGCACTGGCAGCTTCCCTTGGGGATTTGTGGGGGAGTGGTGGGTGTCCAGCTGTGAAGTATGTAGCCAAAGCGGGCTACATTCAGGGACACTGACTTCCAGGAGAAAGCTGACTCCAGTCTGGGGCAGGAGGGCCAATTCCAGGACCCAGAGTCCCGGGGATGGAGACAGACAGTGTGCCGTGAGGCCCTCTGTAGACTACCTCTCCAGTCGCATGGCTTCTCTCTTTCCTCCTGGCAGTGAGGTAGACGCCCTCCGCCCCCCCCACCTGCCCCCCAGGAAAAAAACTCAGACCTAGGCTATCCCTGGCAAGAGCTGATATGTTTTGGGGAGGCAGGGATCTGAGCCTGGGTCCTCTCTCAAGTTCTCAGTTTTGGGTCAAGTATTGCTCCCCCAGCTTACCTCTCCACAAATCACTCTATTTCCTAGCCTGCCCTCCCACTAGGGCGGAGATGCCAGACCCAAGGGTCCAATTATCTGGCACCTCTTAGGAGTACCTCCGGTGCCTCAGGAGGGCCAACCTTCCCTGGCAACAGGCAGGAAAAGTTGAAGGTGGGGGGCAAGATGGGCCGCAATCAATACCTCCCTGCAAACAGGGTCCTCAGAAACAGCATGGGGGGGATGTCACAGGATAGGTAAGAGGCAATGGGCAGCAGGGAAGGGGGGGCAGCCCAAACCAGCCAATCACAACTCTATGGTGACCTGAGGGGGGGGGTCAAAAGTCCAGAGTCACTTCTGATTGGCTAACAACCTGGAATTCTGAGAATTTCAGCCCCCCCCAAACCTCTCCCCAATTAGCCTACCCCCAAAAAAACATACACATAAGCCACCCCCAGCGTCTCCTCCCCGTGTTTCTGGGCTGCTGCGCATTTACACAGTTGGGGAAAACGCTACCCGCCAGCCTGAGGCCCCGCGTAGCCCTTCCAGCCCCCGGCTTCCCCCATGCCATCGACGCCCCCCACACAAGTTCTCGCCAAACACGGGGTGAGGGGTCCGCAGGGACGGCTGGGCAGGAAGGGGCCGAGTGGCCGCACGCCCCACTCACCAGGACAGGCACAGCCCACTGACATCTTCACATCGCCCGCCTCTGGGGGCCCAGCCGAGTCACGGTGCCCGCCCCTCGCGGGGACAGGCCGGGCATGAGCCGCCGCCGCCGCCCGCGGCCCCCGCTGCGCTCGCCGCCGGCCCGGCCCGGCCTCGGCCCGGTGCGGGCGGCCCCTGGCTGCGGCGAGGGGCCTGTCAGGCGCGGAGCAGACAGGAAGGAAGCCAGGCAGGAAGGCGAGCGGCCTCTGCGTGTGTGCGCGCGGGTGTGAGTCCGCGGAGTGTGTGTCCGTGTGTGCGTGTGTGCGCGTGTGCGTGTGCGTGTCTGTGCGCTCCCGCCGCCGTCGCCGAGCGCCCCCCTCTCCGCCCTCGCGCTCGCGCTCCCTCGCGCCGGCGCCGGCTCCCCAGCCCAAGCCGGGCAGGGCCGGGCTTTATTAATATGCTAATTGTCCTGCTAGTGGGAGGGGAGAGCCGTGTCAAAGTGACCCGGGAGAGCGCGCAGCAAGCGACGACGTGCGTGCGCCGCGCGGCGGGCGGGCGGCGAGGGGCTGGGAGCGCTCGGGGAACGGCATGCATGTGACGCAGCTTTTAAAAAAGGAGACGGAGGCAGAGACCCCAGAGAGGGAGGGCGAAGGGGAGGGCTTGGAGGCGCAGCCGCGCGCTCGGTGTCCGTCCTCCGGGTGCCGCCGGATGGGGAGTCTGGCTGAGCCGGAGCGGGAGCCGCGGCTGGGGGAGGCGGAGCCGGGGTGGGCAGTGTGGTGTATCTCTCTCCACCCCGGGCCGCGCTCCGGGAGGGAAAAGGGACTGCAGACCCCCTGTCCGTGCTCCCTGCTGAGACGCCAGCCTTCTTCTGGAGGCCCCTTGTTTCGCGTCCCTACCCTAGGCTGGATGGGTAAAGAAGCATTCTCTTAATTCTTGTAGCAACCCCTCAACTCACCCCTTCCCTAAATTAACCACTCCTCCTTTGCCTGCGAAACCAGTTGGGACTAGAACTAAAAGGGTTAATTAAGTGGGGTCCCCGCCCTCCTCCGCCTAAGGGCTTGGGATCTGTGTTTTGCTGGGGGGAGGGGGCTGCGGAATGACCACCAGATTGGATTACGGAGGGGCGATAGGAGGCCATCCTTCCTTCTTGCAGACTGACGCATCAGTCAAGACACTCTCTTCCCTTCCCCCCTTTCTCCAGCCTTGGTGCCTTCACCTCCGTACCAACCGCCCAACCCCACCGCCTCCGACCCCCCTGCCTGGAAGCTGCTGTCCTTTGAGGGCTTCGGAGATGAGAACAGGAAACAGGCCCCTCCAGTGCCCCCTAACCCAGAGAGGCAGAGGCTGTGGGCCGTGGGGGGTTGGATGGGAGATGATGTGGATGGTCAATGTAAGGAACACTCCTTCCCCTGGGAGGAGCCTCCCAACCTTCAGTCACACTTCAAGGACTCCCCAACCCAGCCCTAGGAGGGGAGGGGCTCCATCTCCATCCCTTCCCAAAAGCTCAGCTTTAGCTGCCTCATAAACAGGAAATACCTATTAGCCAGGAGGAGGGAAGGGAGGGGAGCCGCCTGGAGTAGAGAGTTGACCCCCTCCCTCCTGGGGTCCCCAGCTGCTAGCTTTTCTTTCTTAAGTTTCAGTATGGGCTCCAGGGATAGACGATGGAGACTTGGACTAGTGTCTCCTCCCTAGGGCGTCTGGCCCTGACTGGGTAGGGGGTTCTCCTCTTTGTTACTTAGAGGGGTGTTGGTTGAGAAGGCTGTTTGGTTCCCTCACTCTGGCTCAGAGTCTGCACAGCTGGCTTGACTGGCTGGGGGAGGGTTACAAATGCGGAGGCTTAAAGTGTTTATGAGACCTCTTCTCTCCACCTTAGGTTTTTGCTGAGGGAGCATGAAATGATGGAACGGTGCAGAGTCCAGGGATTGAAAAGAAGGCCTGCCTAGGAATGGAGACCCTCCCCACCATGTGCTTAGGATGGGGGATAGGGGAGCTTGTACACTGTGGAGTCTCCCACCCCCAGGTTTCCCCATCTCCACCCCCACCAGGAGCAGAGAGGACCTGACTGAAGCCATCCACACTCACACAAGTATTTCCTTGGCAGCATCCCCTGCCTGAGTGCACCCCCTCCCTGCATTCTCCCAGACAAAGGTCAGCACTAGAGGGAGTAGAGAGAACATAAGGCAACAGAACACTGGCCCGAAATTGTGGATACCTAGGTTTGAACGCAAGATTCGCTCCTCAATACCTGAGTGATTTGAGACAACTGACCACCCCACCTGGGACACTAGCTTTATCCTCTGTAACCTATGGCTTGGTGAGTATCAAACTAGACAATGTACACCCAGTCACGTAGCCCAGTGTCAGCCAGGCAGTCCTGTAAATACGTGTTCTTTCTGCCCTTTTTTTTTTTTTTTTTTTAAGATTATCCAATTCCAAGAGAGGAGGGGGCTGGATTGGCAGGACAATTTGAGATGGTTTGGAGGAGGGGGAATACCTACCTTGACCTCCTTCTCTCTTTTCTGTCCATGAATTTGCCTTCCTCCAATCCTGTGACCACTTACGCCTAAGGCCACTCATTCCAAACAACTAGCTTGGTCAGATTCCATGCTGACCAACACAATGGTGATCATCTGGGTGGACAGGGGGACTACAACCCACCCTATAAAGGTCTTTGCCTCCTGTGAATCTGAGATTTCCCTCTCCTAGATTACACATGTGGAAGGTAGAAGCTTAGGAAGGAAGAAAAAACTGCCTTACTTGAGCATGCACTAATGCCAGGCACTGCCCTAGGCCTTTTACACTTGCCGACTCATTTACCTTTCATGAGGACCTTTGGAAGAAGGTGCTATTACCTCCATTGAACAAGTAGGAAAACTGAAGTTCAGAGATGATAATAAATTTGAACTTGCCTGTAAAACACTGTTCTCCCTCTTCTTCACCTACTAGTTAATGCTTCCTTAACACCTTAGTTCTAGCTTCACCTTCTCTGGGAAGATTACCCTTCCCACTCCCACTGACACTATAGCCCAGTTACCGGTAAGGAAATACCATCTCAGTACTGTTGAATGGGTGGTTAAAATAAGTGATTGGGGCTCCTACAGGAACTCCATTTAGGCAAGTTAGTTAACTTTGCCAAGGTAACAGAGCTAACAAGCACTTGACCCATTGCTCCACTCCTTGCCTTACTTCTAGTGTGGATCAGACCTGGGGAGGGAGAAGAGAACATCTTTGGAGCATCTCTGGGAATTGTGGTATAGGCAAAAATGGGAAGAGAGGTCACAGACACCTGGCAGACAGAAGGGATGTGGTAGGAAGGGGGTGGAGTCTATGTGGAGGGGGGGTCTTTAACTTAATGACAATGTCCTGGAGGACTGGAGGCTTAGCTGATTTGTATGGATGGGTGTAAGTGCCCAGTATTCTCTCTCTCTCCCTCTGTATGTGTGTGGTAAAATTCACATAACATAAAATTAACCTTTTTTTTTTAGACGGAGTCTTGCGCTGTCGCCCAAGCTGGAGTGCAGTGGTGCAATCTCAGCTCACTGCAACCTCCACCTCTCCAGTTCAAGCAATTCTCCCTACGCCTCAGCCTCCTGAGTAGCTGGGATTACAGGCACCTGCCACCACGCCTGGCTAATTTTTGTATTTTTTTTAGTAGAGACAGGGTTTCTCCATGTTGGTCAGGCTGGTCTGGATCTCCCAACCTCAGGTGATCCGCCCACCTTGGCCTCCCAAAATGCTGGGATTATAGGCGTGAGCCACCACGCCCGGCCTTTTTTTTTTTTTTTTTTTTTTTTGAGATGGAGTTTCGCTCTTGTTGCCCAGGCTGGAGTGCAATGGCGCAATTTCAGCTCACTGCAACCTCTGCCTCCCGGTTTCAAGTGATTCTCCTGCCTCAGCCTGCTGAGTACCTGGGATTATAGGCATGCACCACCATGCCTGGCTAAAAATTAACCATTTTTAAATGATCAATTCAGAGGCATTCTAGCTTTTTATTTTTAAACTTTATTCTTTTTTTTTTTTAGACAGAGTCTCGCTCTTGTCGCCCAGACTGGATTGCAGTGGCACGATCTCAGTTCACTGCAACCGCCGCCTCCCAGGTTCAAGCGATTCTCCTGCCTCAGTCTCCTGAGTAGCTAGGATTACAGGCACCACCACCACACCTGGCTAATTTTTGTATTTTTAGTAGAGATGGGGTTTCGCCATGTTAGTCAGGCTGGTCTCGAACTCCTGACCTTGTGATCTGCCTGCCTTGGCCTCCCAAAGTGCTGGGATTACAGATGTGAGCCACCGCGCCCGGCCTTCTTTCTTTTCTTTCTTGTTGAGACAGTCTCACTCTGTTGCCCAGGCTGGAGTGCAGTGGTGCAATCTCAGCTCACTTTAACCTCCGCCTCCCGGGTTGAAGTGATTCTCTTGCCTCAGCCTCCGGAGTAGCTGGGATTACAGGCGCGCACCACCACACTTGGCTAATTTTGTATTTTTAGTAGAGATGGGGTTTCACCATGTTGGCCTCCAAGTGATTCACCCGCCTCGGCCTCCCAAAGTGTTGGGATTACAGGCGTGAGCCACTGTGCCTGGCCATTTTTTTTTTTTTTTTTTTGAGACAGAATCTTGCTCTGTCACCCAGGCTGGAGTGCAGTGATATGGTCATAGGTAACTGCAGCCTCAAACTTCTGGGCTTAAGCAGTTCTCCTGCCTCAGCCTCCCAAGTAGCTAGGACTATAGGTACACACCACTGTGTCCAACTAACTTTTTTATTTTTTGTAGAGACAGGTTTCTTGCTGTTAGCCAGGCTGGTATTGAACTTCTGGCTGGCCTCAAGTGATCCTCCTGCCTTGACCTTCCAATGTGCTGGGATTACAGACATGAGCCACTGCCTGACCCTGGCCCTTGTTTTTTGTTTTTTATTTTATAGTCTTGCTGTGTTGCCCAGGCTGGACTCGGACTCCTGGGCTCAAGCAGTCCTCTTGCCTCAGCCTTCTGAATGTCTGGGACTACAGGCCCGTACCACACCAAGCCTCTAGTATTATTTATTTATTTATTTATTTTTGAGACAGAGTCTCGCTCTGTCACCAGGCTGAATGCAGTGGCTTGATCTCAGCTCACTGCAACCTCTGCCTCCCCAGTTCAAGCGATTCTCCTGCCTCAGCCTCCCAAGTAGCTGGTACTACAGGTGTGTGCCACCACACCCAGTTAATTTTTTTTTTTTTTTTTTTTGAGACAGAGTCTTGCTCTGTCACCAGGCTGGAGTGCAGTGGCACTATCTCAACTCACTGCAACCTCCGCCTCCTGGGTTGAAGCAATTCCCCTGCCTCAGCCTCCTGAGTAGCTGGGATTATAGGCATGAGCCACCACACCTGGCCAAATCTTTTGTATTTTAGTAGAGACGGGGTTTCACCATGATGGCCAGGATGATCTCGATCTCTTGACCTCATGATCCGCCTGCCTCAGCCTCCCAAAGTGCTGGGATTACAGGGGTGAGCCACCGTGCCCAGCCACTTTTAGTATTTTTCAATACTAGTCATTAGTGCAAGATGGACTCTGGACACAGGCAGGAGGTACTGAGAAGAGATTAAGATTAGGAAAGGGGAAGGGAAGAGGAGCCTTACAAAAAGGCAGACAGCAGAAGCAACTGGCTAGACTCATTCCAATAGAGGTAAGCCCCCTGTTTGTCCCAACTCCTAGAACCGCTCCCATCCAACTCCCTCTGCTGACCTTGGCCTTCTATATTTTCTCTTATATTTCTCTCACCCTTGAAATTCCTTCAACTAGTTATTGGCACCACTCTGTCTTTCTTTCTTTTCTTTTTTTTTTTTTTTTAGACAGAGTTTCGCTCTTGTTGCCCAGGCTGGAGTGCAGTGGCACAATCTCGGCTCACTGCAACCTCCGCCTCCCGGGTTCAAGCAATTCTCCTGCCTCAGCCTCCCAAGTAGCTGGGACTACAGGCATGCACCACCATGCCCGGCTAATATTTTGTATTTAGTAGAGTAGGGGTTTCACCATGTTGGTCAGGCTCATCTCGAATTCCTGACCTCAGGTGATCCACCCGCCTTGGCCTCCCAAAGTGCTGGGATTACAGGCATGAGCCACCGCGCCCGGCTTGGCATCACTCTGTCTTTCAAGGATGAATCTTGACCTGGATGCTATGGCTCACACATGTAATCCTAGAAACTCAGGAGGCTGAAGAGGGAGGATCACTTGAGCCCAAGAGTTTGAGACAGCAGTGAACTGAGATTGCACTATTGTACTTTAGCTTGAATGACAGAGTGAGACTGACTCAAAAGAAAAAAAAAAGGATGAATCTTTCTCCAAACAGACAGCAGATGATATATGTCTTATGGACGGCCAAACCTCCAGCATCTAACAGAGTACCTGGAACCTAGTTTGTGAACTATAACTTTTTTTTTTTTTTTTTTGAGATGGAGTCTTGCTCTGTTGCCCAGGTTGGAGTGCGGTGGTGCGATCTCAGCTCAGTGCAACCTCTGCCTCCTGGGTTCAAGCGATTCTCCTGCCTCAGCCTCCCACGTAGCTGGGATTACAAGCATCCACCACCATGCCCAGCTAATTTTTATATTTTTAGAAGAGACAGGGTTTCATCATGTTGGCTAGGCTGGTCTTGAACTCCTGACCTCAGGTGATCCGCCTGCCTCGGCCTCCCAAAATGCTAGGATTACAGGTGTAAGACACCACACCCAGCCGCAGCCGTGAACTGTAACTTTTGTTGAATGATTACAGCAATTTTTATAGATCGTCCCTTGCCCTGACACGTGACTCCTCCCCTCTTGTCCATTTGCTATCATCATCAACATCATTATTTACAAACATCAGTCATTTTTCTGCCAAAGCAGTTTCTCAAAGTATGTAAGAAATTCCCAGGAAACTTGTTAACCATGGAGAAGGCACCATCCTTGGATGAACTAAATCATATTTCTGGAGAACCAAGGAATATGGTTTTTTATCATATATATATATATATATATATATATATATATATATATATATATATATAAATTAAAAAAAAATTGAGACAGAGGTCAGGCATGGTGGCTCAAGCCTGTAATCCCAGCACTTTGGGAGGCTGAGGTGGGCAGATCACCTGAGGTCAGGAGTTCAAGATCAGCCTGGCCAACATGGTGAAACCTTGTCTCTACTAAAAATACAAAAATTAGGCAGGTGTGGGGGCACAAGCCTGTAATCCCGGCTACTCAGGAGGCTGAGGTAGGAGAATCGCTTGAACCTGGGAGGCAGAGGTTCAGTGGGCTGAGACCACGCCACTGCACTCCAGCCTGGGCAGCAGAGTGAGACTCCGTCTCAAAAAAATAAATAAAATAAAATACATTGTGATAGAGTCTTGCTCTGTCTCAAGGTTGAAGTGCAGTGGCGCAATCTCAGCTGGAGTACAGTTGCACGATCTCGGCTCACTGCAACATCCACCTGCTGGGTTCAAGTGATCCTCTCATCTCAGCCTCCCGAGTAGCTGGGATTACAGGCAAGTGCTACCACGCCCGGCTAATTTTTTGTATTTTTAGTAGAGACGGGGTTTCACTGTGTTAGTCAGGGTAGTCTTGATCTCCTGACCTTGTGATCCACCTGCCTCAGCCTCCCAAAGTGCTGGGATTACAGGCGAGAGTCACCACGCCCGGCCTGCCCAGCTGATTTTTTTTGTATTTTAGTAGAGACGGGGTTTCACCATGTTGCCCAAACTGGTCATGAACTCCTGAGCTCAGGCAATCTGCCCATCTCGGCCTCCCAAAGTGCTGGGATTACAGGCGTGAGCCACCGAGCCCAGCCTATTTTTTAAATTTTTTCTAGAGACAGGGGTTTCGCTATGTGTCCCAGAGTGGTCTTGAACTCCTGGGCTCAAGCGATCCTCCCATCTTGGCCTCCTAAAGTATTGGGATTACAGGTGTGAGTTGCCGCACCTAGCTGGTTTAAGATTTCTCACAAGGTTGCAGTCAAATGGCCAGCCAGGATGTAGTCATCTTAAGGCTTGACTGGTGTTGGAGAATCTGCTTCCAAGCTCACTGTCATGGTTGTTGGCCAGCCTCAGTTCTTCACTGGTTTTTGGTCAGAAGCTGCTGCTGCTTTTTTTTTTTTTGAGACAGAGTCTTGCTCTGTCATGAGGTTGGAATGCAGTGGTGCGATCTCAGCTCACTGCAACCTCCGACTCCCTGGTTCAAGCGATTCTGCTGCCTCAGCCTCCCGAGTATCTGGGATTACAGGCACGTGCCACCACGCCCAGCTAATTTTTGTATTTTTAGTAGAGACGGGGTTTCACCATGTTGGCCAGAATGGTCTCCATCTCCTGACCTCCCACATTTGATCTGCCCACCTCAGCCTCCCAAAGTGCTGGGATTACAGGCATGAGCCACCGCACCCCGCCCCTCTAAAAGCTTCCATTTTTTTGCCATGTGGGCCTCTCCATAGTACTGCTTATAACATGGCACTTTGATTTCCCCAGAGCAAGAGATCCAAAAGAGGGAGAAAGAGAGAGCAAGAGAGACAGAGAGAGACAGAAAATAGGAGCCCCTAAGCCCACAGCTGCAGTCTTTTTTTTTTTTTCTTTTTTTTTTTAAGAGTCTTGCTGTGTCGCCCAGGCTGGAGTGCAGTGGTGCAATCTCGGCTCACTGCAAGCTCTGCCTCCTGGGTTCACCTGCCATTCTCCTGCCTCAGCCTCCTGAGTAGCTGGCACTACAGGCACCCACCACCATGCCGGGCTAATTTTTTGTATTTTTGGTAGAGACGGGGTTTCACCATGTTAGCCAGGATGGTCTCGATCTCCTGACCTCGTGATCCGCCCGCCTCGGCCTCCCAAAGTGCTGGGATTACAGGCCTGAGCCACCATGCCCGGCCAGCGGCAGTCTTTTTTTTTTTTTTTTTTTTTTTTGAGACGGAGTCTCGCTCTGTCACCCAGGCTGGAGTGCAGTGGCGCGATCTCGGCTCACTGCAAGCTCCGCCTCCCGGGTTCACGCCATTCTCCTGCCTCAGCCTCCCGCGTAGCTGGGACTACAGGCGCCCGCCACCACGCCCGGCTAATTTTTTTGTGTTTTTTAGTAGAGACGGGGTTTCACTGTGTTAGCCAGGATGGTCTCGATCTCCTGACCTCGTGATCCGCCCGCCTCGGCCTCCCAAAGTGCTGGGATTACAGGTGTGCACCACCATGCCTGACCTCCACAGAAAATTATAAGTCAGTTATTATAATCAGATGAGTCTTTGGCGAGCATGGAGTCAGAAAAGGACAAACGATTGGAGGTTCCCAGTTTTTGGTGGCCTATGGCTCTAAGGTTTTCCTTCATGGTCATTAGGAATGCACTTAAGGACTAGTAGTCACAACACCCCTGTTCAGGTGGCACTGAAGACCCAGAGATATATTACCTTTTTTGAGTAGATTTTATGGAGACACCAGACTTAGATGAATAGATTGTTTCTTCAGATGCTGAATAAAGCAAAAAAGTGGCAAAACGTTCCGCTTTCTTTTATATTAGTCTTCCTCTCAAAGCCTTATCACCATAAACCAGTAGCATTTTATTTTTTTTTAATTTTTATTTACTTATTTATTTTGAGATGGAGTCTCGCCCCGTCGCCCAGGCTGGAGTGCAGCAGCGTGATCTTGGCTCACTGCAACCTCTGCCTCCCGGGTTCAAGCGATTCTCCCTGCCTCAGCCTCCTGAGTAGCTGGGATTACAGGTAGGCGCCACCACGCTTGGCTAATTTTTGTATTTTTAGTAGAGACAGGGTTTTGCCATGTTGGCCAGGCTGGTCTTGAATTCCTGACCTCGGTGATCCGCCTGCCTCGGCCTCCCAAAGTGTTGTAATTACAGGCGTGAGCCACTGTGCCCAGCCTTAGAGCATCTTTTAGAGTATGCATCTTCCACACAGGAAAAACTATGCCATCTGTATTAATCTTGCTGGCTGCTCATAGGCAACTTTATTTCAAACTTTATTGTTGCTCCTCATATGACTATTTTATACAGAAAACTGTGAACAAGACTCAGTTTCCAAATTAGTGGCTTTTAAAGCCTTTTTGAGAAGACAAAGTTAATTCACCTGAAACAACTAATTAAGAAACAATTAGGCTGGGCGCTGTGGCTCATGCCTGTAATCCCAGCACTTTGGGAGGCCAAGATGGGCAGATCACGAGATCAGGAAATCGAGACCATCCTGGTTAACATGGTGAAACCCCATCTCTACTAAATATACAAAAAAATTAGCCAGGCGTGGTGGCAGGTGCCTGTAGTCCCAGCTGCTGGGGAGGCTGAGGCAGGAAAATGGCATGAACCCGGGAGGCAGAGCTTGCAGTGAGCCGAGATCGCGCCACTGCACTCCAGCCTGGGTGACAGAGCAAGAATCCTTCTCAAAAAAAAAAAAAAAAAAAAAAAAAACAACTAAACAGGGCTGGGCGCAGTGGCTCACGCCCGTAATCCCAGAACTTTGGGAGGCTGAGGCAGGCAGATCACCTGAGGTCAGGAGTTTGAGACCAGCCAGACCAACATGGAGAAACCCCCTCTCTACTAAAAATACAAAATTAGCTGGGCGTGGTGGCACATGCCTGTAACCCCAGCTACTCAGGAGGCTGAGGCACAAGAATCACTTGAACCTGGGAGGCGGAGGTTGCGGTGAGCCGAGATTGCGCCATTGCACTCCAGCCTGGGTGACAAGAGTGAAACTCCATCTCACACACAAAAAACAAAACAAAAGAAACAACTAAACAGCCAGGCACACTGGCTGACACCTGTAATCCCAACACATTGGGAGGCCAAGGCAGGAGGATCTTCTGAGGCTAAGAGTTGGAGAACAGCCTGGGCAAGATGTGAGACCCCCCAAGAACCCCCAAAAAATTAGCTGGGCATGGCCAGGCGTGGTGGCTCACCCCTGTAATCCCAGCACTTTGGGAGGCCGAGGCAGGCAAATCACGAGGTCAAGAGATCGAGACCGTCCTGGCCAACATGGTGAAACCCTGTCTCTACTAAAAATACAAAAACAAATTAGCTGGGTGTGGTGGTGGGCACCTGTAGTCCCACCTACTCGGGAGGCTGAGGCAGGAGAATCACTTGAACCTGGGAGGTGGAGGTTGCAGTGAGCCAAGATCGCGCCACTGCACTCCAGCCTGGTGACAGAGTGACACTCCATCTCAAAAAAAAAAAAAAAAAAATTAGCTGGGCATGGCAGTGTGTACCTGTAGTACCCAGCTACTCTGGAGGCTGAGGCAGATGGATCCTTTGAGCTTGAGAGATCACAGTGAGCTATGCTATGATCTGCCACGGCACTCTTGCTCACCGCACTCCACACTGCAGCCCTGGGTGACAGAGTAAAACCCTATTGTCTAACAAAAAAAAAAAAAAGAAAGAACATCTAAGAAAAGGTCCAGAAAAGGTCCTCTCTTTTCATGAACATGTGTGGGGATGTATAGTGATGCAATATTTCTAAAGGGCAATTTTCTACTGTATTTCAAATACATGCATTGTTTAACTCGGCACTTGAATTTCATGGAAACTATTCCACAGAAAGATTGCACAAAAGTGCAAAGGTACATGTACATGACATATGCAAGGGTGTTCATCATAATAATATGTAATAGTGAGAAACTGTAAACAACTTAAATATTATTTATTTTTGAGAAGAAGTCTCACTCTGTCACCCAAGTTGGAGTGCTGTGGCATGATCTTGGCTCACTACAACCTCCACCTCCTGGGTTCAAGCAATCCTCCTGCCTCGGCCTCCCGAGTAGCTGGGACCACAGATGTGTGCCACCATGTCCAGCTAATTTTTAAATTTTTGGTAGAGGTGGGGTTTTGCCATGTTGTCCAGGCTGGTCTCAAACTCCTTAGTTCAAGTGATTCACCCACTTCAGCCTCCCAAAGTGCTGGGACTACAAGTGTGAGTCACCGAGCCACGGCCAGAAACAACTTCAATATAATTTAAATAACAATACATTCATAAAATAGAACTGGTGCTAAAGGCTCAGTAAATATTTAGCTAGTGAGTGGATTAACATATTGTTACATAAAAAAAGCAAATCACCAATTTGTGCCCCTATATATTTTTCCATTCATAGAAAAAAGCGTCAATGAATACACACTAAAAGTAACAAGGGGTTTAAATCTGGGCAGTAGAACTATAATTTGCAGGCCTACTACTTTTTTTCCTCTAAACAGTCTTGTACTTTTTGAAATAATTTTTGTGCTTTGTAAAAAGTTATTTAAAAATAGCAAATATGAAGTAGCTTTTAAGTGGCAAATGAATGAAGAGTAGAGACAGTGATGGACCGTAGAAACGCAGAGCGGGATCCCTCTTGGCTAGGACAACCAAAGCCTTTCCTAGATTAAATAAGGCATGAAATGTTTTGAGGTTCAAGTATTCCAGGTCGACATATAGGCAGGAGAACACCTGTTGTCTTTAGGGAACAGCAAGGAGACCTGAAACAGCAAGAAACAAATTTGATAGAGAAGGCAACGTAAGTTTCTGAGTAGTAGCAGAGAGGGCGGAGAACGCGACATTTTCCGATTAAGTTTGCAGTACTGCCGCAATATGGGATTAGGTGAGGATTAGCGCTTGGAGCGCAAGTGCCCACTAGGGGGTGGTGTTTCAAAACATATACAGGCCCACTTGGCCCCACTTGGACTAAGGTGAAAGGAACGTACAGCAGGTAGAACGTCAAAGAGGACGTTCCAACAGTTGGACAAGTTAACGACAATAAAATACGCAAATGTTAACTTTCCCCCTAACTGCTGAGCGCTCCCTAAATCGGTATCCCAGTGTAACGCAAAACTAAGCCCTACAGGATGCCTGCAGCTAGTGCCAAACGGTCCCCACTTAAAGGGACTACTACTCCCAGGAACCTTCGCGCGAGGCCAGGGCCTTCTTCCAGGGTGCAAGTGGGTCTCGCCGCACGGCTCTCTGGGATTCGTAGTCTTGCAGTGTCATTCGGGAGTTGTAGTTCCTTTCCCACAATCGGCTGGGCGAGGCGGCGCCAGCGATCAGAGCAGCGCTGGGTGTTCAGGGGCCAAGATGGCGGCGCGCCGGGGACGGAGAGACGGAGTCGCGCCGCCCCCGAGTGGGGGCCCCGGTCCGGACCCTGGCGGGGGAGCCCGCGGCAGTGGTTGGGGAAGTCGAAGCCAAGCGCCGTATGGGACTTTGGGCGCTGTGAGCGGCGGCGAGCAGGTGAGAGGTTGG
The DNA here is from genome assembly GCF_000001405.40 of Homo sapiens. Taxonomy (NCBI): domain Eukaryota; kingdom Metazoa; phylum Chordata; class Mammalia; order Primates; family Hominidae; genus Homo; species Homo sapiens. The sequence continues at coordinate 102,133,234 of NC_000010.11, forward strand.
CTGGCGGCCCGCGACAGGCAGCAAAGCGGTGTGTGCCGGGCGGTGACACGTGGACGCCACAGGAAAGAGAGGAAGCGCCTGAGAGTCGATGCCGGGTGGCCGCGGGAGCCGGGCCGGAGCAAGTGGGCCCTAGGCCGTTTGCTGGGGGTAGGCGGGCAGAGGCAGCGTCTCTACGGCCATTCCTGGGGGACGCCGGAGGGGGAGAGCGGGGTGTCGGAAACATAACCCGCGGCTGGGGGTCAGGGGTTCGGACTTGGGGTCGAAGGCTGAGACCTCCATGTAAGGATGCCCAGTGAGGCTCCCCGAGCCCGGCGCCGCAGTTCCCTTTTCGGAGCCACGTGGGGTTGGGGGAGCAATTTTCCCGGGAGAACTTGTCTGCCTCCCCTCCCCCTCTAGGCGGCCCGGGCATCCACGTGGGTCGGGCTCCTGGTGGAGGGGGGCGCAGGCAGCGGGTCCACGTGGGGGCGGGGAAGGAACGTCCACGTGGCTCCCGTCCCAGGCTGTCGGGCATCTAGTATCGGCCTTGGAGCCTGGCTGACGCGAACTGGGTGTGTCTCCACGGGTCCCGCCATCTCCTGCCGGGGCTGGAGGCCCGGGCCGGGAAGGAAGGTAAGGGCTGCTAGAGTCAACTTTGTTCAGAGCCTTGGAGGTTTTTTTTTTCCCTGCTGCTTGGGTCCGCAACGTCTCTCCACTGCGGATGGTGAAGGACTCTCCAGATGTTGCGGGAGTTTGTTCCCTGCGGATGGCTGAGTGTGATGGGGAGGGTAGAGGGCTGAGGCTGAAGGGTTGTGGAGGAGTGAGTTTGTGGCGCTTCCGTCTGACCGGCTTGGGGTGGGTTGTGAGTCACGGGCATTGGCGTTTTGGTTGCCTTGCAGTCTTGCCTTATTAGTGATTCAAGGGGTATGGGGAGTGTCAACATACACCTGGGACAAGGTTAAGAAAGGGAAAGGGAATCCTCTCCTCACTTTTTCCTCCAGCATCTCTTTTGGGAAGGCATGCTCCTGTAATCTGACACGCAGAAACTGGGGTGGTCCGTACTTAAGGCTCTTCGGATTTTTTGCTGGGGATGGGAAAAGTTGGAGGCGGTTTGAGAACTGTTCAACATGTTCAACAGTTGAACATACACTGGATGAGGAGGATTCTGTTAGATATTTTTTTCTTGGCCTTCAAAAAGTGTTATTGTTCTACTCTACAGTGGAGGGCTTCTTAAAAGTTTCCACCCAGGGTAGAAGGGGCAGGAATTAGTTTGAACTGTTACCTCTCTTAAACAATTAAGCTGAGTCCTTGACAGCATTTTTTGTGTGTTACTAGGTGGGAGTTGGGCTGCAGGCTGCCTGGTAATATCAGGTCCGGCAGACCAATCCAGGCCCTTGCCCAGGGGAGAATGGTTTCTGGGGCAAGAATTTGGGAGCGCTGATCCCTTCTCCCCTACTTTCTCAGAGGTCACATCTTTTGGGGCTGGTGCTGCCTACCTACCAGAGCCCCAGGGTCTAGGCCAGAATCTCAAGGCAATGCCCAGCTCTCTATGAACCATTCATCTTCACCTCCATCAGGTGTCCAGTCAGAGACACACCCTCACACCTGACCTCACCCATCACTGAATTCCCAAATAGCACAGGGAGAGTCAGGAAGGATCCAAGATCCAGCTATAATAGTTAAGTAGTAATTTGGGATTGGAGAGGATCTCATGGAGAGATTGTCATTCCCTTCCCCCGAAAACCAAAGATGGGTATATGTGAGCTGGTCAGTCAGCCAGTTATTTATTGAAATACCATTATGTTTAGGCACAGGGGACAAACTGGTAAACCACATAAACATGGTCTTTATCCCTCAGGATCTATGTTTTAATCAGGATAGACCGATGATAAATAATAATGAATGAGACAAAAGTGCAGGATATTTGGGATTATGTAATTGGCAGTAGTGATCTACTTTGCAGAGTCTGAGACGGGACATTTAAAGCTGAGATGTTAAAACTGTGGAAAACCTTTAATCAGGGAAAAGTGAAGCCCTCAAGGAGGAAGAGAGCATGGCTTATTGGAGAAACCGAGACCTGTACTACAGAGTAGTGGGAGAGGACACGCTGGAGCAGAGGTCTGGTGGGGAAGACAGGACTTTTGTAAGCTATATATATATATATTTTGTTGTTTTGTTGTTGTTTTTGAAATGGAGTCTTGCTTTGTCACCCAGGTTGGAGTGCAGTGGTGTGATCTTGGCTCACTGCAACCTCCATCTCCTGGGTTCATGCAATTCCCCTGCCTCAGACTCCTGAGTAGCAGGGATTACAGGCAAGCACCACCACACATGGCTAATTTTTGTATTTTTAGTAGAGACAGGGTTTCACCATATTGGTCAGGCTGGTCTTGAACTCCTGACCTCAAGTGATCCACCCACCTCAGCCTCCCAAAGTGCTGGGATTACAGGCGTGAGCCACCACACCCGGCCTGTAAGCTATATTAAAGAGTTTAAACCTAATGCTAAGAGCAGTAAAATGCCATTGAAGGGATTTAGGGAGGGTCTCAGGCAGTGATCAGATACATATTTAAAAAGTTTCTGACTGTTTTTGAACCCTGGAGGGAGCAGGTTTGGTGGGTGAAAGCTACTTGGGAGGTTTTTGAAGTTAGAGGTGCTGATGGCTGGCTTACTTTCAGCCTGGGCTTAGCACTCGGATGATCTTGGTACTCTGGGAGCTGTGCTGTTTGGGAATTGAGTGATGGGTGAGGTCAGGTGTGAGGGTGTGTCTCTGACTGGACACCTGATGGAGGTGAAGATGAGTGGTTCATAGAGAGCTGGGCATTGTCTTGAGATTCCAGCTTAGTCGCTGGGGCTCTGGTAGGTAGGTGGTGGCAGAGCAAATGGAGTTGCAGCCTCTTGGCTCACCCTGGAGTGTTTGCAGAGCCAGGTGCTATTCAGCTGCTGGTTTGTAATTATAGGATTGTGAAGGCCTGGGAGGAGTTAGTGCCTAAAACCTACCACTTTTTGCTTATTCTCTGGGCCTGGCCTCCTAACGCGTCCTTAACCAGCCTTTCCTTTTCCTGGGCGTTGGTACTCAGCTCTGTTAGGAGGGTATATATTGCCGGGGTGTGGGGGGTGGGGGTGTGGAAGACACCTGTTGCTTTTTTCTTTTGGAAGTGGTGCGGAATTTCACTTTGTTGCAGAAGAGGAAAGGGAAGGTCTGGCCTGTCTGTATGTGATCCTGTTCTCAGGCCTTTTTACTTCATGTTTCCTATGCGGTAGTTTCCCCTTATCCACAGTTTCTGTTAACCTGCTGTCAACTGGGGTCTAAAAATACATGAGTACAGTACAGTGAGATATTCTGAGAGCCAGAGAGCCCACATTCGCATAACTTTTATTATAGTATATTGTTTTAATCTATTTTATTATTAATTTCTTATTGTGCTTAATTTATAAGTTAAACTTCATCGTTGGTATGTATTGTTTGTATCAATACATACCAATGTATTGGTAGTATCTGTGGTTTCAGGCATCTACTGGGGATCTTGGAATGTATCCCTCTAGGATAAGGGGGGACTACTGTAGTGGAGATCCCCCTGGCTCTGGCCTCACCACTACCATTCTGGTCCCTTCCGGCCCTGCCCACACCCACACTCTTGACAGGTCTGGGCGGGCTGCTTGATGCCTGACACGAGAGGCCGTAAATGCTGCTAGTTCTTAGAGGAGTGTGGGGCGGGGCCTTTCCATCTAGGGAATCAAGCTTTCTCTTCACTTGCTCTCATCTGGTAGGAGTGGAGAAGAGGCCCTTCCCTTGGAATTACCATTGAGAGGTTGAGTGTCTCACTGTTGGGCCTTCAAAATAAGTGTCGGCCGGGCGTGGCGGCTCACGCCTGTAATCACAGCACTTTCAGAGGCTGAGTCGGGCGGATTACTTGAGATTTGGAGTTTGAGACCAGCCTGGCCAATAAGGTGAAACCCTGTCTCTACTAAAAATACAAAAATTAGCTGGGCGTGGTGGTGGGCGCCTATAATCCCAGCTGCTCCGGAGGCTGAGGCAGGAGAATCGCTTGAACCCAGGAGACCGAACCCATGAGTGTCATGGGGATGGGGGTAGGGGGTGGGGTGTGATTACCAGAAAAGTTAATGCTGCAGAAAAGTCTGTGATTTTAGAGTTGTGAGGAGAGATCACCGTGGGCTGGGGAAGCTGGGGTGTCTTCTTGAAGAAGGTAGGATTTGCACTAAGCAGAGAACTAAATGGGATTTGAGGTAGGTGAGGTTGTTGGAGCTGAAGCTGTCTCCTTGCTGACCTCTTTTGCTTTGGTGTGCCCCTCAGACTGTTATCTTCACTGCTGCCAGTAGATGATTCTGAACAATCTTGATTTTCCTGATGTTTTTACTCCCGGGTTTTAATCTGTGACTCTAGCTGTTTCTGGTTGGAGCCCAAACATTTTTCTGCCCCAGAAGGTCCCTGAAAACTGCCATCCTTATTGGGGTTTTTGCTCATAGGTTGTGCTTCTCTCTGCTCTGCTAGCCCAGAAGTTTGGCGACAGTGTTGCTGCTGCTGAGTTTGGCCCCAGCAGTGGAGGGTACCTGATTTATGGAGCATATTATCAGCTGCTGCCAGAGAGCTCATACCCTTCTCACCTTCTTCTCTGCTCCAGGTGCTGCTGCATGAGGAGGCGGGTGATTCTGGCTTTGTCAGTCTCTCTCGGCTGGGCCCATCTCTGAGGGACAAGGACCTGGAAATGGAGGAGCTAATGCTGCAGGATGAGACACTGCTGGGGACCATGCAGAGCTACATGGATGCCTCCCTTATCTCCCTCATTGAGGATTTTGGGAGCCTTGGAGAGGTGAGCTGGGGCTGGACTCTGAAATCTTCAAGCAGGAGGTTTACATGGGAGGTTCTAGCTCAAATTCTTGGCATGGCTCTGCTCTCCCAGGACCTTAGCTTCTTCCTGGGTGCCCAACCTGAATCCTTGAAGTGTATTTTTTGTCTCTAAGTGGGAATTAGGCTGCAGGCTGCCAGATTATGTCCCATGTAAGAATTCCTTTCCTAGCTTAGACTATAGTCCAAGGCCTTTCCCACTGTCTGGGCCCCTGAACTACATGTCCAGAGGATTCTGATCTCTGTTTTTCAGCTCATTTCTAGCCTAGCCGATGGTTGTCTGCTGAGCATCCCACATCTTATCTGAGGGTAGGGGAATGTGTGAAACCCAAGCTTGAGTCAAGTCTGACAGGTCTCTGTTGACACCAAGAGCTGGTGGATGGTAGCTGAGATTGGAATCCATGCCTTCTGGTATTCAGATCCTTCTCGCTGCCCCATTAGCTGAGTTGAACCTGGGAGACTGATTCTCTCGATATCCAGTCCTTAGTGGCATAGTAGGTCATTAGGGATGTTGGTAGGACCTTCTGGTTGTTTTTCTGGAGCAGAGCAGGTTATCTCTGGAGGACCAGAATGAAGTGTCGCTGCTCACGGCTCTGACGGAGATCTTGGACAATGCAGATTCTGAGAACCTTTCTCCATTTGACAGCATTCCTGATTCGGAGCTGCTTGTGTCACCCCGGGAGGGCTCCTCTGTGAGTGTGGGACCAGGGGAAGGGGATTAGTACAAAGTTTAGACCCATGCCTGTGGACCTACTCATATAGCTCTGAAGCATAGACTGATCTCAGGTCTTTCTTTCCCTCTTAGCTGCACAAGCTGCTTACTCTCTCTCGGACACCCCCAGAACGTGACCTCATCACCCCAGTTGACCCACTGGGGCCCAGTACAGGCAGCAGTAGAGGGAGTGGGGTAAGCCTGACCTAGAGGGTTTCAGAAACTCCCAGGTGGGAGGAGGAGTGTGTGGGGACAGGTCTGGAAAATACTTTCCCAAAGAAAACTCCTCCTGAGACCTCTCTTCTCTCCTGCAGGTTGAAATGTCTCTTCCAGATCCCTCTTGGGACTTCTCCCCACCCTCTTTCTTAGAGACCTCTTCCCCCAAGCTTCCTAGCTGGAGACCCCCAAGATCAAGACCACGCTGGGGCCAATCCCCACCTCCCCAGCAGCGCAGTGATGGAGAAGAAGAGGAGGAGGTGGCCAGCTTCAGTGGCCAGATTCTTGCCGGGGAGCTTGACAACTGTGTGAGCAGTATCCCGGACTTCCCCATGCATTTGGCCTGCCCTGAGGAGGAAGATAAAGCAACAGCAGCAGAGATGGCAGTGCCAGCAGCTGGTGATGAGAGCATCTCCTCCCTGAGTGAGCTGGTGCGGGCCATGCACCCATACTGCCTGCCCAACCTCACCCACCTGGCATCACTTGAGGATGAGCTTCAGGAGCAGCCAGATGATTTGACACTGCCTGAGGGCTGCGTAGTGCTGGAGATTGTGGGGCAGGCAGCCACAGCTGGCGATGACCTGGAGATCCCAGTTGTGGTGCGACAGGTCTCTCCTGGACCCCGGCCTGTGCTCCTGGATGACTCGCTAGAGACTAGTTCTGCCTTGCAGCTGCTTATGCCTACACTGGAGTCAGAGACAGAGGCTGCTGTGCCCAAGGTAACCCTCTGCTCTGAGAAAGAGGGGTTGTCATTGAACTCAGAGGAGAAGCTGGACTCAGCCTGCTTATTGAAGCCCAGGGAGGTCGTGGAGCCGGTGGTGCCCAAGGAGCCTCAGAACCCACCTGCCAATGCAGCACCAGGTTCCCAGAGAGCTCGAAAGGGCAGGAAGAAGAAGAGCAAGGAGCAGCCAGCAGCCTGTGTGGAAGGCTATGCCAGGAGGCTGAGGTCATCTTCTCGCGGGCAGTCTACTGTAGGTACAGAAGTGACCTCTCAGGTAGACAACTTGCAGAAACAGCCTCAGGAAGAACTTCAAAAAGAGTCTGGGCCTCTCCAGGGTAAGGGGAAGCCCCGGGCTTGGGCTCGGGCCTGGGCAGCTGCCTTGGAGAATTCTAGCCCTAAGAACTTGGAGAGAAGTGCTGGACAAAGTAGTCCTGCTAAAGAAGGCCCTCTAGACCTCTACCCAAAGCTGGCTGACACTATCCAAACCAATCCTATACCAACCCATCTCTCATTGGTCGACTCTGCCCAAGCCAGCCCCATGCCAGTTGACTCTGTTGAAGCTGATCCCACTGCAGTTGGCCCTGTTCTAGCTGGCCCTGTACCTGTTGACCCTGGGTTGGTTGACCTTGCTTCAACCAGCTCAGAACTGGTTGAGCCTCTCCCGGCTGAGCCAGTGCTGATCAACCCAGTCCTGGCTGACTCAGCAGCAGTTGACCCTGCAGTGGTTCCCATCTCAGATAACTTGCCACCAGTTGATGCTGTCCCGTCTGGCCCAGCACCAGTTGATCTAGCACTGGTTGACCCTGTTCCTAATGACCTGACTCCAGTTGACCCAGTGCTAGTTAAGTCCAGACCAACTGATCCCAGACGTGGTGCAGTGTCATCAGCCCTGGGGGGTTCAGCACCCCAGCTCCTCGTGGAGTCAGAGTCCTTGGACCCACCAAAGACCATCATCCCTGAAGTCAAAGAGGTTGTGGATTCTCTGAAAATTGAAAGTGGTACCAGTGCTACAACCCATGAAGCCAGACCTCGGCCTCTCAGCTTATCTGAGTACCGGCGACGAAGGCAGCAACGCCAAGCAGAAACAGAAGAGAGAAGTCCACAGCCCCCAACTGGGAAGTGGCCTAGCCTTCCAGAGACTCCCACAGGGCTGGCAGACATCCCTTGTCTTGTCATCCCACCAGCCCCAGCCAAGAAGACAGCTCTGCAGAGAAGCCCTGAAACACCCCTTGAGATTTGCCTTGTGCCTGTAGGTCCCAGCCCTGCTTCTCCTAGTCCTGAGCCACCTGTAAGCAAACCTGTGGCCTCATCTCCCACTGAGCAGGTGCCATCCCAGGAGATGCCACTGTTGGCGAGACCTTCCCCTCCTGTGCAGTCTGTGTCCCCTGCTGTGCCCACACCTCCCTCGATGTCTGCTGCCCTGCCTTTCCCTGCAGGTGGGCTTGGCATGCCCCCCAGTCTGCCCCCACCTCCCTTGCAGCCTCCTAGTCTTCCATTGTCTATGGGGCCAGTACTACCTGATCCGTTTACTCACTATGCCCCCTTGCCATCCTGGCCTTGTTATCCTCATGTGTCCCCTTCTGGCTATCCTTGCCTGCCCCCCCCACCAACGGTGCCCCTAGTGTCTGGTACTCCTGGTGCCTATGCCGTGCCTCCCACTTGCAGTGTGCCTTGGGCACCCCCTCCTGCCCCAGTCTCACCTTACAGTTCCACATGTACCTATGGGCCCTTGGGATGGGGCCCAGGGCCTCAACATGCTCCATTCTGGTCTACTGTTCCCCCACCTCCTTTGCCTCCAGCCTCCATTGGGAGAGCTGTTCCCCAACCTAAAATGGAGTCTAGGGGCACTCCAGCTGGCCCTCCTGAAAATGTACTTCCCTTGTCGATGGCTCCTCCCCTCAGTCTTGGGCTACCTGGCCATGGAGCTCCTCAGACAGAGCCTACCAAGGTGGAGGTCAAGCCAGTGCCTGCATCTCCCCATCCGAAACACAAGGTGTCTGCCCTGGTGCAAAGTCCCCAGATGAAGGCTCTAGCATGTGTGTCTGCTGAAGGTGTGACTGTTGAGGAGCCTGCATCAGAGAGGCTAAAGCCTGAGACCCAAGAGACCAGGCCCAGGGAGAAGCCCCCCTTGCCTGCTACCAAGGCTGTTCCCACACCAAGGCAGAGCACTGTCCCCAAGCTGCCTGCTGTCCACCCAGCCCGTCTAAGGAAGCTGTCCTTCCTGCCTACCCCACGTACTCAGGGTTCTGAAGATGTGGTACAGGCTTTCATCAGTGAGATTGGTGAGTGACACACAGTTCCCCCATGTAGTCCCCAAGTTGGCTGGGGGACTCTAGAATAGGATAAGCCACCCTGATGAGGCTGGCCTTTGTTGGATTTCTTTGGAGGAGTTTTTTTGTTTTTATTTTGAGATGGAGTCTTGCTCTGTCTCCAGGCTGGAGTGCAGTGGTGCAATCTCGGCTCACTGCCTCCCAGGTTCAAGCAATTCTCCTGCCTCAGCCTCCCAAGTAGCTGGGACTACAGGTGCCCGCCACCACGTCTGGCTAATTTTTCTATTTTTAGTAGAGACGAGGTTTCACTATGTTGGCCAGGTTGGTCTCAATCTCCTGATCTCGTGATCCGCCTACCTCAGCCTCCCAAAGTGCTGGGATTATAGGCGTGAGCCGCTGCACCATGCCTTTTTTTTTTTTTTTTTTTTTTTTTTTTTTTTTTTTGAGATGGAGTCTTCCTCTGTCGCCCAGGCTGGAGTGCAGTGGCGTGATCTCGGCTCACCGCAACCTCCGCCTCCCGGGTTCAAGCGATTCTCCTGCCTCAGCCTCCCCAGTAGCTGGGATTACAGGCACTCACACCCACGCCCGGCTTTTTGTATTTTTAGCAGAGATGAGGTTTCACCATGTTGGCCAGGTTGGTCTCAATCTCCTGACCTCGTGATCCGCCTGCCTCAGCCTCCCAAAGTGCTGGGATTACAGGTGTAAGCCACCGCCCTTGGCCTGTTTTTGTTTTTAAGAGATGAGGTCTCACTGTGTTGCCCAGGCTGGACTTGAACTCCTGGGCTCAAGTGGTCCTCCCACCTCAGCCTTCCAAGTAGCTGGGATTTATAGGCACAGGTGTGTGCCACCGTGCCTGGCTGTGGAGGGTTCTTCAGAGGCAGAGCCCTGGGTTGGTTTGAATCCTTCATGCTTTGTGCTGCTACCTTGGTTCACTTAGTACAGAGGGCAGGGGGAGTGGAAAGGGAGAAGTGAGATGATTTGGGGGCTTCCTGGGACCTGTGTACTAAGTTGATAGGGGCTCGTTTTCAATCCTGTGTTGTGTGCCTCCACAGGAATTGAGGCATCGGACCTGTCCAGTCTGCTGGAGCAGTTTGAGAAATCAGAAGGTGAGGGAACATGGGTAGTTTTGCTCCAACTCTTTTTTTGGTGATACTTTTTTGGGCCCAGCCCTGTAGTTGCTTAAACTAGGGTGAGAGGGGACAGCCTTAGCCACTGGAGCAGACCCCTAATTGGAAGAGAGAGACAAGATTGAACTGTGACGGTAATCCAAGCCAGGGACGGCAGTGATACAGTAAGGAAGGTATTAAAGAGTAGACTGGGAATCCAGGCCAGGCGTGGTGGCTCATGCCTGTAATCCCAGCACTCTGGGAAGCTGAGGCGGGTGGATCATGAGGTCAGGAGTTTGAGACCAGCCTGGCCAACATGGTGAAACCCCGTATCTACTAAAAATACAAAAATTAGCTGGGCGAGGTGGCGGGCACCTGTAATCCCAGTTACTCGGGAGGCTGAGGCAGGAGAATTGTTTGAACCCAGCAGGCAGAGATTGCAGTGAGCCGAGATCGTGCCATTGCACTCTAGCCTGGGCCACAGGGTGAGACTCTGTCTCAAAAAAAAAAAAAAAAAAAAAGGAATCCAAGCAGGTTGGGGTTGTTTAGGGACATTTTTCTAGAGGGAAGTAGCTTTCAGGCTGGGCATTGAAAGACAGGTAGGAATTCACAGAGAGAATATGTGTGGCAACTAAAGGCAGAGGGTAGGTATAGGAAGAATGGCATATGGCACATTTGAAAGGCAATGGATAGCTGGCTTTCTTAGTATAAGGCGTGGATGTAGGTGCTATGGAGGACACTATCTTCTTCTCAAGGAGCTTATGGTCTAACTGGGGAGAAGAATCTACAGAAATGATTCCTGAGTTGGTAACAAGGCAAAATAGAAAATGTGATTTGTAGAACAAGAGTAGGCTGTGAGGCCAGGAAGCTAGTTAGGCAGATCATAGATCACCTTGAACGCTAGGCTTATACATTTGGACTTTATCTCAGATTCAGTGGAGGAATGTGGGTGTTTCTGAGCAGAAAAGAGACATGATTAAAAATAGTACTTGGGCATCCACTGGAGGAGACTAGATCTCTTTGGGGAGATCCCAACAGGGAATATGTAGGCAAAGTGGATTTTCCTCCTTTGGGTCTCAAAGCAAGCCCTTCTGTGCCGCCTCAGTCTAGAACATCTGGTTGGGCTTTTAACTAGTATGGTTTCTTTGCAGCCAAAAAGGAGTGTCCTCCTCCGGCTCCTGCTGACAGCTTGGCTGTAGGAAACTCAGGGTAAGTATGGAGACATGAGCGAGTTACCCTACAGCTGTTAGTCAGCAGCCGGCTGACACTCCAGGACTGTCAACTGGATGCCTCTGTTGCAGGGACGCTGTAGTCAGCTCTAGAGTCTTTCCCTGTTTCCCCACCCCTTACTCTGCCTATCACTACCGGGCAGTGTCTTGGGTGGTGAGGTGAGAACGGGGCATGTTCACTGCCCTCCAGCTGATTCCAGTCGGGCTCCAAATGTCCTAGAGGTGCCTTTTATCTCCTGGCAAGTCATACCTTTGGGGATTTCTTTCTTTCATTTAATAACACTTCAAGTTTGCTCAGTGCTGGTAATGGTGTAACTTAAAGTGGAGGAAGATGTTAATGGCTAGGAGTCATTTTTCATGTTCATGATCCTCCATCCTGTTCTGCCAAGCATGTTCCCCTCCACATTGATTTCAGGTTGGTGTGAGCTGGGCAGGTGAGACTCGATGTGAAGGAGGTGGGGGGTATTCAAGGTCATGGCCAGCCTGCCTCTTGGAATTGGGCAGGGCTCAGTTGAGATCCAATTTGTAGTTCAGTCAATAAGACCCTTTTGTGCAGGAAGAAGATGATGGAGGCAGTTTGTGCATCCCATTCTTCTCTGCACCCACCCCCTCCCATTGATTTCTGAGAAAGGCAAATGTATAAGATATTGAGAAGGCAATGAATCAGGCTTTCCCTTTTCCCCCCCCGCCAGCGGCGTTGACATTCCCCAGGAGAAGAGGCCCCTAGACCGGTTACAAGCCCCAGAACTGGCCAACGTGGCAGGTGGGTTCAGGGTGGGGAATTCTGCCTGTGATTAGTCTATGCAGCAACACTTGCTGAGCCTACTCCAAATCCATTGTGTGTAGGCGTTAAGGACATAGAGATCTGATCTCCAGCCTTGAGATACTCACAGTCTAGGGGGCAGACTTGTAAACGAATGAGCATGTTGAGTATCAGGTGCTATGTTACAGCCTATGGGCTAGGCGCAGTGGCTCGCGCCTGTAATCCCAGCACTTGTGGGAGGCTGAGGCAGGCGGATCACTTGAGGTCAGGAGTTCGAGACCAGCCTGGCCAACATGGTGAAACCCTATCTCTACTAAAAAAAATACAAAAATTAGTTGGGCGTGGTGGTACACGCCTGTAGTCCCAGCTACTTGGGAGGCTGAGGCAGGAGAATTGCTAAAATCCAGGAGGTGGAGGTTGCAGGGAGCTGAGATCGTGCCACTGCACTCCAGCCTGGGGGACAGAGCAAGACTATCTAAAAAAAAAAAAAAATGTCGGGCGCGGTGGCCCACGCCTGTAATCCCAGCACTTGGGGAGGCCGAGGCAGGTGGATCACGAGGTCAGGAGATCGAGACCATCCTGGCTAACATGGTGAAACCCCATCTCTACTAAAAATACAAAAAAATTAGCCGGGCGTGATGGCGGGTGCCTGTAGTCCCAGCTACTTGGGAGGCTGAGGCAGGAGAATAGCGTGAACCCAGGAGGTTGAGCTTGCAGTGAGCTGAGATTGCGCCACTGCCCTCCAGCCTAGGCGACAGGGCAAGACTCTGTCTTTAAAAAAAACAAACAACAAAAAAAAACAACCATGGATTACAGTGAGATGTGAAGAGGGACAGTCAGGGAAGGGTTATATAGAAACTAATCCCCTAAGCTGAGGCTTGAGAAACTCTATCAGGTGGTAGATTTAGGGAACAGGGCATTCTAGGAAGACAGAGCATCTTGAATGAACTGAAGAAACAAAACCAACTGGGTATGTTTTGGGGAATTGTGAGAGGCTTGGTTTGGCTGGAGTGTAGTAGCTGATCAGGGCAGTGGGCAGAGGTAAAGCGAGAGATAAAACTGGAGTGGTAAATAGAAGGTCAGATTATTGGGACCTCGAATGCCATATTAAGCTCTTTGGACTTTATCCTGTGCATTGAAGAAACTTTGCCAGATTGGTTTTTGGGTGCTCCATCTAGCAGGAATGTAGAAGACAGGTGGACTCTGAAGCTGCAAGTGGGGAGACGATAGATGATGACTGCATGAGTGCAGGAAAGATGCAGCCTAGAAGTCAGGCAGTACTCGGGGGAAGGGGCGGATCTGAGAATGGAGAGCTTAGACTCTAGGACCTGGCTACTAGGTTTGGGTAGTGAGAGGATGAGGGCTTCAGGAAGACCCTAGCTGGCTGGATTTCTCTTGCTGGTCCCCAAGTTGGGGAACATGGGGAAGGGGCAGTTGAAGCAGTGGGAAAAGTTGGGCTGCTTACCTTGCTTGGTGTACTTTGTGAGATGAGGTGGGGGTCTCTGGAGGCTATATACACGGTATTTGGAAGCGTAGAATCGGATCTCATCCTGCTATCTCCATCCTCCCTCCCCACCACAGGGCTCACCCCTCCAGCTACCCCTCCCCACCAGTTATGGAAGCCCCTGGCTGCTGTCTCACTGCTGGCCAAAGCCAAATCTCCTAAGTCCACCGCCCAGGAGGGAACCCTGAAGCCTGAAGGAGTTACGGAGGCCAAACATCCAGCTGCAGTTCGCCTCCAAGAAGGGGTCCATGGCCCTAGTCGAGTCCATGTGGGCTCTGGGGACCATGACTATTGTGTCCGGAGCAGGACCCCCCCAAAAAAGATGCCTGCCCTAGTCATTCCAGAGGTGGGCTCCCGATGGAATGTCAAGCGCCATCAGGACATCACCATCAAACCTGTCTTGTCCTTGGGCCCAGCTGCCCCTCCGCCCCCATGCATAGCTGCCTCCCGGGAGCCGCTTGATCACAGGACTAGCAGTGAGCAGGCAGATCCCTCAGCACCCTGCCTTGCCCCATCCAGCTTGCTGTCCCCTGAGGCCTCACCCTGCCGGAATGACATGAACACTAGGACTCCCCCTGAACCCTCAGCCAAGCAGCGGTCAATGCGCTGTTACCGAAAAGCCTGCAGGTCAGCCAGCCCCTCAAGCCAGGGCTGGCAGGGCCGCCGAGGCCGCAACAGCCGTTCTGTCAGCTCTGGGTCCAACCGGACTAGCGAAGCATCTTCCTCATCCTCATCATCGTCTTCCTCATCCCGATCTCGGTCCAGGTCCCTCTCCCCCCCACACAAGAGGTGGCGAAGGTGAGCTTTGATGGCCCTGTAGGTCCTCTCCATTTAGGAAGTTCACGTACTTCTGTGGTTTACTTTGAAAGCTTTTACCCGTTGACTTTGGTACTTTCAGGCGCTAAGGCTTCTATTTCTGACTTTGGCTTTTGTGTTTTCCCTTTTCCTGGATTGTTGAAGGAGGCAAGCTGTGAGACAATTGCTTCTGTCCCCTGTTGGAGCTTGGGGTGTCAGGTCTCCTGCTTCTTTGAGACCTGCCTTGGGGAGACTTTTAGGGTTTGATTTTGACCATGTTGATTTTTTTCACATACTGTATCAGCCTTCATTTTTGGTATTCTGGGCGCTATGTGAGGTAGTGGGTTACTTGTTAATAGAAAATAGTTCTTCCCTTAATCATCTGCTGAGGAAGGTGTCTGGGGCAGTTCCTTTGGGTGTCACTATGGCCTCATCTATTTCCTGGCAGTATCTTTTTTTCTCAGTAACCAAGTTTTCCCACTTAATGAAGAATTCTTGGGTTTTGGAGATGATATATGTCTTCAGAACTGGCCCATACTACAAGTCTAGCAGTTAACCTCTCTCATGGTCACAGTATTTCAGTGAGACCTGGTAGGGGAGCAATAGTAACCCAAAAGACCCAGGCTTGGCCCCAGCACCACAGATAGCTGGGTGTGAGACCTAGGGCTCACCCCTCTCCCTGAGTCTCCATTTATTGTTCTTCCTCTTTCTGATTTGTTAAATATTTTTCAATTTTTAAGTGCACAATTGAAAATGTGATCTCTTCCAAAACACTTCACAACATTCCAGGTACACCTAAAGTTCCATGAAGGGCCTCAGTTTGTTCATCTCTGAATGAAAATTGTTCTTCTAGACCTCTTCTACTCTGCTTTGTCTTTGGTCCTGAGCTTCCTAAAAGAAAGGCAGGACTGGGGCCTGGGTGAGATAAGCAGAGTATACCTGAACCACTCCCAGCATTCCTGCATGCCCTCTTATCCTTCAGGTCCAGCTGTAGTTCCTCTGGACGTTCTCGAAGATGCTCTTCCTCTTCTTCGTCATCATCTTCCTCTTCGTCTTCCTCATCCTCATCATCCAGTTCTCGAAGCCGCTCACGATCCCCATCCCCCCGCCGGAGAAGTGACAGGAGGCGGCGGTGAGCATGTGTTCAGGGAGCGCCATGCACCTGGGATGCAGGTGCCTAAGAGTTGAGTCTTGAATTGTCTTATGTTTGGGGGGCTGATGACACCCTCTTTTGTCAGGTACAGCTCTTATCGTTCACATGACCATTACCAAAGGCAAAGAGTGCTACAAAAGGAGCGTGCAATAGTGAGTAGAGGAACAGATCATGGGAGGATGGGGCTTACCCCCTGAGCCTTGAGCTCAGAGAGCTGCCTGCAGCTGTAGCCCTGGCTAATGGTGTGTTGATTTTTTTTCATTTCCAAACATAGGAAGAAAGAAGGGTGGTCTTCATTGGAAAGATACCTGGCCGCATGACTCGATCAGAGCTGAAACAGAGGTTCTCCGTTTTTGGAGAGATTGAGGAGTGCACCATCCACTTCCGTGTCCAAGGGTAAGCTTGGGCCCCAGGCTCAGGATGTTCTTTCTATCCCATTCATCTACCTTGGTGTTTCTTTGTCTTGCCTCCTTGCTCTGGTGTGCTGAGCAATATGGGGCACCTTCATTTCTGCAGTCAGAGGGTTGGCCACTGGGAATGAGAAGAACCACCTCTGTACCTTGGGATGCTGTGTCTCCTCTATGGCATGGGCCCATATAGCCACTCCAGCCCCTGCCTCACTCTCCTCCTACTAGGGACAACTACGGCTTCGTCACTTATCGCTATGCTGAGGAGGCATTTGCAGCCATTGAGAGTGGCCACAAGCTGCGGCAGGCAGATGAGCAGCCCTTTGATCTCTGCTTTGGGGGCCGAAGGCAGTTCTGCAAGAGGAGCTATTCTGATCTTGGTGAGTGGAGGGAGGGCCTAAAGCTTTGGAATGCTTCATCCCCTCCCCAGAAGGGTTCCTAACCCTTTGTGAGTGGGGCTAGGCAGACTTACCTTAGTTTGACATACAAAGAACCCAAGGGGGCTGGGCATGGTGGCTCACGCCTGTAATCCCAGCACTTTGGGAGGCTGAGGCAGGCAAATCACGAGGTCAGGAGTTCGAGACCAGCCTGGCCAACATGATGAAACCCCATCTCTACCAAAAATAGAAAAAATTAGCTAGAGGTGGTGGCACGCACCTGTAATCCCAGCTACTCGGGAAGCTGAGGCAGGAGAATTGCTTGAACCCAGGAGGCGGAGGTTGCAGTGAGCTGACATCACAACACTGCACTCCAGCCTGGGCTACAGAACGAGACTGTCTCAAAAAAAAAAAAAAAAAAGACCCAAGGGGTGGGACGAGAGGAGAAATGGGGACTGGGGACTCTCCTATCTCTTTGACTTAAAATTAGAGCAGTTTTCACTCCATCCGTTTTTGGGATGGGAGATAGCTAGCCATTTGCAGACCCTGTGGTTGGGAAGTGTGGTCAGAGACCTTGAAGTTTGTCTTTACCTTTATAGACTCCAACCGGGAAGACTTTGACCCAGCACCTGTAAAGAGCAAATTTGATTCTCTTGACTTTGACACATTGTTGAAACAGGCCCAGAAGAACCTCAGGAGGTAACCTTGGGCCCTTCCCTGCTATCCTTTTTCTCCTTTGGAGGTGCCCAACCTCCTCCACCCCCTTCCCCTACTCTAGGGGAGAGAGCTGCTAGTGAGATGACTGTTTTATAAAGAAATGGAAAAAAGTGAAATAAAAAATATGTTGAATCAGATTTTTTAAAAGGGGTATTTGTTTTTTTATAACAGGTATTGAAACAAGTTAACTTGCATTCCTATGTAAGATAGGAGGGGCTGAGGGGATCCCCAGTGTTTGGAACATAAGTCACTATGCAGACTAATAAACATCAACTAGAGAGAACTCCCAACTGCTGTTGTGCGTCTTTATATGGTGCTAATGCCAAATGTATTCACTTTTCCTATCTGAACATGGTCCAGGGACATGCCTCTCCCTGGTCAGGTGCAAAAATCCCACTGGATTTGAACCTTGGTTCCTCAGATGTATTGTCTAAAATGAGTCATTTAGGACAGTGCTTCTCAACTTTAAAGGGAATTTGAATCATCTAGCGATCTTTTTAGAATGTAGATTCTGACAATGGGATGATGATACTGGTCCAGGAAGGGATTTTGATAACAAGGACCTAGAGAAGCTCACACTTGTTCCAAAGAAAGGTTTTCTAAACTGCGACAGGTGTATACATTCATCATGTCAGTTATGTTCATCATTTTATAATAGCTTGAGCACACTGCATGGCACAGCAGGTGCTCAAATGTTTTAAATAATGCATGCATGTGGGTAGAACAGGAAGCGTGGGGAAGAGGGAACTGTGGAGTTTTTTGTTTCTGTTTTTGAATTTTTTTGTTTTGTTTTGGAGATGGAGTCTTGTTCTGTCTCCCAGGCTGGAGTGCAGTGGCACGATTTTGGCTTACTGCAACCTCTGCCTCCCGGGTTCAAGTGATTCTCCTGCCTCAGCTTCCTGAGTAGCTGGGATTACAGGCACCCGCCACCATGCCTGGCTAATTTTTTTTGTATTTTTAGTAGAGACAGGGTTTCACCATGTTGGCCAGGGCTGTTCTTGAACTCCTGACCTCAGGTGATCCACCCACCTTAGCCTCCCAAAGTGCTGAGATTACAGGCATGAACCACCGTGCCCAGCTTTGTTTTTGATTTTTGAGATAGGATCTCACTCTGTGGCCCAGGCTGGATTGCAGTGGCAGGATCATAGCTCATTGCAGCTTTGACCTCCCTGGCTCAGTTGATCCTCCTGCCCCAGCCTCCCAAGTAGCTGGGACCACAGGTGCATGCCACTACACCTGGCTAATTTTAAAAATTTTTTGTAGAGATAGGGGGGTTTCACTGTGTTGTCCAGGCTGGCCTCTTAACTCCTGGGCTCAAGGGATCCTCCCACCTAGGCCTTCCAAAGTGTTGAGATAACAGTTGTGAGCCACTATGCCTGGCCAATTTTATATAGGAGAGGGGGGTGTGTTCCCATGAGGATCCTTATCTTTCCTGAGCGGCATTAGTGGGAGGTAGCCAAGGGGTAGTGGGTAGGATTGAAGGGATTGCTAACTGCTAATATCTGGAATGTGGCAGAACTTGGAATTAACTTGGTAGGTCTGAGCATTGATACTGGAGTTACTCATGACAAAGGCATTGATACTGGAGTTACTCATGACAAAGGCAGAGTGTGAACTCTGATCCCGGAGGAAGAAGGGTTATTTTCAACAATCTCTTCAGCTTGAATAGATTGTTGCTGTGTGTGATTCAGGTTTGGTGCATGACACCTTTCCTCTTCATGGAGCTGACCTAAGGCGGAATATAAGGGAGATGGGAGGGGCAGCTTGGGAAATCAACACCTCCCACCCTCACGACGGATAACCCGAAGGATCTTCTGCAGCAGAGGCAGGAGTCTGGAGGCTGGGATGGTATCAGAAAGGGCCTCCCTGGGTATTGGAGGCAGTGAAGATGAAGGGCGAGAATCCATTGGCCGTGCCAGTACGCCATGGGGGCGGTTGGGAGATCTTGTAGAACAACTGTTCGAGCCCGCTTGTCCACTCATTACTCTGGAATCCGAGTCCCAGCAGGGGCGCGGGAAACCGCTGCTCTGAGAAAAGGTACCTCCCCCAGAAAGACTGCGCGGGAAGTCCCGAGTTTTCCCGCCACGCCGAGGGCGTGATCCCTGACGTCAGAGCTCCGCCTCCACAAGCTGGCGGCCGGTGGGCTCCGCCCTTAACCAAGATGGCGATACGCGTGGGACCGGAAAGAGTTTATAGATTTCCCGTCTACCCTACCTCTGAGGTGAAGGTGGGACTGCCCTGTGGAGCCCACCCTTTCCGTTATGCGCCCGCGCGGCGCAATGACGTAACACAGGCCCGCCCACTGCCCCTGTTGGGTTCCTGAGTCGTGCTGCGTCGACAACGGTAGTGACGCGTATTGCCTGGAGGATGGCGGACGCCGGCATTCGCCGCGTGGTTCCCAGCGACCTGTATCCCCTCGTGCTCGGCTTCCTGCGCGATAACCAACTCTCAGAGGTGGCCAATAAGTTCGCCAAAGCGACAGGAGCTGTGAGTTCCGGGCTTGGGGCGGGGACCGGGCTGAGATGACCACAAGGCTTCAGGCCCTGACGTGCTTAGGTTTCCAGGTGGGGAAGTCTGGGGGTCCGCCAGTCCAGTGTCTGCAAGGCCTTTACGCCGACCCCTCGGCAGTGACCAGAGAAAGCCTGCGGCCTCGGTCGCTTACCTTCCTCCATGTCTGAGTAGATATCGCTGAGTCTTGTTGCTTTTTTCTTGTGACCTGTGCAGCGGCGGCAGCGTGGGAGCCTCGTGGCCCCAAGCCACATGGCTGGCAGAGTGCAGCGGGGAGGTAGAGTCTTGTTCCACTGAGGACGTTGGTTCTTCGGCATCTTCTGGGGGGCTTTTCGTTGGGTGAGGCAAACCGTGATTTGACCTTAGCCTCAGTCACATTTACTGGGATTCAAAAGCAAGTGAAATTTCTTTAGAATGAAGTCTGGGATTTTCGTTTGTAAAGAAGAAAATGAATGAAAGTAGAAGCAGAGTTTTGTTTTGAGTTACACTGAGAATTGAGAGTCATCAACAGCCCTACCAAGTAGGCATAGTAGTGGGCTTGGAGCTTTGGCTAATTGAATCAAACAAACCTAGGTTTGGGACCAGGCTCTGCCACTTTTTAGATACGTGACCCGGGCAGTTTATTTAACCTTTCTGAGTCTTTCTACAGGGATGTCATCATCCACTTTATAGGATTTTTGTGAGTTTCAGTAAGATGATGTGTAAGAGTAGCAATCTCAGTGCTGGTACAGAGGAATCTTGTAAAAGTGAAAGCTGTACCATAGTTATGGCAATTTAGGATGCTCCAAACACATGTAAGAGTAAGAGAACCAGGAATGTGAAAGGTTTGTAATCTACATCAACGGACATTCCTGCATGGGAAGACACTTTGAGAGAGGAGAGAGGGGGGGTCTTCAGCAGGGATGATAGCATGACTAGGAAGGATGGCTTGCACTTTTAGCAGAATCAGGCTGCGAAAGCAAAGAATCAGATCAGCCTCAAAACTTCCTTAAGCTGGGACAGGCTGCCATGTGATCTAACTGCTTTCTTAATGAAACTGTTTAGAGTTGACTGTTAAGGAGACTGCGGAGAGTGCTTTCACAGTGGACTGGATGGAATTGGACATTTCAGAATTAGGATTCTTTTTTTTTTTTTTTTTTTTTTGAGACGGAGTCTCTGTTGCCCAGGCTGGAGTGCAATGGTGCGATCTCGGCTCATTGTAACCTCCGCCTCCCAAGTTCAAGTGATTATCCTGCCTCAGCCTCCCCAGTAGCTGGGATTACAGGCGCGTACCACCACGCCCGGCTAATTTTTGTATTTTTAGTAGAGATGAGGTTTCACCATGTTGGCCAGGCTGGTCTTGAACTCCTGACCTCAAGAAATCCACTTGCCTCAGCCTCTCAAAGTGCTGGGATTACAGGCGCGAGCCACCGTGCCCGGCCTCAGGATTAGGATTCTGAAATGGTTTTATGTGAGAAAAGCTAATCTTTGTGAAGAGCTAACTAAGGGTCAGATGCTACGCCCTTCACATGCATTTAATTTTTTTTTTTTTTTTTTTTGAGGCGGAGTCTGGCTCTGTCGCCCAGGCTGGAGTGCAGTGGCACGATCTCAGCTCACTGCAACCTCTGCCTCTCAGGCTAAAGTGATTCTCCTGCCTCAGCTTCCCAAGTAGCTGGGACTACAGGTGTGCCCCACCATGCCTGGCTAATTTTTTTTTTTTTTTTTTGTATTTTTAGTAGAGACGGGGTTTCACCATGTTGGCCAGGCTGCTCTTGAACTCCTGACCTCAAGAATCTACTGCCTCGGCTTCCCAAAGTGCTGGGATTACAGGTGTGAGCCACCGCACCCGGCCAACATGCATTATGTCTTATCCTCTCAATAACTTAATGAGATGTGTAGTATTATCTCCATTTTATAGAAAAGAAAATAATCTCAGGGAGATAAGGTAATTTGTCCAAAGGTGAGTTCCCATCTGTACTGACTCTGATCATTTACTCTTTTTTGGACCACAGAGTCTCACTGTTGCCCAGGCGGGAGTGCAGTGGTGCAATCTCAGCTCACTGCAACCTTTGCCTCCCAGGTTGAAGCGATTCTTGTGCCTCAGCCTCATGCCTCAGCCTCCCAAATAGCTGGGATTACAGGCGCCCGCCTCCACGCCCAGCTTATGTTTGTATCTTTAGTAGAGATGGGGTTTCACCATACCAGCCAGGCTGGTCTCAAATTCCTGATCAGGTGATCCACCCACCTCAGCCTCCCAAAGTGTTGGGATTACAGGCCCGTGAGCCACTGCACCTGGCCTGATCCTGTACTCTTCTGTGTATTGTTTTGTGTTTGTTTGTTTCTTTTAGAGGGTCTCACTCTGTCGCCCAGGCTGGAGTAAAGTGATGCAATCATACTTCGCTGTAGCATCGAACTCCTGGGCTCAGGCAATCCTCCTGCCTCAGTCACTGGGGTAGCTAGGACTACAGACATGTACCACCACACCTGGCTAATTTTTTTTTTTTTTTTTTTGTGACAGTTTCGCTCTTGTTGCCCAGGCTGGAGTGCAATGGTGCAATCTCGGCTCACCACAACCTCCACCTCCTGGGTTCAAGCGATTCTCCTGCCTTAGCCTCCTGAGTAGCTGGGATTATTACAGGCATGCGCCACCACGCCCAGCTAATTTTGTATTTTTAGTAGAGACGGGGTTTCTCCATGTTGGTCAGGCTGGTCTCGAACTCCCGATCTCAGATGATCCACCCGCCTCAGCCTCACAAAGTGTTGGGATTACAGGCGTTTAGCCACCACAGGCCAAGCAACCGCAGTGCCATTGCAATCCAACCTGGGCGACCAAGAGCGAAATTCCATTTCAAAAAAAAAAAAAGAGAGAGAGAGAGAGATGGAGGTCTCACTGTCTTGCCCAGGCTGGTCTTGAACTCCTGTCCTTAAGTGATCCTCCTGCCTTGGCCTGCCAAAGTGTTAGCGTACCTGCGCCCGGCCTGAATGCATTTTTTTTTTTTTTTGAGACTTACTCTGTCGCCCAGGCTGGAGTACAATGGTGTGATACTGGCTCACTGCAACCTCAGCCTCCTGGGTTAAAGCGATTCTCCTGCCTCAGCCTCCTGAGTAGCTGGGATTACAGGTGTGCACCACCATGCCCAGTTAATTTTTTGTGTTTCTGGTAGAAATGGGGTTTCACCATGTTGGCCAGGCTGGTCTCAAACTCCTGACATCATGATCTGCCTACCTCGACCTCCCATAGTGCTGGGATTACAGCAGACCTGAGCCACCGTGCCTGGCCCTTAAATGCAGTTCTTTACATTCAATACAGTACTTACTAGTCTTGTTTCTTTCTTTTTTTTTTTGAGACAGAGTCTTGGTCTGTCGCACAGGCTGGAGTGCAGTGGCGCGATCTCAGCTTACTGCACCCTCCGCCTCTGGGGTTCAAACGATTCTTCTGCCTCAGCCTCCCGAGTACCTGGGATTACAGGCGCCTGCCACCACACCCGGCTAAGAGACAGGGTTTCTCCATGTTGGCCAGGCTGGTCTTGAACTCCTGGCCTCAGGCGATCTGCCCGCCTTGGCCTCCCAGAGTGTTGGGATTATAGGCGTGAGCCACTGCATCCCGCCTGGAGGCTTATTTCTAATGATTTGGTATTATAATCCACATTGCAGGAAAAACCTTCTTGTATTAGTGTTTGTACCCTCAAGTAATGGATAAGATTACATTCTTAGATAGTACATTGCTAGAGTAAAGAGAGAGCCTTTTTTTTGGCAGAGGGGTAGAGATGGGGGTCTTGCTATGTTGCTTAGGCTGGTCTTGAACTCCTGGCATCCAGTGATCCTCCTGTCTCAGCTTCCCAAAGTGCTGAGATAACATGAGATAACAGGCATAAGCCACTGTGCCCAGTCAAAAGTGATTTTTTTTTTTTTTTGAAATGGAGTCTTGCTCTTGTTGCTCAGGCTGGAGTGCAGTGGCGCGATCTCCTAGGTTCAAGTGATTCTCCTGCTTCAGCCTTCTAGGTTCAAGCAATTCTCCTGCTTCAGCCTCCCAAGTAGCTGGGACTACAGACATCTGCCATCATGCTGGGCTAATTTTTGTTTTAGTAGAGATGGGGTTTCACCATGTTGGCCAGGCTGGTCTTGAACTCCTGACCTCTTGATCTGCCTGCCTCGGCCTCCCAAAGTGCTGGGATTACAAGCATGAGCCACCGTGACTGGCTGATTTTTTGTTTTGTTTTGTTTTAGGACTTTGATCAATATAGATTGGCAGGCAGGGGGTTAGATGGTTAGATGGTGCCGCAAACATAGGAGTAGCCCGTTTTTTACATCAGAAATTGGGAAATCCACAAATAGAATATTTTTCTCCTGATTTATGCACGTAGCAAAAGTTTTATGAAGATGTAACATTTATACCAAATTTAGTAATTATGTATGTAACAGGCCACATTTAATGAAAGCATAACCAGGATAAAATAATTTCCTTACCCAGCTCTTTTTCTTCTACAGACACAGCAGGATGCCAATGCCTCTTCCCTCTTAGACATCTATAGCTTCTGGCTCAAGTAAGCCTTTCCTGTTCCATTTTGGCTATTTTCTCCCCCAAGATAGGCTGGGCTGTGTTTCTTGGTTTGGGAAGATTCCAGTCCCCTAGAAATTGGTCCAATCTACCTCAGCAGGTCTGCCAAGGTCCCAGAGCGAAAGTTACAGGCAAATGGACCAGTGGCTAAGAAAGCTAAGAAGAAGGCCTCATCCAGTGACAGTGAGGACAGCAGCGAGGAGGAGGAGGAAGTTCAAGGGCCTCCAGCAAAGAAGGCTGGTAAGGCAGAGTAGCAGGTGGGCTTGGTGGTGCCAGGAAAAGAATTTACAGCCTGCTTGTTTCACATGGCTGATTCTTACTGGGACCTGTGTGTTTGTTCAGCTGTACCTGCCAAGCGAGTCGGTCTGCCTCCTGGGAAGGCTGCAGCCAAAGCATCAGAGAGTAGCAGCAGTGAAGAGTCCAGTGATGATGATGATGAGGAGGACCAAAAGAAACAGCCTGTCCAGGTTTGCAGCTTTGGGAAGAAAAAGGGGTTTAAGGATTAGAAAGGAAGAAACCTAAAATCTTGGCCTCTAGCTTGTAACCAAGGGGTGATGGCGGCAATACAATAGGTGATTATGAGGAAGAAAATCTGGGGATTTTCAGGGAGCTGATAAAAGTATGAGGTCTGGAAGGGATGTGTGAGGTTGAGGTCAGGCTCCGAATCTAGAGGAAATTAAACCCATTCTGCTTGAGGAGTTTGGGTTCTTCTGGGACACTATTCAGGGCTCCAAGAATAAGAGAGAGTGTTTTCCTGGGAGCTTTGGCAGGATAAGGCAGGAACAGGGCCAGTGTATCAAGTGGCTGAACTTTGTTGTTTTTTGCCCTTTCCGTATCCTGTCCTTAGCTTTCTTTTGCTCTTACTGCTCCATTAGGCCCCTAAAAATAAAAGGAACCTAGGATGCCCTTTGGGTACCCGGAAGCTTTTGCTGATTTCTCTCCTTGTGTCTTTTCTAACAGAAGGGAGTTAAGCCCCAAGCCAAGGCAGCCAAAGCTCCTCCTAAGAAGGCCAAGAGCTCTGATTCTGATTCTGACTCAAGCTCCGAGGATGAGCCACCAAAGAACCAGAAGCCAAAGATAACACCTGTGACAGTTAAAGCTCAGACTAAAGCCCCTCCCAAACCAGGTACTGTTTCTGTTCCCAAGAGGCTGGGCTGGGGACCAGATTGCTCTGGGGACTGGAGTTAAAATTGCCGATTTGGCACAGGGGTGAAATGGTACTGTTTGTTGAACTGGAGGTGTTGATTACTGGTCTTTTAATTTTAAAGGTTTTACTAATAAATAACAAGATTTCATAGGAGCTAGTAAATAGAGAAAGTTATTGCAGCAAGAAAAAATGTGTATTTTTTTTAATGGTATCCATTTGGTATTTTGTGACATTTCATAGACATTTTATGTTTTCACACATCCCATTCCACTGTAATCACTTAAATATCTATTTGTTGTGCTTTTCACTGCCATTTTTACTCTTGTATGTTCATTCTATGAGACAAATGAGAATTTTTCTTTTTTTCTGTAACTTGTGATGAGGGTTAGGTTATTTCTCTGAATGGAGGTTGAAGTGAAAGATTTTAGAGGGCGTATTGAGATTATTTATGTCATCTTTTCTAAGAAGACAGTTTTATTCCTGCCATGGGATAGGAAAGGTATCCTTTGATGTGGTAAACCATGGCTGGCATTCTCCTCGATGGCTGCTCTAAAGTTGAAAGAATTGGTGGACTCCTGGCCAGGCACAGTGGCTCACACCTATAATCCCAGCACTTTGGGAGGCTGAGGCGGGCGGATTGCTTGAGGTCAGGAGTTCAAGACCAGCCTGGCCAACATGGCGAAACCCTGTGTCTACTAAAAATATAAAAATTAGCTGGGCATGGTGGTGGGCACCTGTAATCCCAGCTACTCCAGAGGCTGAGGCGGGAGAGTTGCCTGAACCACTGCACACTAGCCTGTGCAACAGAGCCAGAGCCAGACTCCGTCTCCAAAAAAAAAAAAAAAAAAAAAAAAAAAAATGGTGGACTCCTAAGTTCTCTGCTCATAGGAAGGAGGTTTTTCATGGTCCTGACTTGCCCTAATACTCCTTACTCTTTCTTTTTCTTGGGTATTCCAGCTCGAGCAGCACCTAAAATAGCCAATGGTAAAGCAGCCAGTAGCAGCAGTAGCAGCAGCAGCAGCAGTAGCAGTGATGACTCAGAGGAGGAGAAGGCAGCAGCCACCCCCAAGAAGGTCTGGACCATAACTTCTGTCAGGGCAGAGGTGACCAGGGTGTGATGTGTGTGTGTCTTCCTTCCCTGGCAGGATTGGTTGGGTCAGCATTTTCCTGTGGTAATCAATTTTCTTTCTAATGCAGACTGTACCTAAAAAGCAAGTTGTGGCCAAGGCCCCAGTGAAAGCAGCTACCACCCCTACCCGGAAGAGTTCTAGCAGTGAGGATTCCTCCAGTGACGAGGAAGAGGAGCAAAAAAAACCCATGAAAAATAAACCAGGTGACTGGACATGGGGAGCGAAGCTGTGTGACTGTGGTCAGGGCCCAGCTGCAGTAACCACATGGACCTCTCCATAGAGGTGCATGAGCGTCCTCATGACATGACAGCTAGCTTCTCCGAGCACTAGTGATCCAGGAAAGCAAGGAGAAATCTCCAGTGCCTTGTGTAACCTAGACTCAGAGGTGACACCATGTTCTGTTAGAACTGAGTCATTGATTCTGGCCCATACTCAAGTGAAGGGGAATTAAGCTTCATTTCTACAAGAAAGTAGTATCAAAAAAAGTTGTAGACATATCCTAAAACCATCACACTATCCTTTTTAAACAGGTCCCTACAGTTCAGTCCCCCCGCCTTCTGCTCCCCCACCAAAGAAGTCTCTGGGAACCCAGCCTCCCAAGAAGGCTGTGGAGAAGCAGCAGCCTGTGGAAAGCAGTGAAGACAGCAGTGATGAGTCTGGTGAGTCAGAGGGATGCAGCCTCCCCTCAGCGTGGGTCTGGAGGAGGGGATGAGGAATAAGGGAGAGAGAAAGCCTTCCATCCTTCGGTTGCTTTTTGCTTAAAGCAAGACAGAGCTAAGGCTCTGTGCGTGTCTTTGCATTCTTTTTATTGCTGTCCTGGTTGGGTTGGGACTCTGGACCCAGCATAATGCTACAGGTTCTCCTCAGATTCAAGTTCTGAAGAAGAGAAGAAACCCCCAACTAAGGCAGTAGTCTCTAAAGCAACCACTAAACCACCTCCAGCAAAGAAAGCAGCAGAGAGCTCTTCAGACAGCTCAGGTAAGGCATATGGAGGCCCTCAGTTCAGTGAGATGCTCTCAGGCAGCTGCTAAGGGCTCCCCTGAATCCAATTTGGGGAGCTGTTGATTCCATCCCTTCTGTGTCTAGACTCTGACAGCTCTGAGGATGATGAAGCTCCTTCTAAGCCAGCTGGTACCACCAAGAATTCTTCAAATAAGCCAGCTGTCACCACCAAGTCACCTGCAGTGAAGCCAGCTGCAGCCCCCAAGCAACCTGTGGGCGGTGGCCAGAAGCTTCTGACGAGAAAGGCTGACAGCAGCTCCAGTGAGGAAGAGAGCAGCTCCAGTGAGGAGGAGAAGACAAAGAAGATGGTGGCCACCACTAAGCCCAAGGCGACTGCCAAAGCAGCTCTATCTCTGCCTGCCAAGCAGGCTCCTCAGGGTAGTAGGGACAGCAGCTCTGATTCAGACAGCTCCAGCAGTGAGGAGGAGGAAGAGAAGACATCTAAGTCTGCAGTTAAGAAGAAGCCACAGAAGGTAGCAGGAGGTGCAGCCCCTTCCAAGCCAGCCTCTGCAAAGAAAGGAAAGGCTGAGAGCAGCAACAGTTCTTCTTCTGATGACTCCAGTGAGGAAGAGGAAGAGAAGCTCAAGGGCAAGGGCTCTCCAAGACCACAAGCCCCCAAGGCCAATGGCACCTCTGCACTGACTGCCCAGAATGGAAAAGCAGCTAAGAACAGTGAGGAGGAGGAAGAAGAAAAGAAAAAGGCGGCAGTGGTAGTTTCCAAATCAGGTCTGTACCCAATGAACATGCCCTCTGGGTTTTGTCCCCCCAAATCAGGATGGGATATACTCTTTGAGAGTAGGGTAGTGAGAGGAGGCCCACCACTGGGCTTCCAGTTGTGGAAACTGGGAGGAAGAACAGGAAACTGGTTACCTTTTTTTTTTTTTATTAGAGTCTCACTGTGTCACCCAGACCAGGGTGCAATGGCATGATCACGGCTTGTGCAGCCTTAACCTCATGGACTCAGGTGATCTTTCCACCCCAGCCTCCTGAGTAGCCGGGACTACAAGCATGCACCACCATGTCTGGCTCATTTTTTTAACTTTTTATAGAGACAGAATCTCACTATATTGCCCAGGCTGATCTGAATTTCCTGGGCTCAAGCGATCCTCCTACCTTGGACTCCCAAAATGCTGGGGTTACAGTTGTGAGCCACTGTACTCGGCCTGAGTCTGGCTTTTTGTTTTGTAGGTTCATTAAAGAAGCGGAAGCAGAATGAGGCTGCCAAGGAGGCAGAGACTCCTCAGGCCAAGAAGATAAAGCTTCAGACCCCTAACACATTTCCAAAAAGGAAGAAAGTAAGTTGTCTCACTTTCTTCTCAGGAGCCAGCTCTTTAAAAGTAGAAAAATCTAGGATCATCTTGACAGCTCTGCCTGGCGTGACCTGGTACATGTGCCCATGTGTATCACTCAGGAGAACTGTTACATGACCACTCTGTCTTTAATTTCCTACTTCATTCTTCTGTAGGGAGAAAAAAGGGCATCATCCCCATTCCGAAGGGTCAGGGAGGAGGAAATTGAGGTGGATTCACGAGTTGCGGACAACTCCTTTGATGCCAAGGTGAGAGAGAGATCTGTGCCATTCTTGGGAGGGAGGATGGGTAGTGTCAGAGAGGACAATTCTTGGTTCAGGTTGGTGGGAATCTTCTCTGGGTTCAGGTTTCCTTGAGCAGGGAGTAGAAAGAATAAAGTGACAGGGCTCCAGCATGGTCCTCCTCTGTGTTAATCTCCCTCTCTACTTACCAGCGAGGTGCAGCCGGAGACTGGGGAGAGCGAGCCAATCAGGTTTTGAAGTTCACCAAAGGCAAGTCCTTTCGGCATGAGAAAACCAAGAAGAAGCGGGGCAGCTACCGGGGAGGCTCAATCTCTGTCCAGGTCAATTCTATTAAGTTTGACAGCGAGTGACCTGAGGCCATCTTCGGTGAAGCAAGGGTGATGATCGGAGACTACTTACTTTCTCCAGTGGACCTGGGAACCCTCAGGTCTCTAGGTGAGGGTCTTGATGAGGACAGAAGTTTAGAGTAGGTCCTAAGACTTTACAGTGTAACATCCTCTCTGGTCCTTTTCTGTGTTCCTAGTTTTGTACAGACTTGTTTTTGAGTGTTGAGTAGCAGGGACAAAATAAGGGAATGTTATTTTTTAAGAAAATTCATTTTCATTGTTGTCTCCTTCCTTTTCTGTGAAAGTCCTCATACTGAGAAATTTGTATATTTTATATTAAATCACTTACTATTGATTTTTGTTGTGATTTTCAAAGGTGGATTCCCACAGATAAAATCTTGGCTATTGCCCAAAACATAGTAAAGGGTCACGTGTGACTTTTTATAATAGGAAGAAAATTCTGCCTTTGTGAGTGCACATGTCCACATTTCATCCCTCCTTCCCTCAAAACCCTAGAGAGGGGCATTAAAGAATTGTTGATGTATATGCAATGTCTGTTAAGCATGCACTATGTATTTCATCCTCATTTATTGGGTCTGGGACTGAAGTTTTTAGCCAGCATGGACCTAACCTACTTTTTGGGATAAAATTCTCTGTTTTGTTACAGGCAAAATTCTGGTATGGCGTGAATGCCATGGGTCATTCTGAATATATTTTTTTCTGTAATTTTATCATTACACGATGTTTGCAATACGTGCTTTGTTTTTTAATTTGAAAGCAAACTTTTCTACTGTTGAAAGACATTTTTTGACAACTTGACCCTTCCTAGTATTGAGTTCTAAGTTGAGGACTGCATCTTCTCGTTTTTTACAGTATAGAGAACAAAATGACATGAGTTTGAAAAATACATATCACTTGGTATTGCTGTCTTGGTTGCAGTGGTGATACAGAATTGGTTTCATTAATTCCTACATGGTTGAGAATCACTGATCAAGAAAGTGGGGGGAAAAAAAACAAACGTTAAAACCTCAATCCTCAGTAGGAAGGTAGATTACATTAGGTGAAATTATAGGTAATCTATGTATGTGCTAATGGGGTTGGAAAGAACCTTACAGAGCATATTACCTGATAAACTGGAGTGGGTTTGGGAGAACAAACTAATAGGATTATTGTGTCTCCTAGTTGGTACCTGGGAGCAATTGACATGCCCCCTTCAGAACCTTAACTGTTAGTAGCAGTGGCTGTAACAACACAAACCAGTGACCAGAGATAACAGCTTTTAGGCCAAGCTGGCCTGACGGTATGGCTGCAGGAAGTGACTGAGCAGTAGCGGTACTCAGCCAGACCAAGACGGAGAGGGAAGAGTCCACAGCTTTCTGGAAGCTAAGGCATTCTGGTGGTAGAAAAGTGTGCCCCAAGCCTTCATGGACGAGTTATAGGTCTTAAGATTAGTCTCCTCTTGTTTGGATTCCATACTTGCTAAATAACCTGATAATAACCTGGTTTTCCATGTAACTGCCTCTAGGAAGAAAATGTACTGTTCATGCTGACACAGATATTTCAGTCTGCATGGTAAAAGTTCTAAATCTTACTACAAAATAATAAACTGGCTGGTTTATAATGTGTCTTGGGAGTTTTATTATTGTGAGTCTAAACCCCTCCCACCCCCTACTCAAACCAGAACAACTTTGGTGCCAGTTATAGGACTGGGGTCCAGACCTGTGATTTCACTGCAGAGGCTTTTTGGCAGCAGCTTGTCTCACGGTGCCTTTTCCAGGCTATATTCTAGCCTACGCATAGTCCAAATTGGGGGTTGGCAAAATGGCCTATGGGTCAAATCCAGCCCATGGTTTGTTTTTGTATTACCTAGGAGCTAAGAATGGTTTTTACATTTGTAAAGGTCTTTTAAAAAGAGAATGTGTGACAGAGATCTTATCAATGGCCCACAAAGCCTAAGATATTTAGGATGCGGCCCTTTACAGAAGAAGTTTGCCAATCCCTGGTCTAAATCAGCGATTCCTAAGACATCAGCTGAAAATTAGAATCATCTGAGGAACTTAGAAGCACGGATACTCGCAAATCAAAACCACAATGAGATACCATCTCACACCAGTTAGAATGGCGATCATTAAAAAGTCAGGAAAGAACAGGTGCTGGAGAGGATGTGGAGAAATAGGAACACTTTTATACTGTTGGTTGGACTGTAAACTAGTTCAACCATTGTGGTAGACAGTGTGGCGATTCCTCAGGGATCTAGAACTAGAAATACCATTTGACCCAGCAATCCCATTGCTGAGTATATACCCAAAGGATTATAAATCATGCTGCTATAAAGACACATGCACACGTATGTTTATTGTGGCACTATTCACAATAGCAAAGACTTGGAACCAACCCAAATGTCCATCAATGATAGACTGGATTAAGAAAATGTGGCACATACACCCCATGGAATACTACAGCCATAAAAAAGGATGAGTTCGTGTCCTTTGTAGGGACATGGATGAAGCTGGAAACCATCATTCTCAGCAAACTATCACAAAGACAGAAAACCAAACACCGCATGTTCTCACTCATAGGTGGGAATTGAACAATGAGAACACTTGCACACAGGGTGGGGAACATCACACACCAGGGCCTAATGTGGGGTGGGGGGAGGGAAGGGATAGCATTAGGAGATAGATATACCTAATGTAAATGACAGTTAATGGGTGCAGCAAACCAACATGGCACATGTATACATATGTAACAAACCTGCACATTGTGCACATGTACCCTAGAACTTACCCTAGTATAATATAAAAAATAAAAAGAAACACGGATACTCAGGGGCCCATCCTGAGATCTATTGAGTCAGACCCTGGTGCTGTCTGGTGAGGCCCGGGCACTAGGGTATTTTTAAAGCTCCCAGATGATTCTAATGAACAGGTAGAGTTGAAAACCGCTTATCTAAAGAGTATTTGAAAAGAAGTGAATTGGTATTTCCCACCTTCATGCTTCCATTTTCAAATATACTTGTTAAAAATAATAGTATAAAATGAAAATTTCAGGCCAGGTACAGTGGCTTACGCATGTAATACCAGCACTTTGGGAGGCCAAGGCAGACGGATCACCTGAGGTCAGTAGTTCGAGACCAGCCTGGTCAACATGGTGAAACCCCGTCTCTACTAAAAAATACAAAAATTAGCTGGGCGTGGTGGCACGTGCCTGTAATCCCAGCTACTCGGGAGGCTGAGGCAGGAGAATTGCTTGAACCCTGGAGGTGGAGGTTGCAGTGAGCTGAGATCGTGCCACTGCACTCCAGCCTGGCGACACAGTGAGACGCTGTCTCAAAAATTTAAAAAAAAAAAAAAAAAATTTCATCTCAGCCCTGTTTCCTGGAACCTGCTTCTGTGTCTCCTTCCAGACAGTTTCTAGGTATGTGCTACTATATGCATCCTCCCCTCCTTTTTTTCTTGGCACAAATGGGGCAGTTCGTCAAGTGCAATGTTTTGCAACTTTCAGAGCTCAATTCATAGCAGAACACAGCAGCTCATTTTTAATGGCTATATGGTACTCTGTTTTAAGTTATTTAAATTAGTACTTTAGGGGCAGAAGTTTAAGTATTTTGCTATTACAAATAGTGTTACACTGGGTAGTCTTATACATGAGACTGAGTATCTGTGTGTTTTTATGTAGGAAATATTCCTAAAAATGATGGCTGGTTCAAAGGATATTTGCATTTATTAATAACATTTTGATCATTATTGCCCTCCAAAATCGTTCTACTAATCGTATAGTTCCAGCAACATTTTATCAAAGTGCCTCTTTGCCCTCTTGCCAACACTATTTACCAAATTGATCTTTGCTACTTGGATAAATGAAAATGCTCTCTCATTTTTGTTTGTTTTTGTTTTATAGTGGTAAAACACGACATTAAATTTACCACTAACCATTTTTAATTGTATGGTTTAGTAGTGTTAAGTATATTCCACTGTGTAACAGATACCTAGGACGTTTTCATCTTGTAAAATTGAAACTATATTCATTAAACACTAATATCCCCTCCTCCCCAGCCCTTGGCAACCATCTTTCTACTTTGTTTTTATGATTTTGGCTACTTTAGATATAACCTCATGAGTGGAACAGTAATGATATTATCTTTTTGTAGCTGGCTTATTTTACTTAGCCAAGCCAATGTCCTCAAGGTTCATCCATGTTATAGCAGGTGACAGGATTCCCTTCCTTTTTAAGACTGCATGATATTCCATTGTACGTCTATACCACTTTCGCCCAGACTGGAGTGCAGTGGCGTGATCTCAGCTTACTGCAACATCCGCCTCCCAGGTTCAAGCAATTCTCTGCCTCAGCCTCCTGAGTAGCTGGGATTATAGGCACCTGCCACCATGCCTGGCTAATTTTTGTATTTTTAGTAGAGACGGGATTTCACCATCTTGGCCAGGCTGGTCTTGAACTCCTGACCTCGTGATCTGCCCACCTCGGCCTCCCAAAGTGCTGGGATTACAGGTGTGAGCTACCACGCCTGGCCTTGGCATTTTTATTTTATTTATTTTGAGACAGGGTCTTGCTCTGTCACCCAGGCTGGAGTACAGTGGTGCAAACTTGGCTCACTACAACCTCCACCTCCCAGGCTCAAGCAATCCTCTCATCTTAGCCTTCCGAATAGCTGGGACCACAGGTATGTGCCACCACACTTGGCTAATTTTTGTGTTTTTTGTAGACAGGGTTTTGTCATGTTGCCCAGGCTGGTCTCGAACTGAGCTCAAGCTATCTGCCTGCCTTGGCCTCCCACAAGTGTTGGGATTACAGACGGGAGCCACCGCGCCCAGCCCGTTTTCATTTTTAAGTTGAATATGACATACATCCATTAATTTATTCTCCTTAAAACATAAATAATTTGTGAGGTTGCTGTTTATTGTTTAAATCATGACTTTTCTTCTGTATTGTATAACCCTTCTCAGTCTTGTTTGCTTTTTTCCGACAGAACTCATTTCCTCTTAGGCCTTGCAAAGCTGAGTCTGCTACGTTTTGCAGCTAGTGTGTTACACAAATGAGGCGGTTTAGCAAATTGCCTAACAGTATTCATTAGGAAGGTTAACCTGAGTCTGCGTTTGTTTGTTTGTTTGTTTGTTTTTGAGACAGGGTCTTGCTCTGTTGCACAGGCTGGAGTGCAGTGGTGCGATTACGATCACCGCTCACTGCAGCCTCAGCCTCTGGGGCTCAAGCAGATACTCTGATCTCAGCCCCCTGAGTAGCTGAGATCCTCCCACCTCAGCCTCCTGAGTAGCTGGGACTACAGTAGTCACTAGGCTTGGCTAGTTGTTTTTTTGTTTGTTTTGTTTTTGTTTTTGTTTTTAATTTTGTTTTGTAGAGACAGGGTCTCCCTGTGTTGCCCAGGCTACTCTCAAACAATCCTCCCACCTCAGCCTCCCAAAGTGCTGGGATTACAGGCGTGAGCCACTGTGCCCAGCCCAGAGTGTACCTTCTGATGTAAAATGAGAATACTGGCTGGGCCTGTAATCCCAGCACTTTGGGAGTCCAAGGCGGGTGGATCACGAGGTCAGGAGATCGAGACTATCCTGGCTACTTGCAGTGAGCTGAGATCGCACCACTGCACTCCAGGCTGGGTGACAGAGCAAGGCTCTGTCTCAAAAAAAGAGAGAATACTATCTCAACTCATTTGTAGATTCTTGACTCTCTCAGAGGCTTGTTGTAAGGACTGAGAATTTAAAGCACTTAGTACAGTCCCTGGCATATTATAAGCACTCCATAACTGCCTCTTGCTCAACAAAAAAAGCTTTGGAAATGATGTTCTTTGGTTTCCTTGTGATGTGCAACATGCCATTTTGGCAAAGGCATCAAGCATATGTTAATGATTATTTCCCTGCAATGGTTTTTTGTTGTTTCACGTTTATCATCTTTATTCCTGATACAAAAATGGATATGTGGAATTGGTCCTATTAGAAACTTCTTAGTTTTGTGAAGAATCTGGAATTCCTACCCCTTGCTGATGGGCTCTGGCACTGAAATCCGCAAATTCAGTCAACCAGACACATGGCTCATGCCCCTCTGCATCATGCTTCATGGACACAGGCAGGAGACTTCCTAATGCCCTGTTGGGGGCTTGCCCTTCGCCCGGTGTAGCCTTACTGCAACCCTGTTAGGTGGGTATCGAGTAGATCATTCCATTTGGGGCCAGGTAAGTCTTTGCTTTTGAGGACTGTCCTGTGTGTTGTAGGATGTGTGGCAGCGTCCCTGGCCTCTAACACTGCATGCCAATAGTTTCCCCTAGTTGTGACAACCAAAAACGGCTCCAGGCATTGCCAAATATTTTCTGGGAAGGAAAATTGCCCCTAGTTGAAAACCACTACGGAAACAGCCCTGAGTATCAAATGATTTACTTAGGGTTGATGAAACTGCAACTTAGTGGCACATTGAGACAAGAACACAGGTCTCTGTATGTCCAAACATGGAGCTACCTGTATTCAATAGTCTTTGTGAACCTGCTATGTACTCGTCATAGAACTCCCAGAGAGCTCAGTGTCTAATGGGGAAAGTCAGGCATGGGAATGGTTTCTGTGCACTGAGCTGAGTTCTGTCCCAAACTGAAGGTCAGAGTAGCACCCCTAAGGGTACAAGCAAGAAAATACTTGGCTTGGCCCGGTGTGGTGGCTCACACCTGTAATCCCAGCACTTTGGGAGGCCGAGGCAGGCAGATCACGAGGTCAGGAGTTCGAGACCAGCCTGGTCAACATAGTGAAACCTCGTCTCTACTAAAAATACAAAAAATTAGCCAGGTGTGGTGGCAGGCGCCTGTAATCCCAGCTACTCAGGAAACTGAGACAGGAGAATCGCTTGAAACCGGAAGGCGGAGGTTGCAGTGAGCCAAGATCGTGCCACTGCACTCCAGCCTGGGCAACAAAGTGAAACTCTGTCTCAAAAAAAAAAAAAAAAAAAAAGAAGAAGAAGAAGAAGAAAAGACTTGGCTGATGGTGGCCTAGGATTCTGAAGACAGCTGCAGTTTGCCAGGAGCGAGAAAAGTGCATACCGTGTAAGGAAGAGTGCCTTTTCCAGTGGGAGAAGAGGGCTGTTAGAATGGGTCAAGCAGAGGTGTGCGGGAGGTGGGGGCAAGATACTGCGAAATTTCACTGAGAGTTCAATGTCAATGGCCTTTTGTACCTAAGTTAGGAATTAGTACTTTATTTTGTCCACCTGAGTATGTTAGGAGATTTGATAGTCTAATACAATACTCCTGGCACTAATCCGGTTGCGGTGAAAGCACTATTTCTGCCGGACCACGAAGTTCTCAAATCCCTCCTGCAGAGCCTGTCTGCAGTTACCGATGGGGCCAGTAGGTGGCGATGTTGCCCCCCTGTTTAGGGAGCTGGGCTGGACTTAAATAGAAGCTTAACTCCTTACTTACTCCAGTGCTATTCAACAAACTTGAAGAGCCGGGCGCAGTGGCTCACGCCTGTAATCCCAGCACTTTGGGAGGCGGAGGCGGGCGGATCACGAGGTCAGCCGATCGAGACCAACCTGGTTAACACAGTGAAACCCCGTCTCTACTAAAAATACAAAAAATTAGCGGGGCGCCGTGGCGGGCGCCTATATAGTCCCAGCTACTCGGGAGGCTGAGGCAGGAGAATGGCGTGAGCCCGGGAGGCGGAGCTTGCAGTGAGCCGAGATAGCGCCACTGCACTCCAGCCTGGGCGACAGAGCGAGACTCCGTCTCAAAAAAAAAAAAAAACACCTTGAAGAGCCCACTGTGAGCCTTTGGATACACAGATGAATAAGACACAGGCCCTCATCTGAGGCTCTTTAGTTTTGGAAATTAGAGAAGGGGTTTTTTGTTTGTTTGTTTGTTTGTTTGTTTTGAGACAGAGTCTCGCTCTGTCGCCCAGGCTGGAGTGCTGTGGTGCCATCTCGGCTCACTGCAAGCTCTGCCTCCTGGGTTCACGCCATTCTCCTGCCTCAGCCTCCCGAGTAGCTGGGACTACAGGCGCCCGCTACGGCGCCCAGCTAATTTTTTTGTATTTTTTAGTAGAGACGGGGTTTCACCGTGCTCTCCATCTCCTGACCTCATGATCTGCCCGCCTCGGTCTCCCAAAGTGCTGGGATTACAGGCGTGAGGCACCGCGCCCGGCCGAGAAGGGAGGTTTTCTGGTCTCTGGTCTGTACTGGTTATCCATGAGAGGTTACCTGATACCTGAAAGCCAGTGGCAGGCAACATGGCTTGTAGAAGATTAATGTTCCCCGTGGAACCCCAACCCTACCTCCAGGTCCTGGCAGGGCCTTCGGGCTCCTGCAAGGGTGACCGGCTGCAGATCCCACTGCTGATGGAAATTGCGGGCCTGTGTTCTTCCTAGGTCTGGGAGCTCAGAGGCTTTGATGCCTTCTCCTCTCTCCTCTCTCTTCCCTCCTCTCCCAGCATAATCTCAAGGAGCTCAGGATTGAGGAGAACAAATGCCAGGCTTCCGCCTTGGAAGTGGATACTTCCAAGTGGCAGAGGAAGTACAGAGTATTTCAAGAAATTAGCCTGCCAAACAGAAATTTATCCATTCAGCAAAAATTCATCCATTCAGAAAATATGAGTGGCTGCCATGCGCCAGGTACATGACATGTGATCCTGTGTGGTAGCTGTTGCAGATACAATCCTGAATGAACAAAAAACACAGTTCCAGCAATCAAAGTTTACTCAAAAAAAGTTTTGTTTACTCAAAAAAGACAAAAAGTTTGTCCGACTAGTGAGGGACAAAAATATTAATCCTCACAAATAAATGTGTAAATACAAACTTCAGTGTGTGAAGGCAGGTTGTACAGAGCTATGAGAGCATGTAATAGGGGCAGCTGACCCATGTGGTGGTGGGACTTCCTCATGGATAGCATGACCATGTAACTTTTTTTTTTTTGAGACGGAGTCTGGCTCTGTCGCCCAGTCTGGAGTGCAGTGGCCTGATCTCCGCTCACTGCAAGCTCCGCCTCCCGGGTTCACTTCATTCTCCTGCCTCAGCCTCCCGAGTAGCTGGGAGTACAGGCGCCCGCCACGCTAATTTTTTGTATTTTTCATAGAGACGGGATTTCACCGTTTTAGCCAGGATGGTCTCGATCTCTTGACCTCGTGATCTGCCCGCCTCGGCCTCCCAAAGTGCTGGGATTACAGGCGTGAGCCACCGTGCCCAGCATGACCATGTAACTTATTGTCTGAACTGGGATGCTTTTGAGAGGAAGAGGGAGGGAAATTAGTCTGAGATGAATAGGTGTAAAGTGAGGCTATGCTAGTCATGCCAGGACATATGGTCACTCTAGTAATAGAAATCTAAGAATAGGAAGTGATGTTTCAGCCAAAACCTGAAGTTAAGGGTTAATTAGGGGAAGCTAGAGGGTTGGGGGTGCTAGATATGTGAGTTTTCCAGTTAGAGGGAATAGCACGTGCAAAGACCTTTTTGTGCCTTGGGAGGATGATGGAGACCCCACACTGAAAGGTCTATGCAGCTGGAATGCAGAGTGAGGAGAGAGAGCAGTGTAACATGAAGCTAGAGAGGTAGGCAGGGGTAGAGTAGGCAGAGGCTTTGTAAGGCATGTTTGAAATGTCGGTCTTTAATAAGGCAGTAGGGGCCAGGCTTGATGGCTCATGCCTGTAATCCCAGCACTTTGGGAGGCTGAGGCGGGCAGATTCCCTGAGGCCAGGAGTTTGAGACCAGTCTGGCCAACATGGCAAAACCCCGTGTCTACTAAAAGTACAAAAAATTAGCCGGGCGTGGTGGTGGGCACCTGTAGTCCCAGCTACTCGGAAAGCTGAGGTAGGAGAATTGCTTGAACCCGGGAGGCGGAAGCTGCAGTGAGCTGAGATTACACCATTGCACTCCAGCCTGGGCAACAAGAGTGAAACTCTGTCTCAAAAAAAAAAAAAAAAAAAAAAAAAAAAAAGGCAATAGGAAGCCATTCAAGGTGTGAGTGTCTTAGCTTGGGCTGCGATAACTAAATACTAGACTGGGTGGCTTAAACAACAGAAATTGATCTCTTACATTCTAGACTCTGGGAAGTGAAGCATCAAGGGGCCGACCAATTCACTTCCTGGTGAGGGCTGTCTTCCTGGCTTGCAGATGGCCATCTTGCTGTGGCCTCACATGATGGGGGCAGAATGGGGCGAACAAATTCTTTGGTGTCTCTCTTTTTTCTTTTGTGTTTGTTTGTTTTAGAGACAGGGTCTTGCTATGTTGTCCAGGCCATAGTGCAGTGGCTATTCACAGGTGTGATCGCAGCACACTACAGCCTCGAACTCCTGGGCTAAAGTGATCCTCCCACTTCAGCCTCCTGAGTAGCTGGGACTACAGACACGTGCCACTGCACCTGGGTCTTCGGTCTCTCTTTTTTTTTATTTTTTTGAGACAGAGTCTTGCTCTGTCGCCCAAGCTGGAGTGCAGTGGCACGATCTCAGCTCACTGCAACCTCCACCTCCTGGGTTTAAGTGATTCTCCTGCCTCAGCCTCCCAAGTAGCTGGGATTACAGGCACGTGCCACCATGCCCAGCTAATTTTTGTACTTTTAGTAGAGACGGGGTTTCCCCATGTTGGCAAGGCTGGTCTAAAACTCCTGACCTCAGGTCGGGCACAGTGGCTCACGCTTGTAATCCCAGTACTTCCGGAGGCTGAGGCAGGTGGATCACGAGGTCAGGAGATTGAGACCATTCTGGCTAACACGTGAAACCCCGTCTTTAGGGAATATACAAAAACTTAGCCAGGCGTGGGGGCGGGTGCCTGTAGTCCCAGCTACTCAGGAGGCTGAGGCAGGAGAATGGTGTGAATCTGGGAGGTGGAGCTTGCAGTGAGCCGAGATCGCACCACTGCACTCCAGCCTGGGCGACAGAGCAAGACTCCGTCTCAAAAAAACAAAACAAAACAAAACAAAACAAAACAAAAAAAACACTCCGGACCTTGTGATCCGCCCGCCTTGGCCTCCTGAAGTGTTGGGATTACAGACGTGAGCCACTGTGCCCAGGCAACGGGCTCTTCTTATGAAGGCACTGATCTCACCTGGGTCTGCACCATCATGACCTCATCTAAACCTAATTAGGTGGTGATTAAAGGCCCCATCTTCCAACATACCACACTGGGGATTAGGGAGTCAATATATGAACTTGAAGACTTCACAAATATTCAGTCCATAAGAGTGAATGTGTATGCGTGTGTGGTTTTTTTTTTTTAATTTTTTTTAATTTTTTTTTTTTTTTGAGGCAGAGTCTCGCTCTGTCGCCCAGGCTGGAGTGCAGTGGCACTATCTCGGCTCACTACAAGCTCCGCCTCCTGGGTTTGCGCCACTCTCCTGCCTTAGCCTCCCGAGTAGCTGAGACTACAGGCGCGTGCCACCACGCCCGGCTAATTTTTTGTATTTTTAGTAGAGATGGGGTTTCACCGTGTTAGCCAGGATGGTCTCGCTCTCCTGACCTTGTGATCCGCCCACCTTGGCCTCCCAAACTGCTGGGATTACAGGCGTGAGCCACCCTGTCCGGCCTTTTTATTTTTTTGAGACGGAGTCTCGCTGTGTCACCCAGGCTGGAGTGCAGTGGCGCCATCTCGGCTCACGGCAAGCTCCACCTCCTCGGGTTCACGCCATTCTCCTGCCTCAGCCTCCCGAGTAGCTGGGACTACAGGTGCCTGCCACCACGCCCAGCTAATGTTTGTATTTTTAGTAGAGACGGGATTTCACTGTGTTAGCCAGGAAGGTCTCGATCACCTGACCTCGTGATCTGCCCGCCTCAGCCTCCCAAAGTGCTGGGATTACAGGCGTGAGCCACTGCGCCTGGCCTTTTTTTTTTTTTTTTCCCCTAGAAACAAGGTCTCACTATGTTGCCCAGGCTGGTCTGAAACTCCTGGCCTCAAGTGATTCTCCTGTCTTGGCGTCCCAAAGTGCTGTGGTTACAGGCATGAGCTACTGTCCCCAGTTGTGTATGTGTGTTTTTTTCTTTTCTTTTCTTTTCTTTTTTTTTTTTTTTTGAGATGGAATCTTGCTCTGTCGCCCAGGCTGGAGTGCAGTGGTGCCATCTCGGCTCACGGCAAGCTCCGCCTCCCGGGTTCACACCATTCTCCTGCCTCAGCCTCCCGAGTAGCTGGGACTACAGGCCCCCGCCACCACGCCCGGCTCATTTTTTGTACTTTCAGTAGAGACGAGGTTTCCCCATGTTAGCCAGGATGGTCTCGATCTCCTGACCTCGTGATCCGCTTGCTTCGGCCTCCCAAAGTGCTGGGATTACAGGTGTGAGCCAGCGCGCCCGGCCGTATGTGTGTTTTTAAAAAGGATTTTATTAGGGAAATTTTCACATACTTACCAAAGTAGGAAGAACAGTATAATTAAGCCCCATCTTCCCATCCAGCTCTTAACAATACACAGCCCATCTTATTTCATCTCTTATTAGCCCAACTCATTCCCCTTCCCACTTCCCATTGGATAATTCTGAAGCAAAAACAAGACTTTTTTTTTTTCTAAGCAGTCTCACTCTGTTCCCCACCCTGGAGTGCAGTGGTGCAATCTGGGGTCACTGCAACCCCAAGCCTGCAACCTCCAGCCAGGCTCAAATGATCCTCCCATCTCAGCCTCCTGAGTAGCTGGGACTACAGGTGCACACCACCATGCCCAGCTAATTTTTCATCCCATCAGAACAAGTAAACATGTGGGCCCCACGGCTCTTGTGGGTACTGTCTCCCTCATGGTGAACAAGCCTCCTGGTGTTTCGTCCAAGAAAAGGAAGGGTGTCAGCGGAACCACAGTCCTTTTTCATTTATAAACTGCCTCTTCATGTTGCCTG
The DNA here is from genome assembly GCF_000001405.40 of Homo sapiens. NCBI lineage: Eukaryota > Metazoa > Chordata > Mammalia > Primates > Hominidae > Homo > Homo sapiens. The sequence continues at coordinate 102,175,048 of NC_000010.11, forward strand.
CTCAAGTTTCCACGTAGAATTGCTATCACTGTGGCTCTTTATTTTTCTTTTTCTTTTTTTTTTTTTTGAGACGGAGTCTTGCTCTGTTGCCCAGGCTGGAGTGCAGTGGCGCGATCTCGGCTCACTGCAAGCTCCGCTTCCCGGGTTCACGCTATTCTCCTGCCTCAGCCTCCCGAGTAGCTGGGACTACAGGCGCCCGCCACGGCGCCCGGCTAATTTTTTGTATTTTTACAAAATACAAAGTAGAAACGGGGTTTCACCATGTTAGCCAAGATGGTCTCGATCTCCTGACCTCGTGATCCACCCACCTGGGCCTCCCAAAGTGCTGGGATTACAGGCGTAAGCCTCCGCCCCCGGCCCACTGTGGCTCTTTCTAAAAATCCTTCTATTTAACTGGCTCACTGAAATTAGTCATAGGAAACTTGTGATTTGGTGAAGAAGCATTCCTTGTAATAACCAAATGATGGGACGGTTTGCATAGCAACAGTGTTACACTTATGGGGGCCGTCTCTAGAATCCAGGAAGTCTCTGGATCTGAAGGATGAACAGTTCTTCCTGCTCTGAATGAGAGTGGACTCTTCCCCTCACCTCCAACTGAAACCACGAACACCCAGAATCTTCTGGGATTCTGACTTAAGAGTCCTTGTTATAGAAGACCTTGTTGCTATGGAACATGAAACTGTGTGTGTCAGATGGAGAGATTCCCTTAACTTAAGAGCCTTAAATAGCCCTGAAAGTACACCGGGACAGTTTGCCATGTAATTAAAATTAGAAGTGAATATTTTTAGGTGCCCTTGAAGCTTTCTGGGGACTCAAAATTATCAAGAGTCAGGGACAGTCCGAAGGAAGAACGTCTGTAAAAGTGGGTTCCTGGAAGTACAGACAGATGTGGCTTTTTGTAGAACTTGGTGGGGAGCGGTGCCTCGTAAGAGCGGAATGGCCTGGCGTAGCCAGTGCTTCCCGGCAACACGCAGCTCTGCCAGCCTCCAGAATTCCCCCGTTCTGAGCTTGATGCCCTTAGCCTGTCCCCCACCTCCTTCTTCCCCTCCCCTCTAGCCCTCTCACAGGGGTGATTGCTACCACTCTTTTCTTGGGCCTAGGCAAGTTTTAGAGGAGTTCTCAACCATTGTCACGAAGCCTGTGTGCTCCCTGGGCTGGATGGCCTGGGCTTGCGTGTGGCCCGAGGGCTCTCCTGGGGTCTTTTTCCCAGTCACCGTCCAAGCCACAGTGCACTCATTGGATGTATGTTCTTAACATAGCTCACTGCTTCTCTTTCTACATTAAAAAAAATCATTATTGCATTTTGGAAAGCAGTGCTTATCAAAAGCAACTTTTTTTTTTTTTTTTTTTTGAGAAACGGAGTCTCTCTCAGACGCCCAGGCTGGAGTGCAGTGCCACGCCCGGCCCAAAAGCAACTTTTAAAACCTATTTTATTGTTCCTTTAAATGTTCTCTCCCGCTGAAACTGCCTTGGGGAGGCTAGCAGCTGCTCTTCCATTTCCCCACATCAGGGTATTCTCCACGTCACTGAGTGGAGATGACTCCAGGTATGTTTAAAGACTGGACAATTCACCTGTACTGTGTAGGAAATTACCTCCTTAATTACCTGGTAGAATTGTCAGCAGACATGTTCATCCGATGATAGTACTGCAGTTTTCTATAAATAATTTGCTGACTTTTATCTAACCTGCACTCATGTACAGATTATTAAAAGTTTTAAAATGTAACTGATCAGTATTGATCAATCATTATCTTGACTTTTTTTTACCGTGTATATTTCTTTTTTCTTTTTATTTTTTTGAGACGGAGTCTCGCCCTGTTGCCCTGGCTGGAGTGCAGTGGTGCAATCTCGGCTCACTGCAAGCTCTGCCTCCCGGGTTCACGCCATTCGCCTGCCTCAGCCTCCCGAGTGGCTGGGACTACAGGCGCCCACCACCACGCCCAGCTAATTTTTTGTATTTTTAGTAGAGACGGGGTTTCACCGTGTTAGCCAGGATGGTCTTGATCTCCTGACCTCGTGATCCGCCCACCTCGGCCTCCCGAAGTGCTAACAGGCGTAAGCCACTGAGCCCACCCCCTATAGTGTATATTTCTAATCATATTCTTTAAAGCCAAGAGAACTGGTTGAATGAATGTTTATTTTCCTGAAGGTATTTTTAGGATAAAGCTGCCTAATGGCCTGTAAACTTTGCATATATATGTAGTTTGATACATATTGTCACATTTGAAAATCTTGTGAGTTGTAACTGGTTTTATACAAAATATCGAATAGTGGAAATTGTATAATTACAATCATGTAATTAAACTCCCCCCCCAAAAAATACCAAAATTAGTCGGGCGTGGTGGCATATGCCTATAATCCAAGCTACTCGGGGGGGCTGAGGCAGGAGAACCGCCTGAACTTGGGAGGTGGAGGTTGCAGTGAGCCGAGATCTCACCACTGCATGCCAAGCTGGGCAACAAGAGTGAGACTCCATCTCAAAAAAATTAAAGTTAAGCCTTTAAGGAAAAAGGCTTTACTTTTCACACTTAAAAGAATTATCAGGCCGGGCGCAGTGGCAGGCGCCTGTAGTCCCAGCTACTCGGCAGGAGAATCACTTGAACCCAGGAGGCGGAGGTTGCAGTGAGCTGAGATTGCACCACTGCACTCCTGCCTGGCGACAGAATGAGACTCTGCCTCAAAAAAAAAAAAAGAATTATCAGTATAGTAATTAGTTGGTATCATTAAACATCCAGTGAGTATCACCATCCAGTCAGTAGAGATGGGATTTCACCATGTTGCCCAGCCTGGTCTCAAACTCCTGGGTCCAAGAGATCTGCCCACCTCTGCCTCCCAAAGTGCTGGGATTATAGGCATGAGCCACCACACCAGGACTTTAAAAAATTTTTTTCTTGAATTGAGTAGTGCTTTAGAATTATCCATTAAGCTTCATGTTTATGTTTGCTGTATTTCACACACACATACAAAGTGTTGTTGTTGTTTTAAAGAAGAATGCTGTGTTTCCTTGGGACAGGTGAGGTGAGAGGAGAAACGTAGAAGGAGAAAAGTAGAGAGATGGAAAAAAGAGGGCTCTGAGGAATACAAAACCTGCAAGACAAAAGGGAAAAGAGTGGCTGTGGGGGCCGTGGACCCTGAGAAGGTGTTTCCAGGTTCTCCACAGAGGGACCCCAGACCTTGCATCTGCAAGCCCACTTGAGCTCCAGGCTTCTGGAGAGGTCTCCAGAGAGCGGGACTAGAAAGGCAGCCCCAGGAGTGATGATGGTGAGCCTGCCCGGGCCAGAGCAACTCCAGGACAAAAAGCAAAGGGGCCTGGGAAGTTGGAGAAAGTTTCTTTTCATTTTCTCTTTTTCATTTGAGAAAGGCAGCAGAGAGCAGTGGAAAGGACCAAAGGGCCCCGTGTCTGAATTGTAGCACTAGTAGTTGTGTGATACTGGGTTATGATACTCCATTAAATTTTTTTTTTTTACTCTCCTCTAATTTCTTTTACCAGACTCCATTAATTTTTATCTCAGCTTCATTATACAGGTTGAGTATCCCTTATCCAGAAGGGCTTCAGATTTTGTGTGTTTTTTTGTTTTTGTTTTTGGACTTTGGAATATTTGCATGTACATAATGAGATATCTTGGGGATGGGACGAAAGTCTAAACAAGAAATTCATTTGCGTTTCATATACATTTTATACACATAGCCTGAAGATAATTTTATTATGTATTTATGTATATAAACATAAAAATATGTGTGTATATTTATTTTTTTGAGATGGAATCTCACTCTATTGCAAGGCTGGAGTGCAGTGGCACGATTTTGGCTCACTGCAACCTCCACCTCCTGGGTTCAAGCGATTCTCCTGCCTCAGCCTCCTGAGTAGCTGGGACTACAGGAGTGTGCCACCACACCTGGCAAATTTTTGTATTTTTTAATAGAGACAGGGTTTCGCCATGTTGGCCAGGTTGATCTCGAACTCCTGACCTCAGGTGATCCACCCGCCTAGGCTTCCCAGAGTTCTGGGATTACAGGTGTGAGCCACTACACCTGGCCAATTTTATATTATATTTTAAAACAATTTTGTGGCTGGGCGGAGTGGCTCACACCTGTAATTCCAGCACTTTGGGAGGCTGAGGTGGAGCCCAGCATTTGGAGACCAGCCTGGCCAACATGTTGAAACCCCGTCTCTACTAAAAATACAAAAATTAGTCAGTAGTGGTAGCTGGTGCCTGTAATCCCAGTTTTTCGGGAGGCTGAGGCAGGAGAATCTCTTCAGCCTAGGAAGTGCAGTTTGCAGTGAGCCCAGATCGTGACACTGCACTCCAGCTTGGGCAACAGAGTGAGACCCCATCTCCAAAAATTAAAAAAAAAAAAAAGAAGCTGAGGTGGGCGGATCACTTGAGCCCAGGAGGTCAAGGCTTTGGTGAGCTGAGATCACGCCACTGCACTCCAGCCTGGGTGACAGAGCAAGACCCTGTCTCAAAAAATAAAATAATTTTGTGCATGAAACAAAATGTTGACTTCATTTGACTGAGACCTGTCATATGAGGTCAGGTGTGGAATTTTTCACTTGTGGCATCATGTTGGCACTTAAAAAGTATCAAATTTTGGAGTATTTTGGATTTCAGGTTTTGGATTAGAGATGCTCAGCTCAGCTTGCATGTAAATAGTAACAATAGCCAAGCTTTATTATATGCTTACAATAAGCCAGGCCCTGTAAACCTTGAAAATACAACTCATTTGGCCAGGCGCGGTGGCTCATGCCTGTAATCCCAGCACTTTGGGAGGCCAAGGCGGGCGGATCACGAGGCCAGGAGATAGAGAACATCTTGGCCAACATGGTGAAACCTCATCTCTACCAAAAATACTAAAAAAAATTAGCTGGGCATGGTGGCATGCACCTGTAGTCCCAGCTACCTGGGAGGCTGAGGCAGGAGAATCGCTTGAACCTGGGAGGCAGAGGTTGCTGTGAGCACCACTACTCCAGCCTGGCGACACAGCGTGACTGCATCTAAAAAATATATATATATATATATGCACATACATATATATATATGTCTTATTTACTCCTTACAACAGCCCTCGAAGGTATTATCCACATTTTACAGGTGAGGAAAATAAGGCAGACGGGTTATGTTACTTGCCCATATTCACACAGGGAAACGTAGAGCTGAGACTTGAATCCAGGCAATTGGACTCAGAATCCATGTCCTTACCACTATATTACCATTGCCAAGAGATATAACATTACAGAATTGTTTTATTGGTTATAGATAATTAATGCAAAGTACCTGGAACTGAGTAAGTATAGTCGTCCTTCAGTATGGGGGAGATTGGTTCCAACCCCCCAATACACCAGATATCAAAATCTGCAGATACTGAAGTCCCTTATATAAAATAAGCAGTACTTGCATTTAACCTATGAACATCTTCCTGTATACATTAAATCATTCTAGATTACTCATAATACTTAATACAATGTAAACTCTATGCAAGTAGTTGTTATACTATTTTTTTATTTGTTTGTTTTTTGAAATGGAGTCTCAGTCTGTCGCCCAGGCTGGAGTACAGTGGCGTGATCTAGGCTCACTGCAACCTCCACCTCCTGGGTTTAAGCAATTCTTCTGCCTCAGTCTCCTGAGTAGCTGGGATTACAGGCGCTTCCCAGAACGCCCGGCTAATTTTTGTACATTTAGTCAAGACAGGGTTTCACCATGTTGGCCAGGCTGGTCTCGAACTCCTGACCTCGGGTAATCCACCTGCCTCGGCCTCCCAAAGTACTGGGATTACAGGCGTGAGCCACTCCACCTGCTCCTGCCTCTTTTCTTCTTAAAAATCTGTTGGAGAAAGCATTTTAGAAGAAAATGAGTCTCTGGTCTCACGTTTCATCTGATCTCTTGTGGCTATTTTAGGACACTTTATTCCTAGACGGGTAGGTCCTGGAAGCTCATTTTTAGCAGGTTGTGAAGTCTCATGTCCTATGAAGAGAAAATGGGGGGAGGAAGAAAGAAAAACAACAACAAACAAAAGAATAATCCTGGAAAAATTGATATAGGCAACATTACTCTGAAGTCCATACATTAGTAGGCAGGTATGAAAGTGGCTTATGTATATAAATAGGTGGCTGTTATTTTCTTCTGACACTTAAATTGTCTGGCTTCAGTTCACAGGGCATTAAGAAAGCACAGTTTAGTTTTCAGTGAATCCAAATTAGGAAAAATGGGGGAAAAAGAAGAAAAAAAAATGAAAACAGTATTTTGAAGTCTTGTAGCTAAGAAAAATTAGAATTTGGTTCAAACTGTAGAAAACAATAAAAATTGGCCGGGCGCGGTGGCTCACGCCTGTAATCCCAGCACTTTGGGAGGCCGAGGCGGGCGGATCACAAGGTTAGGAGATCGAGACCATCTTGGCTAACACGGTGAAATCCCATCTCTACTAAAAATACAAAAAATTAGCCGGGCGCGGTGGCGGGCGTCTGTAATCCCAGCTACTCGGGAGGCTGAGGCAGGAGAATGGCATGAACCCGGGAGGTGGAGCTTGCAGTGAGCCGAGATAGCGCCACTGCAGTCCGGCCTGGGCGAAAGAGCGAGACTCCGTCTCTAAAAAAAGAAAAGAAAAGAAAAGAAAACAATAAAAATTGAAAAAATATTAGGCAAGACTAGAATCTAACAACAGGTGTACTATAGTTTTAAAACATAATTTTTCTCTCTCCAGTTTCCCATTTTTACTAAAGACAAATCATGGTAGGACTGGTTTGCTTTATTACACTTGGCATAATTATTTGTATACAGTGCAGCAAGAATAATCATTTTTTTAATGTAGGCTTTTAAATTGGCTTTGATGGAACTTGTTCCATAGGAGGATTCTCAGATAAGACTTTTTAAAGCCGAACCCAGTCATGGATTACAGGCATGAGCCACTGCACTCGGCCGCTTTTTGAGAAACTTTTACTATAATGGATTATAAAAATAACCACTTTAAGGACAGTATCAATAATTTAATTTTATTATTATTTTTTTGCCCCACCCCCTCTGCCTCTTAATTATTTATTTATTTATTTTTTGAGAGGGAGTCTCGCTCTGTCGCGAGGCTGGAGTTCAGTAGCGCAATCTCAGCTCACTGCAACCTCTGCCTCCCAGGTTCAAGTGATTCTCCTGCCTCAGCCTCCTGAGTAGCTGAGACTACAGGTGCACGCCACCATGACCAGCTAATTTTTGTATTTTTAGTAGAGACAGGGTTTCACCATGTTGGCCAGGCTGGTCTCAAACTCCTGACTTCAAGTGGATCTGCCTTCCTTGGCCTCCCAAAGTGCTGGGATTACAGGCATGAGTCACCAAGCCTGGCCAATTTATTTTTTTCTCCCCTTAATTTGAAATGCTACAGAATGAAAGATTTGTTTGTTTGTTTGTTTGTTTATTTATTGAGATGGAGTCTTGCTGTGTTGCCGAGGCTGGAGTGCAGTGGCGCGATCTTGGCTCACTGCAACATCCGCTTCCTTGGTTCAAGCAATTCTCTGCCTCAGCCTCCCGAGTAGCTGGGATTACAGGCGCTGCCACCACACCCAGCTAATTTTTGTATTTTTAGTAGAGACGGGGTTTCACCATCTTGGCCAGGCTGGTCTTGAACTCCTGACCTCGTGATCTGCCTGCCTCGGCCTCCCAAAGTGCTGGGATTACAGGCATGAGCTACCACGCCTGGCCTTGGCATTTTTATTTTATTTATTTTGAGACAGGGTCTTGCTCTGTCACCCAGGCTGGAGTGCAGTGGCACTATCTCGGCTCACTGCAAGCTCCGCCTCCCAGGTTCATGCCATTCTCCTTCCTCAGCCTCCTGAGTAGCCGGGACTACAGGCACCACCACCACGCCTGGCTGATTTTTGTATTTTTAGTAAAGACGGGGTCTCACCATGTTAGCCAGGATGGTCTCGATCTCCTGACCTCGCGATCCACCTGCCTTGGCCTCCCAAAGTGCTGGGATTACAGGCGTGAGCCATTGCTTCTGGCCTTGTTTATTTTTTATTTTTATTTTTTTAAATTGAGACACAGCCCAGGCTGAAGTGGTGAGATCTCGGGTCACTGCAACCTTTGCTTCCTGGGTTCAAGTGATTCTCCTGCCTCAGCCTCCCAAGTAGCTGGGATTACAGGCACTAAGTCCCTATGCTGCACACAGCACAGGAACCCTTGGCCCAGCCCACAAAACTAATTTTTCCTCCTAGGCCTCTTGGCCTGTGATGGGAAGGGATGCTGTGAAGACTTCTGACATGCACTGGAGACATTTTCCCCATTGTCTTGGGGATTAACATTCGGGTCCTCATTACTCATGCAAATTTCTGCAGCCAGCTTGAATTTCTCCTCAGAAAATGGGATTTTTTTTTCTATCGCATTGTCAGGCTGCACATTTTCCAAGCTTTTATGCCCTGTTTCCCTTTTAAAACTGAATGCCGGCTGGGCGCGGTGGCTCACGCCTGTAATACCAGCACTTTGGGAGGCTGAGGTGGGCAGATCACGAGGTCAGGAGATCGAGACCATCCTGGCTAACACGGTGAAACCCTGTCTCTACTAAAAAATACAAAAAATTAGCCGGGCGTGGTGGTGGGCGCCTGTAGTCCCAGCTACTCGGGAGGCTGAGGCAGGAGAATGTGTGAACCTGGGAGGTGGAGCTTGCAGTGAGCCGAGATTGTGCTACTGCACTCCAGCCTGGGCAACAGAGCAAGACTCCGTCTGAAAAAAAAAAACAAAACCAAAACTGAATGCCTTTAACAGCACCCAAGTCACCTCTTGAATGCTTTGCTACTTAGAAACTTTTTTCCACCGGATACCCTAAATCATCTCTCTCAAGTTCAAAGTTCCATAAATCTCTAGGGCAGGGGCAAAATGCTGCCAGTCTCTTTGCTAAAACATAACAAGAGTCACCTTTGCTCCAGTTCCCAACAAGTTCCTCATCTCCATCTGAGACCACCTCAGTCTGGACCTTATTGTTCATATCACTATCAACATTTTTTTTTTTTTGAGACGGAGTTTCGCTCTTGTTGCCCATGCTGGAATGCAATGGTGTGATCTTGGCTCACCACAACCTCCACCTCCTAGGTAAGTGATTCTTCTGCCTCAGCCTCCCGGGTAGCTGAGATTACAGGCATGCACCACCACGCCTGGCTAATTTTGTATTTTTAGTAGAGAAGGGGTTTCTCCATGTTGGTCAGGCTGGTCTTGAACTCCCGATGTCAGGTCATCTGCCCGCCTCGGCCCCCCAAAGTGTTGGGATTACAGGTGTGAGCCACCATGCCTGACCCATTATCAGCATTTTTGTCAAAGCCACTCAACAAGTCTCTAGGAAGTTCCAATCTTTTCCACATTTTTCTCTCTTCTTCTGAGCCCTCTAAATAGTTTCAGCCTCTCCCTGTTACCCAGTTCTGAAGTTGCTTCCACATTTTCAGGTATCTTTTCAGCAACACTCCACTCCTGGTACTAATTTACTGTATTAGTCCATTTTCATGCTGCTGATAAAGACATACCTGAAGCTGGGCAATTTACAAAAGAAAGAAGTTTAATGGGCTTACAGTTCCACATGGCTGGGAGGCCGCACAATCACAGTAGAAAGACAAGGAGGAGCAAGTTACAACTTACGTGGATGGCAGTAGGCAAAAAGAGAACTTGTGCTGAGAAACTCCCATTTTTAAAACCATCAGATCTTTTGAGACCCATTCACTATCACCAGAACAGCACAGGAAAGACCCACCCCCATGATTCAGTCATCTCCCACTGGGTCCCTCCCACATCTTATTGGAGCTACAAGATGAGATCTGGGTGGGGACACAGAGCCAAACATATCACTGCATGTTCTCACTTATAAGTGGGAGGTAAATGATGAGAACACATTGGCACAAAGAGGGGAACAACAGACACTGGAGCCTACTGGAGGGTGGAAGATGGGAGGAGAGAGAGGATCAGAAAAAATAACTAATACTAGACTTTATACTTGGGTGAAGAAATAATCTGTACAACAAACCGCTGTGACAAGTACAAATTTGCTTATATAACAAACCTGCACATGTACCCCTGAACTTAAAAGGTAAAAAACAAACAAATGAAATCAACCCAATAGTTCCAGAGACTATTGTTTTGGATAAACATAAAAATTTATCTTTCTGGTCTTAAAGCTTGAAACTTATATTTGCTTTATTTGAGTTCCTTCATTAGTAAATGACCTTCAGGCTTCTCCCCCGCAAAAAAAAAGTATCAATGAACTGAAACTCACCAGATCACTACATCCAGACAATGAGACTTTGGACCCCTCATTCATCATGATTACTTCCTTGGCCCTCCCTACTTCCTGTTTTCTTACACATTACATTTCTTCCCCTCTGTATAAAACCCTTGTTTTAGTTGATCAGGGAGATGGATTTGAGGTTTTGAGCTCCCATCTTCTCAGCTGCAGCACCCGATTAAAGCCTTCTTCCTTGGCAATACTTGTCATCTCAGTCATTGGCTTTCTGTGCAGCGAGCTGTAGGACCTAGACTGAACCCCTGATGTTTCAATAACATATTTTGGTTCCCTGACTGGGAACATGTTGCTTGTGGCTCAGCTGCCATGGGTGGAGTCTCAGAAGCCCTCTTATGCAGCTGCCTGACAAATTTTATTTTATTTTATTATTTTATTTTATTTCCTTTGAGATGGAGTCTCACAGTGTCACCCAGGCTGTAGTGCAGTGGCACAATCTTGGCTCACTGCAACCTCTGCCTCCCAGTGCTATAGGAGTCAGAAGAAATCACTTGGGCAGATAGCCAGGGTACGGGAATCCTCAGTAAGGCTTTTCTTTTTCTTTTTTAATGAAAAGCTGCCCCAAATCATTTTCTAACAAAGAGCAGCCTGAAACCTGGGAGTTTGCAAGGGTGAATGCCAGCAGGAACTAAGGAGTAGACATGTTCAAGATAGCGACTTCATCTTCCCTTCTCTGCCAGTCATGTGTACTGTAAGGAGCAGACCAGATGGTGTCGATCACCTCGCCTCTACTAAAAATATAAAAATTAGCTGGGCGTGGTGGTGGGCGCCTATAGTCCCAGCTGCTCAGGCGGCTGAGGCAGGAGAATTGCTTGAACCGGGGAGTCAGAAGTTGCAGCGAGCTGAGATCGCACCATTGCACTCCAGCCTGGATAACGAGAGCAAAACTCTGTCTCAAAAAAAAAAAAAAAAAAAAAGAAAAAGAAAAAAAAAACAGATGGTGTCGATCAACTGGAAAGGCCATTTGCGTAACAAGATTAGGGTGGGGCAACCAGCCTTTCCTGAGCACTATGTAAACGTCATAGCTGATCAAACCAATCTGTGAGCCCTATGTAAATCAAGACACATTAAAACAGTCCACACTAAATCAGACACTGCCTCCTCAAACTGGTGTCTTCACTACCAGCCAGTCCTTTCCATTCGGAGACCTCTTCTTCTATAGAGGAAGCTATTTCTCTTTTCTCTTCTACCTATTAAACCTCTGCTCCTAAACCCCTTGTGTGTGTCTGTGTCCTAAATTTTCCTGGCCTGTGACAATGATAAATATATACCTGAGGGCATATACCCCAGACAATGTAGCCACTTCACCAGGTTCAAGTTATTCTCCTGCCTCAGCCTCCCCAGTAGCTGGACTACAGGCATGCACCATGCCCATCTATTGACCAATATCAGCTGGAAGTGAGTTTCAGTTTCTCTCTGGCCCCACCATGGTCAGCCCCAACCATCCTCCTGATTGCCTTGGAAGAATAGCCTTCGAAATTGGACATCTGCATCCAGATAGGTGAGTATCCTTTGTGGGCCCAGACAGCAGGATTTGCTCCTCTCAATTTGGGAAATTTTTAAAAGAATTTTCATTTGCAGGTTGAACAAGCCCAACTGACTGAGGGAGGGAAACACCCTGACTGTTTTTATGTGGACACTCTTGGGGGCTAGTTTATAATTGTATGTTGTGTCTGGGCAAGTGAGTGCCTCGTGTGTGTACCAGACAGCGGGATCAGTTCCTCTCAATTTGGGAAATTTCCTAAGGAATTTTTGTTTGCATTTGATCAAGCCCAACCAATGAAGAGAGGAAGCACCCTGACTGTTTGAGTTTGGACACTCTTGGGGCTTGTTTTTTGCTGCAGCAGTTGGATTGTGTTTTGGTGATCATTTGTGTGTGTTTTATATAGTCATGAGAAGTTAGAATTCGGTAAACTGATATTCATTTGCAATACTGTTGGCCCCAGTGTTGTTTGGAATCTGGCGTTTGCTGTTTGGAATCTGGAGTTTGCTGCTGAATGGGAAAGTGGGATGGAGTTGTGTGTATCCAGGCTTTTGTGCTGCTGTTCTAAGCAAGGTTGGGCCTGGCAGGTATGTGATGTTCTCCTTTGTTGCTGTTTGACCCCAATGTTCTTTGGAGTCTGAGGAGGTTTGGCCTTTAAAAATCAAACTGCCATGGAAACTACTATACCCAAAATTTTGATTCACAGCCTTCACTGAATTACCTACTGGGACAAAGTGTAACCATGTAAAACCAGTAAGCTTGTATTGCTATCTCATAGCTATAGTTCCAAGGTAAAAGCTATTGGATCTTTGTTTATGTGTGTATATTCATGTTTAGATGTGTTTATTTGTATGTACCCTTATTGGTATATGTTGTGTCTACCAAATTGGCTTATAAGTAAAACAGCACTCATAAATTAAATAAGTCAAAGCAATTTTCAAGTTCGTGTGAGTTAAGTAAATTTTTTCGAAACCAGCTGGCTGTAAAATTATTGGTAAAATGAAAATAAAAATGTCTTCAAAATTGTGAGCATACATTTTTGTCTGGATTTTATATTTGTCTCTGGTAGATATTTTGAGGTTTCAGGGTTTGGCATAGAAGGTTATAAAATTATAAACCCAGCCAAAACAAATGATCTTCATGAAAATTTTTTGAAAAGTAGTATTACGGGATCACTGGATGTCAATTTTTCTGGCCAGAAACCTCTGTGGCCAGTGGTGCTTTGCCTGAGTTCTTGTCCTGCGTTCAGGAAGAATGAGGTACTCAGGCAAGTGAACCAGACAAAGAGGAGCTTTATTTAGTATTAGAGCAGCTCAGGGGAGACGCACAGTGGGTAGCTCCTTTCTGTTACTCGTTGTCCCAACGTCTGCTGCTCTCAGCAGAGAGGAGGCCCTGGAGAGGACAGCTCCTGTCTGCTACTGGTCATCTTGACGTATGCTGCCCTCAGCAGAGAGGAGGCCCTGGAGAGGATGGCTCCTCTCTGAAGCTGGTCCACGCAATGTCTCTTCTGGTCTCTGAAGCTCTTAGCAGAGAGGGTAGCTCCTTTCTGCCAGCTGGCCATCCCATTGTCTCTAGCTATCAGCAGGGGGAATAGCTCCTCTCTGCATTTGGTCCTCTTGTTGTCTCCCCAACCTCTGCCCTGCTGTGGCTGAGCCCAGGGCTTTTATGTGGCTCGGGGAAGGGAGTGTGTGCTGACTGGTCCACAGGAAAAAGCACCATGAGTTCCTCCTCCAATCAGCAGGAATGGCAGCCTGGCCCCCACACTTCAGGCCTGTCCTGGCATGAAGGTGGGGCTTCACTGGGGACTTGCCCCCTTCCACCCAGGAGCCTGTCTGCCTTCCACAGCCATCCATAGTGCCCAGGCTGCTGGCACCAAGGGGCACCTGCAGGCCAGCACCAGTCACTCTCAGCCCCTCTCAACTTCCCTTCCTGCACTCCTCAGTGCCCAAAGTCCAGAGGGGGGCAGGGCAGCAGGGGACTGGCGTGTCAGCACTGCCCTGAGCTTGCACACACCTGGCAGCACTGTGACAGCCCCTGGACTTGGCCCCAAGCCTGGTCCAAGATCAGAGTGGGCACCGGGAGCAGGGAAAGGCCAAGCAGCAAGAGCAGGGAGAGGCCAAGCAGCAGGAGCAGGCAACTCTGAGCCTACAAGGGCAAGGAGGGGGCCTTTTCAGGCCCCCCAAGAGTGCAGGGATGCCTGGGTCTGCAGCCCCAATTTGGGCGGCTGCAGCACCCCACAGCGGGGTGGGGTTCCTGCCTGCTCTGTGGAACTGGAGGCCTGTATCTGGAGCTGTGGACCAAGTTGCTGCAGCTGCACCCAGGAAGGGATGGATCCTGCCTGCTCCTGGCCCCAACAAGAGCACAGGGAGGCTCAGATCTGCAGCGAACACCTGTAGTCCCAGGTACTCAGGAGACTGAGGCAGGAGAATTGCTTGAACCTAGGAGGCAGAGATTGCAGTGAGCTGAGATTGTGTTACTGTGCTCTAGGCCAGGGAACAAAGCAAGACTCTGTCTCAAAAAAAAAAAAAAGACTTTTGTCAACCACAATCGATGTTTTGCTTTGATTCTTCTCAAAAAGTGACTTACAATCAGCTACAGTCCAGGGCTTGCTTCTTTGGAGGAGTTCATTAAAAGGACTTTTGATTTGCAGGTTTCTGATAACTTTGGGGTTTGTGCCACTGAATTAGAGAGAAAACTTCCAGGACTGTAATTGAAAAGCTGGTGTGTTCATAAAGATTGCTAACTCAATATGAAACAGAGCAAGAGTTGATTGCATGAATTGAAACTGAAACTGAAATAGTTTTTATGGCTTTTTGTTTGAAATATTGCTGATTCTTTTGTTTGTTTGTTTGTTTGAGACGGAGTTTCCCTCTTGTTGCTCAGGCTGGAGTGCAGTGGCGGATCTTGGCTCACTGCAACCTCTGCCTCCCAGGTTCAAGTGATTCTCCTGCCTCAGCCTCCTGAGTAGCTGGCATTTCAGGCATGCATCACCATGCCCAGCTAATTTTGTATTTTTAGTAGAGACAGGGTTTCTCTATGTTGGTCAGGCTGGTCTCGAACTCCTGACCTCAGGTGGTCCACCCACCTCAGCCTCCCAAACTGCTGGGATTACAGGTGTGAGTGACCACGCCCAGCTATATTGCTGATTCTTTTTGTTTTTTCAGAGTCTGAATAATTTTTCCTTTTGAGCTGTTTATAGCCTTTAAGCATACTTTAAGTGTATTAAGTGGAGTATACTTTTTTTTTTTTTTTGAGATGGAGTCTCGCTCTGTTGCCCAGGCTGGAGTGCAATGGTGTGATCTTGACTCACTGCAACCTCCACCTCCTGGGTTCAAGCAATTATCCTGCCTCAGCCTACTGAGTAGCTGGGATTACAGGTGTGCACCACCACTCCCAGCTAATTTTTGTATTTTCAGTATAGATGGGATTTTGCCATGTTGGCCAGGCTGGTCTTGAACTCCTGACCTCAGCTGATCTGCTTGCCTTAGCCTCCCAAAGTGCTAGCCACTGCACCCAGCAAAAGTGCAGTGTACTTTTTAATTTTTTTGAGATGGAGTGTCACTCTGTTGCCCAGGCTAGAGTGCAGTGGCGTGATCTTGGCTCACTGCAACCTCCGCCTCCTGGACCCAAGTGATTCTCCTGCCCCAGCCTCCTGAGTAGCTGGGATTACAGGCGTGCGCCACCATGTCTGGCTAATTTTTGTATTTTTAGTGGAGACAGGGTTTCACCATGTTGGCCAGGCTGGTCTCAAACTCCTGACCTCAAGTGATCCACCAGCCTCAGCCTCCCAAAGTGCTGGGATTACAGACGTGAGCCATCGCACCCAGCTGAGTATACTTTTGTAAACAGAATTTGAGTCATATATCTCTCTCTGCCTAATTTCTCCAAAATTTGTAAACTATTTGTGAATATTCTTAATTCATGGCAATGTATATGTTTGCATATACTTAATAACAACATATTTTCAGCCAGGCGCGGTGGCTCACTCCTGTAATCCCAGCACTCTGGGAGGCCGAGGTGGGCGGATCACGAGGTCAGGAGGTCGAGACCATCCTGGCTAACACGGTGAAACCCCATCTCTACTAAAAACACAAAAAATTAGCTGGGCGTGGTGGTGGGCGTCTGTAGTCCCACCTACTCGCAAGGCTGAGGCAGGAGAATGACGTGAACCCAGGAGGCAGAGCTTGCAATGAGCCAAGATTGTGCCACTGCACTCCAGCCTGGGCAACAGAGCGAGTGTCCATCTCAAAAAAAAAAAAAAAAAAAAAAACCAACAACATATTTTCTTTTGTAACAGGGCACAATTGAAGGAACTGGTTTTATTATCATTATTATTATTATTATTATTATTATTTTGAGACAGAGCCTTGCTCTGTCACCCAGGCTGGAGTGCAGTGGCATGATCTTGGCTCACTGCAAGCTCCGCCTCCTGGGTTCACGCCATTCTCCTGCCTTAGCCTCCCGAATAGCTGGGACCACAGGTGCCCACCACCACGCCTGGCTAATTTTTTTTTTTTGTATTTTTAGGAGAGACAGGGTTTCACCATGTTAGCCAGGATGGTCTCGATCTCCTGACCTCATGATCCACCCACCTCGGCCTCCCAAAGTGCTGGGATTACAGGTGTGAGCCACCACACCTGGCCAGGAACTGGTTATTTTCTCAGGGCTTTGACTGAAATGGTCTTGTGAGATGTTCCAGCAAAGCTGATTTGGGAGAGTCTATATGGACAATGATTCTTGCTGCACTGTGTGTGGGTAATCAGGTCGATTATATGGGACTGCAGCTTATTTTGCAGGTAGATTGGTCCTGCTGTGATTTGTCTTTGGTGGAAGCAGTGGACTGTAGAGAGAAATATCATGTGTCAGAAGAAACTCTACATTAGATTAACCTTTGATCCCTGGATGGCTACATGGTCACCCATGGTATGGAGCTGCCTATGACACCCCTCCTCATTATGAAGCAGCCAGAAAGATAGACAACCAGATTCCTCATGATTGAGGAATTGATCAATAGAAAGGGGGCACTGAAACCAACCCAATAGTCCCATAGACTGTTCTTTTGGATAAACATAGAAATTGACCTTTCTGATCTTAAAGCTTGAACCTTATATTTGTTCTACTTGAGTTCCTTCCTCAGGAAAGGACCCTTAGGCCTTTTAAAAAAAAAAAGAAAACTGAAACTCATCAGATCATTACATTTGGATAGACTTTGGACCCCTCATTCATCGCGATTGCTTTCTTACCCTTCTCTAGTTCCTGTTTGCCTACACATTGTTACATTTCTTCCCTGCTATATAAACCCTTTGTTTTAGTCAGTCAGGGAGATGGATTTGAGGCTGAGCTCCCATATCCTGGGCTGCAGCACCCGATTAAAGCCTTCTTCCTTGGCAATACTTGTCGTCTCAGTCATTGGCTTTCAGTGTGGCGAGCAGCAGGACCTGGACTGAACCCCTCGTGTTTTGGTAACACAAAAAGAAGATGGCTGACTGGAGGCATCTTGCACTTGCCTCCTCCACAAAGAAGAACCAAAATAGCGAATAGATAATAATACTTTGAATCAAGCATCTAAGGGAGACCACTGGAACTCAACAGGGAAGTGACAGGAAACACCTGAGGCACAGGAGGAGAGGGAAGCGAGACAGCCAGCTCTGCAGGCCAGGATTGGCTGGGAGGCCAAGGAGTTTCCCCAGTGTGGGAAAGTGTAAATGAGAGATCCCTAGTGATCCACATTCCCACCTGAAACCCGAGACATGGGAGAACCTCGTGATCCTTGCAGGCCCTGAGAATAGTGTAGGAGCTGCCTGGAGACTGTGTGACGTCAGTGCTCTAGAGAGGGAGCTCACACTGGGTCCCACACCCCTCCTCCATGACCCCTAAGCAGCTGCAGCATGGGATCATTTTTAGAGCTAAGCACCTATCAGACTGCATTCTGTCCTGGGGCCCAACAGCCCTTGCATCTCCACATCTCTGGAGCCTCACTGACATCCACCTGTGTCCACCTGGAGGGCTGAAGCAGCAGACGTGGTTGGACCCAGTAGAGGTTCCCTCTGATGTGGTTGCTCTAGCACACAGTATCTTGTACCCTAGGGAACAGGTAGTATAGCACACCAGGGAAGCTGCCCCTGGGGCAAACAGAGCCAAAACACAAAGTCCCTAGAGCCTGAGGGAGATGGGTTAATGGACACAAACATACAGTTAAATAGAAGGAATAAGTTCCAATATTCCACAGCAGAGTAGGGTGACTATAATTTGCAACAATATATTGTCTATTTCAAAATAGCTAGAAGAGAGGACTTTAAAGGTTCCTAACACATAGAAATGATAAATACTTGAAGTGATTATGAGAAACCCTCACCTGTCCAAAATCAAAGAATGGACTCAGAGACACGAAATGCAGCAGAAGCGAGACTTAATGGCGGTCTTGCAAGATCAGGTGTCCGGTAGGCAGGCATACCCGGGGCAGTTACAACAGGTAATTTATCTCCTAGCACGCAAGGCCCTCCCCCAGCTCCTCGTTGGTCTAGTACTATGGGGTTACAATCTTCCCGGACATCGCCTAAGTTTCATTATCCCCTTATAAGGTTATACCCCAGTCCCCTTCCTCACTTAAGTTTCAATTTCCCAATAATGAAACTTTCTTCCCTTTTATGGGCTGACCCCTCCTCTACATTCTGTTCTCTTATCGTGACTTTCTAGGTGCATGAGTTGTTCGGTTTGTCACATCTGCAGGCTGGCTGCCAGTACACAGATTTATCATGCCTTGAAAATAGACCATTTAAAATATTCTCTCACAAATTCCCTCCTCTTTTCTATTTACTTTCCTCAGTCTCATTTTTATCTAAACCCTTTTGGTCCTGAAATTGCTCTAGAAGTCATTTACTTTCTTCCTCATAGGAGAGTGAGTTTAATTTGGTTTCTAATAGTAGTAGGTTATTTTTCTGGTAAATCATGGGCATTTGTTTATTAATAGCTGTTTCAGGCCGGGCGCGGTGGCTCATGCCTGTAATCCCAGCACTTTGGGAGGCTGAGGCAGGCGGATCACTTGAGGTCAGGCCAACATAACAGCACCCCATCTCTACTAAAAATACAAAAATCAGCCTGGCATGGTGGTGCACACCTGTAATCGTAGCTACTCCAGAGGCTGAGGCAGGAGAATTGCTTGAACCCGAGAGGCAGAGGTTGCAGTGAGCTGAGATCGTGCTACTGCACTCCAGCCTGGGCGATAGAAGGAGACTCCAAAAAAAAAAAGAAAAGAAAAAATAGATGTTTCAGTTAATCTCTGTGCTAGTCCCCTCACACAAAGGATAATACAACATCCCACTGCTAAGACTTCTGCTACAATTATGAGAGATGTAAGGATTGAAGCTACCATGTACCATGCCTTTCCTTTTTTTTTTTTTTTTTTTTTTTTTGAGATGAAGTTTCACTGTAGCCCAGGCTGGAGTGCAGTGGTGCAAACTCAGCTCATTGCAATCTCTGCCTCCCAGGTTCAAGCGATTCTCCTGCCTCAGCCTTCCAAGTACCTGGGTCTACAGGCACACACCACCATGCCTGGCTAATTTTTGTATTTTTAATAGAGACAGAGTTTCATCATATTGGCCAGGCTGGTCTCAAACTTCTGAACTTATGATCCGCCCCACTCGGCCTCCCAAAGTGCTGGGATTATAGGCGTGAGCCACCATGCCCAGCCACCTTTCCATTTTTTTTTTTTTTTTTTTTTGAGACAGAGTCTCATTCAGTCGCCCAGGCTGAAGTGCAGTGACGCGATCTCGGCTCACTGCAAGCTCTGCCTCCCGGGTTCAAGCCATTCTCTTCCTGAGTAGCTCCTCCTCTCCTCAGCCTCCCGAGTAGCTGGGACTACAGGCACCTGCCACCACGCCCTGCTAATTTTTTTGTATTTTTAGTAGAGACGGGGTTTCACCATGTTAGGCAGGATGGTCTTGATCGCCTGACCTCGTGATCCACCCGCCTCGGCCTCCCAAAGTGCTGGGATTACACGTGTGAGCCACCGGGCCTGGCCCACCTTTCCATTTTTTAAACCATCTTTCTAGCCAGTCTATAAATGGGTCATCAATCCCAGCATTTTCTGCCAGTTTGTTGGCTAGGGTTGTTAGCCCTTGTAATGCCTTTGTGATAGTTCTATCTGGGGCAGTATTATTGGGAATGAAAGTACAACATTTTCCACCTAGCATAACACATACACCTCCTTTTTCTGCTAATATCATATCTAATGCAAACCTGTTTTCCTAGGCTGGTGGCATCTAACTGGCTAGCCACCCCCTTGAGGGCATCTTGAGTATAATGAATGTCTGTTGATTATAATAGATGTAATTAATCCAATCTACTTTTTTGTTAATAGTTGACCAGCAGAAGAGTGCTGACTCAAACCCCACAGCTATTTGGTTTTGGGCCTTGAATTAATTAGGCACCCCCCTGGGGACTCACTGTGTCAATGTAGATATTGGGATTAAAGGAATTTGTTAAATGTCTCCGGTTTTGGTGGCCATGTGAATTTTCAGGTATCTTATGGAATGCCAGGGTAAAGGGAACAGCCAGTTGGACTAAAGCACAAGTACCGGTCCAATTGGACCGTAACAGGTTATGGAGGTTCCTCTTCCCACAGTACCACCAGACATCAGCCCAGGGTATATGGAGAACTGAGTAATTGCCATTGCCTGACTCACCAGTGACGTTTAGGATGTGGGTACAAGTCAAGAGTTCTCCCATGGACTTATTGAACTCAGCCTCCTGCCTGGAGAGACAAGAGGAGTGGTTCATACTCCCTATAGAGAATGAGGGGATTGCTGTGGGATCCGACCTCTGCAATGCAGGAAAGAGTAATGACAGACTCTTACAAGTCTCATCTCCCCATGCATTCTTGTCCTGGTATAGAGCCAACATGCAATGCATTCCTTCAGGATTGGTATCCCGTCCTAGGGGAAACGGAACCACCTGTGCTTGTGGTCATCCTGCAGCACACATGTAGCAGTTACTCTTGTTGAGGGCTTGTACCAAAAATTTGACCTATTTGACCCAGGCATTCACATCTGCTTACCCTGTCTCAATTTCTTTTGCCTTTTTCCCCCTTCTTTCCTTCCTTCCTTCCTTCCTTCTGTCCTTCCTTTTTCTTTCTTTTCTTTCCTTCTTTCCTTTCTTTTTTTTGAGATAGAGTCTCACTCTGTTGCCCAGGCTGGAGTGCAGTGGCACAATCACGGCTCACTGCAACCTCCGCCTCCCAGGTTCAAGCTATTCTCCTGCCTCAGCCCCACTAGTAGCTGGGATTACAGGCACATGCCACCATGCCAGGCTAATTTTTGTATTTTTAATAGGGACGGGTTTTCGCCATGTTGGCCAGGCTGGTCTCAAACTCCGGGCCTCAGGTGATCCACCCGCCTTAGCCTCCCAAAGTGCTGGGATTACAGGTGTGAGCCACCGCACATGGCCCCCGTCCCAATTTCTAAGGTTTGCCTTAAATCCTTCAATTATTTCTATTCTTTTAGGATTATTGTTGGGTGAACTAGAGTGTTTGTTGGGGTCTGGAGTTGGAGTGGTCCCAGGCAAATGAGAGGTTGAGTTCTCGACTAACTTGAGGATAAATCTACCTAAAGGATCCCTCCCAATAATATCTGCCCCTAACTCATATACTCAAGATGCTACCTCTGGCTTTTGGTTTAAAATGACTGGGTTGTCAATAAAGATGAGTATAGCATTACATTGTAGATTCTGACAATTATTTGGTGGGGAGCCCTTGGACAGTTGTATTTTATTATTTAGGGCCCTCCAAGATGGGGTTACCCACCCCATATTGACAGTCCAACCCTGGTATTTGGTGGTCCAGCAAACATCATCCCAGCTAGGTCAGGGACTTGCCCTACGGTAGCCTTTGTCTGGTTCAGGGCAGAGATATACTTATCTGCCTGTGAAAGCTGCCTCTGGTTTTCTAAACTTCTACAGGATAAAATTTGGCAGGCATCAAACTATAGTTTGGGGTGCTATTGTTCTAGTCACATTAATCACCAATTTGATCGGGTAGGAAGGGGTCTCCTGCCAATTTCCATTTTGACCTTCCACCCTTTGTATAGTAAGCCATCCCAACCACATTAATTTCCAAAAGTAGGGCCTTCCCATGGTCTTCTTTGTTAAGTTTTTTTTCAGACTCAACTTTAAAGATTTCTCGGGTAACTGATACACTTTCCACTGGTCTTTCTTCCTCCCTTCTGGGGTTTCTTTTACCAGTCTCTTGACTCATGTATAGTGAGTCCACCCCCGTTCAGCTTTTCATACAGCTGTCTTGGTGGTCAGGAGCACTTGATAGGGAACTTCCCAGCTGGGTTGGAGCATATCTTCTTTCCAAGTCTTAATCAGCACCAAGTCATTGGATTGGAAGTGGTGAACTGTGAACTCAAGAGGCAGGGTTTGAGTTAGAAGTCCTTTTAACCTAAGGGATGACAAGGTGGAGTATATGGCCAGTATATAATTTCTTAAGAATTGGTCCTTGGTTTTCATAGTAGGAAGATCTGTAGCCCTGCCCAAATATTGGAGTCTGTATAATAACTCATATGGGGACAGTCCCAAGTCTGTTTTTGGGGGCTGTCCTTACCCTAAGGAGTGCTACTGGAAGACATTTGGTCCAAGGAATTTTAGTTTAGTTTAGTTTTTTTTTTTTGTTTTTGAGATGGAGTCTCACTCTGTCGCCAAGGCTGGAGTGCATTGGCGCTATCTCGGCTCACTGCAAGCTCCGCCTCCTGGGTTCACGCCATACTCCTGCCTCAGTCTCCCAAGTAGCTGGGACTACAGGCGCCCGCCACCACGCGTGGCTAATTTTTTGTATTTTTTAGTAGAGATAGGGTTTCACCGTGTTAGCCAGGATGGTCTCAATTTCCTGACCTTGTGATCCACCTGCCTCGGCTTCCCAAAGTGCTGGGATTACAGGCATGAACCACCGTGCCCAGCCGAATTTTAGTTTTTAAGATTAGTTTGGTAATATGCTTTTTGAGAGTTTGATTCATTCTTTCTACGTTTCCAGAGGAAGGGGGATGCCAAAGGGTGTGATAATCCCATGTAATTTGTAAACCTTCCGTAATTCCCCTTAATACCCTTGAGGTAAAATGGCTCCCATTGTCTGAATCAGTATTTTCTACCAAGCCAAATCGGGGTATAATCTGCTCTAAGATTATTTTGATCACATTCGTGGCAGTAGCTGTTGGAAGGGGAAAGGCTTCCACCCTGCTGGAAAGGTAATCTGCTATCACCAGCAAATACTTTAGTTTTCCTACTTCAGGCATTTCTGTGAAATCTACTTGAATGCTCTGGAATGGTCTCAGTCTGGGAGGTCTTCCTCCTGTGGCCTGTTTTCTAATTACCTTTTTGTTTGTCCTTTGACAAGTTACACAACTTCCACATATTTGTTTAGTGAGGGTGTGGATCCAGTTATTCCTAGGTATTCCATCACACAGAGCCTGGGGTTCCCAATGACTCCCTTTGCGTAATATAGACATTAGTTCTGTCATCAGGGGTTTACTTATCATTTCTCTCCCATCAGGAAGTACCCATTTCCCATCTTTAGTTCGAGTGACCCTCTATCCTGTCTAATTCTTCTTTCTTCTCTCTGGTAAGCTGGGGTCTTCATACTACCTTAGGGATGTCTGGGATCAGGCTAAATAGTCTAATTTCTTTCTCCAGGGAGGCTTGCTTAGCAGTTTCATCTGCAAGCCTGTTTTCTGCAGCTTCTATAGTGTTTCCTTTCTGATGACCATTTACTTTTATTTTTATTTATTTATTTATTTATTTATTTATTTTTGAGATGGAGTCTCTCTCTTGTCTCCCAGGCTGAAGTGCAATGGCGTGATCTCAGCTCACTGCAACCTCCACCTCCCAGGTTCAAGTGATTCTCCTGCCTCAGTCTCCTGAGTAGCTGGGATTACAGACACCTGCCACCAAGCCTGGCTAATTTTTGTATTTTTAGTAGAGACAGAGTTTTGCCATGTTGGCCAGGCTGGTCTCGAACTCCTGACCTCAGGTGATCCACCCACCTCGGCCTCCCAAAGTACTGGGATTACAGGTGTGAGCCACCACGCCCAGCCTGTCTGATGACCATTTATATGAACTATGGTTACTTCTGCTGGAAGAAGGAGGTTTCTAAAACCTGTCTGACCAGTTCCCCAAGTACCAATTCTTTTCCCTTGCTATTTATTAGGCCCTGCTCTGTCCAGATTTTTCCAAAACTGTGTACCACCCCATAGGCATATTTAGAATCAGTATATATAGTGCCTTCTTGGCCTTCAAGGAGCTTTATGGCCTGGTTAAGAGCATATAATTCACAAGTTTGGGCTGACCAGCCATTAGGTAATCTACCTTCCTCACATAAGGAGTGTTTATTTTTATTAATGACAGCATGACTGTTATGTTTCTTGGCATCTATCACTCTGGATGACACATCCACAAACAGGCTTATCCTACCATGTAGGGGAGCTTCTCTAAGGTCTGGGCTAACTTTGATTTGGTATTCTATGATATCTAAGGCAGTTATGGACTGATGCCTCTTTGTTCTTCTCTCCTTTCCATAAGAAACTGGCTGGATTCAGGCAAGTATCTGTTGTTATGACCAAATCATCTTTTTCTAGTAACATGGCTTCATATTTTAGAATCCAAGAATCCATTAACCATCTCTTGGCTTTTTGATTTAATATATTCCTGACCCGATGTGGGGTGCTCACTGTTAGGCCCCAGCAAAGGTTAACTTTTGACTCTCATCTGCCAGCAGGGCTGTGGCAGCTACTACTTGCACACATTTGGGCTATCCTCAAGAGACAGGATTGAGAAGCTTGGAGACAAAAGCAACAGGTTGCCTCTTCCCTCCCCAGGTTTGAGTGAGCACCCCAAGAGCCACACCCTGGTCTACTGTTACAAATAGATGGAATGGTTTCTCTAAAGATGGGAGGGCCAGGACCGGGGCTGTAAGGAGGGCCTGCTTTAGCTCTTTTGTGTCTGGAATTGGTGGGTTCTTGATTTCACTGACTTCAAGAATGAAGCCGCAGACCCTTGCGGTGAGTGTTATAGTTCTTAAAGCCAGAGTGTCTGGAGTTTGTTCATTCTGATGTTTGGATGTGTTTGGAGTTTCTTCCTTCTGGTGGGTTCGTGGTCTCGCTGGCTCAGGAGTGAAGCTGCAGACCTTCACAGTGAGTGTTACAGTTCACAAAGGCAGTGCGGACCCAAAGAGTGAGCAGCAGCAAGATTTATTGCAAAGAGCAAAAGAACAAAGCCTCCACAGTGTGAAAGGAGACCCGAGCAGGTTGCCACTGCTGGCTGGGGCAGCCTGCTTTTATTTCCTTATCTGGCCCCACCTACATCCTGCTGATTGGTGCATTTTGACAGGGTGCTGATTGGTGTGTTTACAATCCCTGAGCTAGACACAAAAGTTCTCCAAGTCCCCACAGAGCACTGGTTGGTGCATTTACAAACCTTGAGCTAGACACAGGGTGCTGACTGGTGTGTTTACAAACCTTGAGCTAGACACAGAGTGCTATTGGTGTATTTACAATCCCTTAGCTAGACATAAAGATTCTCCAAGTCCCCACCAGATTAGCTAGACACAGGGTGCTGATTGGTGTGTTTACAAACCTTGAGCTAGGCACAGAGTCCTGATTGGTGTATTTACAATCCCTTAGCTAGACATAAAGATTCTCCAAGTCCCCACCAGATTAGCTAGACACAGGGTACTGATTGGCGCATTTACAATCCTCTAGCTAGACATAAAAGTTCTCCAAGTCCCCACCAGATTAGGTAGGTACAGAGCACTGATTGGTGCATTTACAAACCTTTAGCTAGACACAGAGTGCTGATTCGTGCGTTTACAATCCTTTAGCTAGATGTAAAAGTTCTCCAAGTCCCCACCAGATTAGCTAGATACAGAGTGCTAATTGGTGCATCCACGAACTCTGAGCCAGACACAGAGTGCTGATTGGTGCATATACAATCCTCCTGCTAGACATAAAAGTTCTCCAAGTCCCCACCCGACTCAGGAGCCCAGCTGGCTTTGCCTAGTGGATCCCTCGCCGGGGCAGCGGGTGTACGCCTGCATTCCTCAGCCCTTGGGCGGTCGATGGGACCAGGCACTGTGGAGCAGGGGGTGGCACCTGTCGGGGAGGCTCAGGCCATGCGGGAGACTACTGCAGGGTGGGGGCTCGGGCATGACGGGCTGCCATTCCTGAGCCCTGCCTTGCGGGGAGGCGGCTGAGGCCCAGAGAGAATTTGAGCATGGCACAGGCGGGCTAGCAGTGCTGGGGGACCCGGCGCCCCCTCTGCAGCTGCTGGCCCAGGTGCTAAGCCCCTCACTGCCTGGGGCCGGCGGCGCTGGCCGGCCGCTCGGAGTGCGGGGCCTGCCAAGCCTGTGCCCACCTGGAACTCGCCCTGGCCCGTGAGTGCCACATGCAGCCCCGGTTCCCGCCCATGCCTCTCCCTCCACACCTCCCTGCAAGCAGAGGGAGCTGGCTTCGGCCTCGGCCAGCCCAGAGAGGGGCTCCCATAGTGCAGCTGCAGGCTGAAGGGCTCCTCAAGCACGGCCAGTGAGGCCGAGGAGGTGCTGAGAGCCAGCGAGGGCTGCGAGGGCTGCCAGCACGCTGTCACCTCTCACTTTCACTGCCTGAATTTCCTCTGGGGACTACTGCAAAGGATCAGGTTCCTCTTCTTGTGACTTGAGATACAGGATCTTTGTCTTTTGAGCACATGAGTCAATCCATAACCTCCAGTAGCCAGTTAAACCTAAAAATTTTCAGAGTTCTTTCTTTGTCTTAGGCAGAAGCCCACTATTCCTGGTATTCTTTCTGGGTTTATTCTCCACCTCCCTTCATTAATCAGGTATCCTAAATATTTAACTTATTTTTCTACAAACTGCAATTTGTTCTTAGAGATTTGCAACCCCCTTTCTCCTAGGGAATTAAGCAAGCTTATGGTGGTTTCTGATACTTTGGTCTTCCTCTCCCTAGAAATTAAAAGATCATCTACATATTGTAATAACTGGTTTCCCCTGGAAGGTTGGAATTCCTTCAGGACTTTTTCTAAGATTTGACCAAATAAGTTTGAGGCATCTGTGAAGCCTTGTGGCAGCACAGTCCAGCAGTACTGTTGTTTTCTGCCAGTTATGGGATTTTCCCATTCAAAGGCAAAGAGATCCCTACTCCTAAAGTCTAGGGGACATCTTTTCTTTCCTGCTCCTCTGTTAGGAGGCCCATCATTACTTTTATTTGTCCTTCCTCTATTCCTAATCCTAAACCCAATCTCACAATCAGGTCTCAACTCAGGAGGTTAGTTGCCTGCTTCAGGAACATATAAGAGTGACCCCTCTATTTGTTCTGGTCCTAATCTAATTACCATTTTCTTGAATATCAGAACCTGAAATCCCTCCCCTTTTACCCCTGATACTGTCAATTTTTCCTTCGAGTCCTGTACCCCTTGGTTGATTAATTAGGAAGGAGAGAGACAGCCCAGTATCAAGCAAAAATGTTACTTCTTCCCCATCGGGTCCCACCCTCAAATTTATCAAGAGTTCCTGGTGGGACCTACTTACAAGGAACCCCTGACTCCCTAATCTTCATCAAAAGTCATACAGTGGATTACTTCTCTTCCTTTTTCCATTCTGGACATTCTCTTTTAAAATGTCCTGGTTTTCCACACTTGTAACATCCACTTACAGTCTTAGGAGTTTTTCCTTGTATTTCTCTTCTGTCTTTTTGCTGAAACCTAGTATTTTCTTGTCTCCTCTGAGAGGGGTCTTGATCTAACTTCTTCCTGACTACCTCCTCTGCAGTGGAAACCATTATTTTCGCTTTTTGTTTCTGTTTCTCCTCTTCTCTTCTCACAAAGATCTTTTTGAGCTTCCCTCAGTAATTCCTCAATTGATTTTTCATTCCAACCATCAATCTTCTGTAATTTTTTTGTAATGTCAGGCTAGCTCTTAGTTACAAAGTTAACATTCAAAAGGCCTTGCCCTACTGGGGCCTCCAGATCTAATCCAGAGTATTTTCTCATCTGATCTCTGAGCCTCTGCAGGAATGCAGAGGGAGTTTCCTCTTTTTCTTGTTGAATCTTTGAGACATTTGAGACATTTTGTGTCCTAGAAGTCAATTATTTGATCCCTTTAATTATTAGTTCCCTGAGGTCCTGCATTTGGGCCTGGTCCCTGGGATCATTATTATCCCATTCGGGATTGACATTTGGAAATTTTTTGTTTGGCTGGCAAGACTCCTTTCCTCGGAGGATGTTGCCTCTTCCAGATGGTCATTGCCACCCTCCTAATCATTCCTCTTTCTTCTCCTGTGAATAAGATATTCATGATAGGCATTATTTCAGTCCAGGTATAAAAGCTGGTCCTAGGAATTGGTACAACTTGTCTGCTAAATGAAGGGGATCCTCTAGGAGTGGTTTCATTACCTTCTTGAAATTCCTAACTTCAGTACTTGTAAGAGGAGCGTTTACAAAGCCAATCTCTTTCTGTCCTGTGGGAACTTCCCTAAGAGGGAACATGCTAGATGTTTGCTGTTTGGAGGGGATAGGGAAGTTCTCAATATCTCTTTTACATTATTCTAATTCTTTTCTTAAATTTGGATAAGGGTCTAAAGGAGCAGTTGGTTCAGCTCCCCCATGGTCTCCAGGTCTTTCTTTCTCTAACTCTCCTGCTGCCCCTTGATCTCCCTGTCCCCTATTTTGTGAGACATATGGAGGGGGCTCCCATGATAGGGGGTCCCAGGGCTTTTCACTGGGCAAGGGCTTTTTACTAGGCTCTTTTTCTTCTTCTTTGAGGGGGGAACATGGGGGCTAATTCCTTGATCCCACAGACAGCATAACCTATCTTCTCCTGTGCAGATGGGGTTTTATCATTCACATAGAGAATTAAAGCTTGGCACACCCAATCCTCATCTGAGCCAACCTTAGGCCAAAAGACTGAAGGCTTATGAATGGGGTCTTTGGGTCAGGTAAAACAGCAATACTTTATCAACTTTTGCTTTTCCTTGTCCCTGGCTGCAGGGTTGTCCCTCCAAACCTGCAACATTCATTCACCCCAAAGGACTATCTGGGGGAATGTCAGAGGGAGTCTCTTTGGCTCCCTCTTTCCTTTGTCCCTAGGCCTAGAATTTCTGTTTCCCATTTTTGGCCAGTCTCTGTGTCTGGGCCTTTCCCTATGTACTCAACCCTCCTACTGGAGGTTTCTTGCACACCCTGAGAATCGCTTCATCTGTTTCCTGCCGATTCCCTCGCAGGAGAACGGAACTGTGGATTGGGACTCCGTGCTTGCTTCGTATCTAGGGTATGTCTCAGTCACACACACTCAACCTCCAAAAATGCCCAACCACCAAGGTGGTACTTACAGTCTGGTTTTCCTACCTTGGCTCATGCACAAGGTTGCCTGGTTGCCATAGTGTCTGCTTTTCTCCCTATGTCACCTCTGCTGCCTGCTGAATAACAATCTCAGGTTTGTCTATGGCCTATGTGGGGAGCTGGGACACCTGCACAGAGCGGGCCACCTAAAATTGGGTGAGATGTGTCTCCCCTCTTGGCTGGAGTCCCATTCCATGCAGGCACAGAGATCCTGGATGAGCCCCCAAGTTTGTGAGAAACGCTCACCTGTCCAAAATCAAATAATGGACTCAGAGACAGGAAGTGCAGCAGAAGCAAGACTTTTAATGGCAATCTTGCAAGATCAGATGTCTGGTAGGCAGGCACACCTGGGGCAGTTACAGCAGGTAATTTATCTCCTAGCATGCAAGTCTTTCCCCCAGTTCCTTACTGGTTGAGTACTACAGGGTTACAATCTTCCCAGACGTCACCTAAGTTTCATTATCCCCTTATAAGGTTATACTCTGGTCCCCTTCCCTGCCTATGTTTCAACTTCCCAATAATGAAACTTTCTCACCTTTTATGGGCTGACCCTTCTTCTACATCTTGTTCTCTTATGATGATTTTCTAGGTGCATGAGCCATTCAGTTTGTCACATCTGCAGGGTGGCTGCTAGTACATAGATTTATCATGCCCTGAAAATGAACCATTTAAATGTTTTTTCACAATGGCATATACCCTAAATGCCCTGACTTGATCATTACATATGCTATGCATATAACAAAATACCACATGCACCCCATAAAAATGTACAAATATTATATATCAATAAAAAATTTAAAAAAAAAGAAAAAGGGAGAAAGATGTTGAATCTACAACCACACTTTACAATCTAAGGAAGTAGAAAAAGAAAAACAAATGGTAGCAGAAAGAAAGAAATGAAGACTAGAGCAGAGATAAATGAAATAAGAAATAGAGAAAACAATAGAGAGAATCAATAAAAACCAAAAGTTGTTTGTTTGAAAAGATCAACAAAAGGCTGGGCTCGATGGCTCACGCCTGTAATCCCAGCACTTTGGGAGGCTGAGGTGGGCGGATCACGAGGTCAAGAGATTGAGACCATCCTAGCCAATATGGTGAAACCCCATCTCCACTAAAAATACAAAAATTAGCTGGGCATGGTGGTGTGTGCCTGTAGTCCCAGCTACTTGGGAGGGTGAGGCAGGAGAATCACTTGAACCCGGGAGGTGGAGGTTGCAGTGAGCCAAGATAGTGCCACTGCACTCCAGCCTGGCGACAGAGAGGGACTCTGTCTCAAAAAAAAAAAAAAATGTTCAACAAAATTAACAAACCTTAGGCCAGATGCAGTGGCTTACATCTGTAATCCCAGCACTTTGGGAGGCCAAGGCAGGCAGATCACCTGAACTCAGGAGTTTGATAACAGCCTGATCAACATGGTGAAACCCTGTCTCTACTAAAAATATAAAAATTAGCTGGGCATGGTGGTGCATGCCTGTAATCTCAGCTACTCAGGAGGCTGAGGCAGGAGAATCACTTGAACCCAGGAGGTGGAGGTTACAGTGAGCTAAGATCGTGCCGTTGACTCCACCCTGGGCAACAAGAGTGAAACTCTATCTAAAAAAATAAAAATAAAAATAAAATAAAATTAGTGGTGGTCCACACCTGTAATCCCAGATACTCAAGAGGCTGAGGTGGGAGGATCGCTTGAGCCTGGCTGGTTGAGGCTGCAGTGAGGTGTGCCACTGCACTACAGC
Source organism: Homo sapiens (assembly GCF_000001405.40). Lineage (NCBI taxonomy): Eukaryota > Metazoa > Chordata > Mammalia > Primates > Hominidae > Homo > Homo sapiens. Next base: position 102,205,900 of record NC_000010.11, read on the forward strand.
CAGGGTGACAAGAGTGAGACCTTGTCTCAAAAAAAAAAAAGAAAAAAAGGCCAGGCGTGGTGGCTCATGCCTGTAATCCCAGCACTTTGGGAGGCCAAGCCGGGTGGATCACCTGAGGTCAGGAGTTCGAGATCAGCCTGGCCAACATGGTGAAACCCCGTTTCTACTAAAAATACAAAAATTAGCCAGGTGTGGTGGCAGGCGCCTGTAATCCCAGCTACTTGGGAAGCCTGAGGCAGGAGAATCACTTGAACCCAGAGGTGGAGGCTGCACTGAGCTGAGATCACGCGATTGCACTCTAGCCTGGGCAACAAGAGTGAAACTCCGTCTCAAAAAAAAAAAAAAAAAAAAAAGAAATGCCTAGAATAGGCAAATTAATACAGACAGAAAGTGGATGAGAGCTTACCAGGAGCCAGAGGGAAGGTGCAATGGTTAGCTGTTGCCTCACAAGTACAGAATTTCTGTTTGGAGTGATGAAAAAGTTTTGGAACTAGTCAGTAGTGATGGTTGTACATTATGAATGTAATTAATGCCACTTAAGAATGGTTAATGTGCACATGTACCCTAAAACTTAAAATATAATTTAAAAAAACAACAAAAAAAAGAATGGTTAAAAGGGGCCAGGCATGGTGGCTCATGCTTGTAGTCCCAGCACTTTGGGAGGCCGAGGCAAGTGGATTACGAGGTCAGGAGATCGAGACCATCCTGGCTAACATGGTGAAACACCGTCTCTACTAAAAATACAAAAAAAGTTAGCCAGGCGTGGTGGTGGGTGCCTGTAGTCCCAGCTACTAGAGAGGCTGAGGCAGGAGAATGGCGTGAACCTGGGAGGCAGAGGTTGCATTGCGCCGAGATCGTGCCGCTGCACTCCAGCCTGGGCGACAGTGCTAGGCTCCGTCTCAAAAAAAAAAAAAAAAAAAAAAGAATGGTTAAAATGGCAAATTTTATGTTATACATTTTCATCACACAAAACAAAGACACTTTGGCAGCTGTAAAGAAACAAGACTAGCCGGGCACAGTGGCTCACACCTGTAATCCCAGCACTTTGGGAGGCCAAGGCAGGTGGATCACGAGTTCAGGAGATTGAGACCATCCTGGCTAACACGGTGAAACCCCGTCTCTACTAAAAATACAAAAAATTAGCCAGGCGTGGTGGCGGGCGCCTGTAGTCCCAGCTACTCGGGAGGCTGAGGCAGGAGAATGGCGTTAACCCGGGAGGTGGAGCTTGCACTGAGCCGAGATTGCACCACTGCACTCCAGCCTGGGCGACAGAGCGAGACTCCGTTTCAAAAAAAAAAAAAAAGAAACTAGACTCTAGGTTAAGGTTACTGAAGTAATCCAGGCTAAAGATCATCTTCTGTTTGTCCTTCCAGGTGCACACTGCCCTCTTCCTTGCTTTGTGCTCCAGGATGCTGACCTGTGTTGACTGATTAGCAGATTCTTAGGCCCTCTGGCTTCTGGTTGAATTTGACCAATGTGGAGCACTGGCAAGTGATCCAAGAGTGAGAGGAAAGTGACAGCAGGGTAGTCCCCTGGCTCCCAATCTTCAGGTTGCTGTGGGCTGCTGTATCCCTTGACCAAAGGTCACAGCTCCTGTCAGGCAGCCTTCTCCACAAAGCTCTGTCTCTGTATTGTATTAATAGTAATGGCTTGGCCGGGCGCGGTGGCCCAAGCCTGTAATCCCTGCACTTTGGGAGGCCGAGGTGGGTGGATCATCTGAAGTCAGGAGTTTGAGACCAGCTGGCCAACATGATGAAACTCCGTCTCTACTGAAAATACAAAAAAAATTAGCCAGGCCTGGTGGCCGGCACCTGTAATCCCAGCTACTTGGGAGGCTGGGGCAGAAGGGTCGCTTGAACCCGGGAGGCAGAAGTTGCAGTGAGCCAAGATCATGCCACTGTACTCCAGCCTGGGTGACAAGAGCGAAAATCTGTGTCAGAAAATAATAATAATAATAATAAAATAGTAATGGCTCCCTCCGCCATTCCTCCTAGGGGAAAAATGGCCCCAACTAGTCTAAGGCAGGGGGTAGACAGCACGGTCCATTTGTGTGTTTTCCTTTGTGTGTTTTCCTACATGAGTTTATTAGTTTAATAATTCCTTTATTAAGCTTTCATCAAATTACCCAGTTTGACCGTGCTGTCTATTTCCTGCCTTAGACTAGGATGGAGAGAGAGCACTAAATCTATGTGGAGGTAGAGCCTTGAGGTTTTGGTAGTTTGGATGGTTTGGCAAACTTGGCCCCTGGCTCTCAGAAAAGTTCTCATAAACTGGGGGAGACAAGACACATAGCTTAGAAAAAACACAAGATTCACACTCATAGCAAGTAATCATAGTGAAGTCCAGTATAGGCTCAATTTGCAAAGTGGCTGATAGCAGGTACTTAATGCACTAATTCGTCTGTTTTCCTATGTTGGGGACAGAATTGACTCTTCTTCAAGTATGAGAGAGGTTGGAAGTGTTTGGCTAGTTTCCACAGAAGACTCAGAATACTCAAGTGTCCCGAGAAACAGTGGAAATAGAGGTTCTTGGAAATGATCCCAGAAAACAGGTCTAATCAACTGGGTGAAGTGTCAGGATCCAGACAGTGACTTATAATGGCTCAACCTCCAAACCAGTGATCCTGAGATAAATGGGAACACCCAGCTGTGGATGTGTGCCGACTTCAGGGTTTTTGAAGCAATACCCTGTTACATCCATCAGCTGTCCTCCTGAACCTGTTCCCTCCCTGAAGCCACGTATGGAGCAAAAAGAGTATATTTCTCCATTACAGGCCCTGCCTCACTTATCTCCTCCATACTACTTCCCCACTTTCCTTGTTTTCCCCAAAGGCCTCTCTCCCACTCTGGCTCTCCCAGCTACACATATCAAACCTACATCTCTGCCAGGAGGCAGGGTGTCTGTGGTAGAGGAGTGACCCACACATTTGAGATTTTCCCGGGTCACACTGGAAACCCTGGATTCCTGCCTGGTTTATTTCCCTTGGATTCAATCCATAAAACCCTGATTGGTGTGTAACTCCCATAACATGATCCTTATCTCTTGGGCCCAGGACCCATCATCTGAGGCCTGCCAGCTGTTTCAGCCCAGGCTTTCATGCCAAGCTCTCGAATGGATGTGGCCAGTAAAATACAGTCTCCTTTTTTTTTTTTTATTTAAAGGCAAAACTCAATAAATGTTAGCTATTATTATTATTACTAGATTTAAAAAGTACCAATATGCTCATATAATAAATACGAGCTGGGCATGGTGGCTCACGCCTGTAATCCCAGCACTTTGGGAGGCCGAGGCAGGCGGATCACCTGGTCGGGAGTTCGAGACCAGCCTGACCAACATGGAGAAACCCCGTCTCTACTAAAAATAGAAAATTAGCCGGGCATGGTGGCGCATGCATGTAGTCCCAGCTACTCAGGAGGCTGAGACAGGAGAATCGCTTGAACCTGGGAGGCGTAAGTTGCAGTGAGCTGAGATCGCACCATTGCACTCCAGCCTGGGTGAAAAGAGTGAAACTCTGTCTCAAAAGTAAATAAATAAGTATGACCCACTTCACCAAATTTGAGTCTAAAAGGATGGTCACATTTCTCCTCTCTCTTTTTTTTGAGATGGAGTCTCGCTGTGTCACCCAGGCTGGAATACAGTGGTGCAGTCTCGGCTCACTGCAACCTCTGCTTCTTAGGTTCAAACGATTCTCCTGCCTCAGCCTCCTGAGTAGCTGGGATTACAGGCACGCACCACCACGCTCAGCTAATTTTTTTGTATTTTTAGTAGAGATGGGTTTTCAGCATGTTGGTCAAGCTGGTCTTGAACTCCTGACCTGATGATCTGCCTGCCTTGGCCTCCCAAAGTGCTGGGATTACAGGCGTGAGCCACTGCACCTGACCTCTCCTCTCTCTTTTTAAAAAATTCAAAGTTCAGTTTATTTTTATACCTGTTTTACTTTATTTATTCCTTACATAAGTAATATGTGCACCCAGAAAAATTCTAAGAAAGTCAAAAGGCCTGCCACTTTTCCCAACCCCCAAGTTTCCCTCTCCACAGATGCCCCTCTTACCAACTTCTTCCATGGACTTGAAGAGAGTCTATGCAATTACAGACACTGATATGTTTTTCCTTGTACAAATACAAGTTATATATTTTGGAGAGTGTCAATTCTTATTGAGTTGCCTAATTCTTCCCTTTAATTACTCCCAAACCTATTGAGGTATGTGTGTACTATCCTTTTTTTTCCTTTCTTTCTTTTTTCTCTTTTTTTGAGACAGAGTCTCACTGTGTCACCCAGGCTGGAGTGCAGTGGCATGATCTTGGCTCACTGCAGCCTTGACCTCCTGGACTCAAGCAGTCCACCTGTGTTGGCCTCCCAACAGGCATTAGCCACCGCACCTGGTGAGGTATAGTTTTCTTTCTTTTTTTTTTGAGATGGAGTTTCGCTCTTGTTGCCCAGGCTGGAGTGCAATAGAATGATCTCGGCTCACCGCAACCTCCACCTCCCAGGTTCAAGCGATTCTTCTGCCTCAGCCTCCCTAGTAGCTGGGATTACAGGCACCTGCCACCATTCCTGGCTAATTTTTGTATTTTTAATAGAGACAGGGTTTCTCCTTTATTGGTCAGGCTGGTATCAAACTCCCGACCTCAGGTGATCTGCCCGCCTTGGCCTCCCAAAGTGCTGGGATTATAGACATGAGCCACCATGCTCAGGGAAGTATAGTTTTCATAAGGTAAAATTCATCCATTTTAACTTTACAGTTTGATAGATGTTGGCAATCGTATACTGTCATGCAACTGTCACTACAATTAAGATATAAAATGTTTCCATCACCCTAAAAAGTTACCTCCTGCCCTATTACAATTCAATCCCCTCACCTAACAGCTCTAGGCAACCACTGACCTGCTTTCTGACACTGTAGTTTTGCTTTTCCTAGAATTTCTTATAAATGGAATCCCACGATATATTTTTTTATGCTTGACTACTTTCACTTAGCATAACGTTTTTGAGATTCAGCCACATTGTTGTACATATCAATGTCTCATTTCTTTTTAGTACAGAGTAGTATTCCATAATAAAGAAATTGTTCATTCACTTACCAGTTGATGGATATTTGGTTTGTTTCCAGTTTGGCCCTATTATGAATAATGCTGCCGTAAAAATTTGCATACCAAGTCTTTAAGTAAGCATGTGTTCTCTTTTGTTCTTGGGTAAATACCTGAGAGTAGGATTGCTGGGTCATATGGTAAATAAAGTATTGTTACTTTCATAAGACACTGCCAAACTATTTCCCAAGTGTCTATACTATTTTGCAAATCTCACCTACAATGTTTTGGAGCTCTAGTTTGCCTCATTCATTGTAACAGCTGGAATGTAACTGGTGGTGGAAAAGAGCAATAAAGCAAATGTGGCAAATGCTAACAATTGGTGAATATAGATAGAGTATGTGGATGTTCATTTTATTATTAATCCCATTTCTTTTTTGAGACAAGTTCTCATTTTGTTGCCTAGGCTGGAGTTCAGTGGTGTGGTCATGGCTCCCTGAAGCCTCAACTGCCCAGGCTCAGAGGATACTCCTGCCTTAGCCTCTGAAGTAGCTGGGACTATTGATGCATACCACCATGCCTGGCTAATTTTTTGTACTTTTAGTAGAGACGGGGTTTCACCATGTTGGCCAGGCTGGTCTCGAACCCCTCACCTCAGGTGATCAGCCCGCCTTGGCCTCCCAAACTGCTGGGATTACAGGCGTGAGCCACTGCACCTGGCCTACATTACTAATTTAAAAATTGTGGCAAAATATATATAAAACATAAAATTTATCATTTTAAGTGTACAATTCAGTGCATCAGTTACATTCACAATGTTGTACAATCATCACTGCTATCTAGTTTCAAAACTTTTAATCACCTCAAACAGAAACTCTGTACTTATTAGGCAATAACTCTCTATTCACCCCTTGCACTAACCACTTGCAAGCTGTGGTCTACTTTCGGTATATGTGAATTTGCCTATTCTAGATATTTCATGTAACTGGAATCATACAATATTTGTCCTTTTATGTTTGACTTCTTTCACTTGGAATAATGTTTTCAAGGTTTATCCATGTTGTAACATGTATCAGAGCTTCATTCATCCCTTTGTATGGCTGAGTAATATTCTGTTGTTGAGTATACACCACATTTGGTTTATCCAGTCATCTGGTGATGGAGACTTCTGTTGTTTCCACTTTTTGGCTATTGTGAGCAAAGATGCTATGAATATTCACATACAAGTATCTGACTGAATCTTTGTTTTTAATTCTTTTGGGTATATACATAGGAGTAAAGTTGCTGGGTCATAAGGTAATTCTATGTTGAGCTCTTTGGGGAACCATCAGACTGTTTTCGATAGCAGTTGCACCATTTACATTTCCACCAACAATGCAGAAGGGCTCCAATTTCTCCACATCTTTGCTAACATTTGTCTTTTTCCTTTAAGAAAAAAAATAGCTATCCTAGTAGGCATAAAATGACCTCTCACTGTGTTTTTGATTTGTATTTCCCTAGACTAAGGATGTTAAACACATTGTGCTTATTGGCCAGTTGTATATCTTCTTTGAAAAAATGTTTATTCAAGTCATTTGCCCTTTTTATTTATTTATTTTTGAGACGGAGTCTTGTTCTGTCACCCAGGCTGGAGTGCAGTGGCACGATCTCAACTCACTGCAAGCTCCACCTCCTGGGTTCACGCCATTCTCCTGCCTCAGCCTCCTGAGTAGCTGGGACTACAGGCACCCGCCACCATGCCCAGCTAATTTTTTGTATTTTTCGTAGAGACAGGGTTTCACCGTGCTAGCCAGGATGGTCTCGACCTCCTGACCTCATGATCCGCTTGCCTCGGCCTCCCAAAGTGCTGGGATTACAGGTGTGAGCCACCGCGCTGGGCCTTCTTTTTCTTTTTCTTAAGTTATAGGATATGGTACATTCATGTAATGAAATAGTACACAGCTATTCAAAAAATGTACTAATATGGTACACTCTCTGAGACAAATTTAAAAAGCAAGGTATAGTCTGGGTACAATGGCTCATACCTGTAATCCCAACACTTTAGGAGGCTGAAGCAGGAGGATTGCTTGAGCCCAGGAGTTGAAGATAAGCCTAGGCAACATAATGGTATCTCATACCTATTTAAGAAAAAAAAAAGCAAGGTATAAAATAATATGGAAACCCACACACCTACAGTGAACCCATTTTCGACAAAGGTGCCAAGAACATACACTGGGAAAAGACAGTCTCTTCAACAAACGGTGCTGAAAAAACTGAATATCCATATGCAGAAGAAGGAAACTAGACCTGTATCTCTCACCATATATAAAAATCAAATTAAAATGGATTAAAAACTTAAGTCTAATACCTCAAACTATGAAACTACTACAAGAAAACATTGGGAAAAATATCCAGGACATTGAACTGGGCAAAAATTTCTTAAATAGCAACCCCAGAAGCACAGGCAACCAAAGCAAAAATGGACAAATGGGATAATGTCAAGTTAAAAGGCTTTTGCACAGCAAAGAATACACTCAACAAAGTTAAGAGACAACTTACAGAATGGGATAAAATATTTTCGAACTACCCAGGTGACAAGGGAATAATAACCAGAATATATATGAAGCTCCAACAACTCTATAGGGAAAAAAATCCAATAATCTGATCAAAAAATGGCAAAAGATTTGAATACACACTTCTCAAATTAAGACATACAAATGGCAGACAGCCACATGAAAAGGTGCTCAACATCACTGATCATCAGAGAAATGCAAATCAAAACTACAATGAGATATAATCTCACCCCAGTTGAAATGGCTTATATCGGTAAGGCCATAACAAATACAGGCAATAACAAATGCTGGTGAGGATGTGGAGAAAAGGGAACCACTTTACCACTGTTGGTGGGAATGTAAATTAGTACAACCACTATGGGGAACAGTTTGAAGGTTCCTCAAAACACTAAAAATTGAGCTACCATATGACCCAGCAATCCCACTGCTGGGTACCTGAAAGAAAGGAAATCAGTGTATCAAAGATATCTGCACCAGGCGCGGTGGCTCATGCCTATAATCCTAGCGCTTTGGGAGGCCAAGACAGGTGGATCACCTGAGGTCAGGAGTTTGAGACCAGCCTGGCCAACATGGTGAAACCCTGTCTCTACTAAAAATACAAAAATTAGCCAGGCGTGGTGGTGGATGCCTGCAATCCCCGCTACTTGGCAGGCTGAGGCAGGGAGAATTGCTTGAACCTGGGAGGTGGAGGTTGCAGTGAGCAAAGATCTCATGACTGCACTCCAGCCTGGGAGACAGTGAGACTCCGTCTCAAAAAAAAAAAGGCGATATCTGCACTCCTATGTTTGTTGCAGCACTCTTTATAATAGCCAAGATTTGCAAGCAACCTAAGTATCCATCAACAGATGAATGAATAAAGAAAATGTGGTACATATATACAATGGAGTACTATTCAGTCATAAAAAAGAATAAGGTCCTGTCATTTGCAACAACATGAATGGAATGGGAGATCATTATGTTAAGTGAAATAAGCCATGCACAGAAAGACAAACATCACATGTTCTCACTTATTTGTGGTATAAGTGAGAACAAAACAATTGAACTCGTGGACATAAAGAGTAGAATGGTGGTTATCAGAGGCTGGGAAGGGTAGTGAGGGGCTGGCTAGGGGAGGTGGTGATGGTTCATCAGTACAACAAAACAGAAAGAATGAATAAGACCTATTATTTGATAGTACAACAGGGTGCCTATAGTCAATAATAACTTAATTGCATATTTTAAAATAACATAAAGAGAGTAATTAGATTGTTAGTAACTCAAAGGATAAATGCTTGAGGGGATGAATACCCATGTTCCATGAGGTACTTATTTCACATTGCATGCTTGTATTGAAACATTTCATGTACCCCATAAAAATATATGCTTACTATGTACCCACAAAAATTAAAAATGAAATTTTAAAAAATTTTCTTTTTTCTTTTTTCAAGACAAGGTCTCACTCTGTCACCCAAGCTGGAGTGCAATGGCATGATCTTGGCTCACTGCCATCTCTACATCCTGGACTCAAATGATCCTCCTGCCTCAGCCTCCCAACTAGCTGGGACTACAGGCAAGCACCACTATGCTTGGCTAATTTTTATATTTTTGTAGAGACAGGTCTTGCCATGTTGGCCAGGCTGGTCTCGAACTCCTGGACTCAAGTAATCTGCCTGCCTCAGCCCCCCAAATTGCTGGGATTACAGGCGTGAGCCACCACGCCCAGCCCCCAAAAAAATTTTAATTAAAAAAAAATATGAAGGCCGGGCACGGTGGCTCACGCCTGTAATCCCAGCACTTTAGGAGGCCAAGACAGGTGGATCACGAGGTCAGGAGATTGAGACCATCCTGGCTAACACGGCGAAACCCCATCTCTACTAAAAATACAAAAAAATTAGCCGGGCGTGGTGGCAGGCGCCTGTAGTCCCAGCTACTTGGGAGGCTGAGGCAGGAGAATGGCGTGAACCCGGGAGGCGGAGCTTGCAGTGAGCCAAGATCACGCCACTGCACTCCAGGCTGGGCAACTGAGCGAGACTCTGTCTCAAAAAAAAAAAAAATATATGGAAACATGCTACCACTTAAGAAGTTATATACAAACATACCCTTTTATGCATAGATGATATTAGAAAGGGTATGTAGCAGACAGGTCATTGCAGTGCCTCTGGAAGGAGAACACTGAGGACAGCAGTGGGAGACAGTTAATTTTATCAGTTTACCTCTTCTTCTTCAAAAAAATTTTTTTTTGGGGGGACAGAATTTTGCTCTTGTTGCCTAGGCTGGAGTGCAAATGGCGCAGTCTCGGCTCACTACAAACTCTGCCTCCTGGGTTCAGGCGATTCTCCTTCCTCAGCCTCCCAAGTAGCTGGGATTACAGGTGCCCTCCACCACGCCTGGCTACTTTTGGTATTTTTAGTAGAGACGGAGTTTCACCATGTTGGCCTGGCTGGTCTCGAACTCCTGACCTCAGATGATCTGCCCACCTCCGCCTCCCAAAGTGCTGGGATTACAGGTGTGAGCCACCGCACCTGGCCTATTCTCTTTAAGTTTTTTTTACCATTCACTTCAATTTCACGTGTATGCGTGTGTGTGTGTGCACATATATGTTAGTAATGGAAAAAACACCATTTTTCCTTTCTTCTGATTAATTTCAGAAGACTTTCTGGACAAGGAAAGGATAATTCTAAAGTATTCAGAAGAGACAGGTTTTTCCTAGCTATGGGAGAGGGGAGAGGCTTAGGACAGGGCTTCAGAATAAGTTTTGAGGGTCATCAAAAATGGTAGAACAGGCCGGGCGCAGTGGTTCACGCCTGTAATCCTAGCACTTTGGGAGGCCGACGCGGGTGGATCACCTGAGGTCGGGAGTTTGAGACCAGCCTGACCAACATGGAGAAATCCCATCTCTACTAAAAATACAAAATTAGCCGGGTGTGTGGCGCATGCCTGTAATCCCAGCTACTCGGGAGGCTGAGGTAGAAGAATAGCTTGAACCTGGGAGGCGGAGGTTGTGGTGAGCTGAGATCGTGCCATTGCACTCCAGCCTGGGCAACAAGAGTGAAACTTCGTCTCAAAAAACAAAACAAAACAAAACAAAAGTAGAACAGGCAGCTTCAAAACCCCATCCCTCCATTAGGGCAATGATTAAGCTGCAAAAACTGTCAGAATCTACTTTTTTGGAATTCTGGAATCTAATAATAAAAAACCTGACAACAACCAGAGGAATTCTTTTCTTTTCTTTCTTTTTCTTTTTTTTTTTGAGACAGAGTTTTGCTCTTGTTGCCCAGGCTGGAGTGCAATGGCGTGATGTCATCTCACTGCAACCTCTGCCTCCTGGGTTCAAGCTATTCTCCTGTCTTAGCCTCCCGAGTAGCTGGGATTACAGGCATGCACCACCACGCCAGGCTAATTTTGTATTTTCAGTAGAGACGGGGTTTCTCCATGTTGGTCAGGCTGATCTCAAACTCCCAACCTCAGGTGATCCTCCCGCCTCGGCCTCCCAAAGTGCTTGGATTACAGGCCGGGCGCGGTGGCTCACGCCTGTAATCCCAGCACTTTGGGAGGCCAAGGCAGGCGGATCACGAGGTCAGGAGATCGAGACCATCCTGGCTAACATGGTGAAACCTCACCTCTACTAAAAATACAAAAAATTAGCCGGGCGTGGTGGCAGGCGCCTGTAATCCCAGCTAATCGGGAGGCTGAGGTAGGGGAATCACTTGAAACCAGGAGGTGAAGGTTGCAGTGAGCCGAGATTGTGCCACTGCACTCCAGCTGGGCAACAGAGCGAGACTCTGTCTCAGAAAAAAAAAAAAAGAAGAAGAAGAAGAACCAGCATTAAAGAGGTGGAAAGAAGGGGAAGAAAATCTCACAAAGGCACAGCCAGAAATATCAAGAAAAAAACAAGACAGTAAAATACCGGGGAAACGATGAGTTTGGGAGGAATGCAGGATCCCAGGGTAGGGAACCGGAAGCAGAGAAGTCAATTAGTGACAGAGCACATGTAAAAAAAAAAAGACTTCAAGATATTTCAATACATTTATTATTACTTTTAAACATTTACTCATTATAAGAATAATTTTAAAATTCTGCCATTCAGAGACAAATTCCATTAGCATCTTGGTATATTTCCTTCCAATCTTTTTTCTCTATGTGGTTTTCTTGCATATTTTTTCCCTACAAAAATTTTACAAACATTCTTCCCATCTGAATTGCCTCCACATTTTTAGTCAACAAATTTGAGACCATACTATACATATCGTCTCATATCCTACATTTTGAAACTTAACATAATATTCTGAGCATTTCTTATGCCATTAAAAAGCATTATTTATTGGATGCAAAGCATTCCAAAATGTATACATCAGTTTTAAAACAACATGAGAGAAAATTTAAAATACTTCTAAGTTTATGCCTATAATCTCACCCACACCATCAACTGATTTCACATTTTAGTGCTTCTTTTCAACTTCAGTCTTTAGGAACATTATTGCTTTTAGATAATTGAGGTAATAGGAAAGGTATGGTTTTGAATATTGTTTTTCTTTCACATTATTTTGGAAACATAGTTTCACGTTTCTTCATATTCTGATAGATGCAAGCTGTTCTGTGATGTTAGTTAAATGTTTGTTGCGATGTTAAATTCAGTAATTATCCATCAGTGGGTTGTTTCTAGCTGTCTTTTTTTTCTTTTTTTTTTTTTTTTTTTTGAGATGGAGCCTCACTCTGTCACCCAGGCTGGAGTGCAGTGGCTTGATCTCCACTCATTGCAACCTCTGCCCCCCAGGTTCAAGCAATTCTCCTACCTCAGCCTCCGGAGTCGCTGGGATTATGGGCGCGCACCACCACGCCCGGCTAATTTTTGTATTTTTAGTAGAGACAGGGTCTCAACATGTTGGCCAAGCTGGTCTCAAATTCCTGACCTCAAATGATCCACCCACTTCAGCCTCCCAAAGTGCTGGGATTACAGGCGTGAGCCACCGCCCCTAGCCTTCCAGCTTTCTATTATTTTAAGTCCCACTGACTTAATATGTGACTTAAAATATGACTTTCAAATATATATATATTTTTTGTTTGTTTTGTTTTGTTTTCAGATGGAGTGTCACTCTGTCCCCCAGGCTGGAGTGCAATGGTGTTATCTCGGCTCACTACAACATCTGCCTCCCAGGTTCAATCAATTCTCCTGCCTCAACCTCCCGAGTAGCTGGGACCACAGGAGCAGGCCACCACGTTCAGCTGATTTTTGTATTTTTAGTAGAGATGGGGTTTCACCATGTTGGCCAGGCTGGTCTCGAACTCCTGACTTCAAGTGATCCACCCACCTCGGCCTCCTAAAGTGTTGGGAATACAGGCATGAGCCACCTCACCTGGCCTAAAATATACATTTTAATAATGGTGACATAATTTGGTAGCCAAAGAAACTGCTTTGAATGTTCCAGGCTATTGGGCCATTGATGGGGAATTAAAGTAGGTTGAAATTTAATCAGTTGATATTACTTTGTAAGGCTAATTTTTTTCCTTTTTGAAATGATTTCATTAATAGCTGACATATTTATTTTGCAACAAGCTACTTACAATAAAGGAATAATAGTCTATTTATGTATTACTTGTGATTGGCCCTTTACTGCAAATAACAAATGCCACTAAATGCAAGCATTTACAAAAGGTTTACAATCCAGTCTACAATCATCAGAAACCTGCTCTACAAATCACTGCTTTTTTTAAAAAGTATTTAATCATTTTTTTAATTGACAAGTAAAATTGTGAATATTCATGGGGCAAATAGTGATGTTTTGATACATTATAATGTATACTGATCAGATTGGGGCAATTAACATCCATCATCTGGAACATTTATCATTTCTTTGCATTGGGAACATTCAATTTTTTTAAAAAGCTGGTTTTCATGGGGAAGAAAACCACACTTATTAATATTTTCTGTGTCTGGTCAAGTACTCTTTATATATAATTAACAGTCTCAGCTGGGTGCAGTGGCTCATCCCTATAACCCTAGCACTTTGGGAGGCCAAAGAGGGAGGATTATTTGAGCCAGGAGTTCAAGACCAGCCTTGGCAACATAGCGAGAACTTATCTCAAAAAAAAAAAAAAAAAGCTGATGTGGTGACACATGCCTGTCATCCTAATTACTTGAGTGGGTGGATTGCTTGAGCCCAGGAGGTCAAGGTTGCAGTGAGCCGTGGTTGCACCACTACACTCCAGCCTAGGCTGGACAGAGTCTTGCTCTGTCGGGATCTCCACTCACTGCAGCCTCCACCTGCCGGGTTCAAGTGATTCTCCTGCCTCAGCCTCCCGAGTAGCTGAGATTACAGGCATGTGCCGCCACACCTGGCTGATTTTTGTATTTTTAGTAGAGATGGGGTTTCACCACATTGCCCAAGCTGGTCTCGAACTCCTGACCTCAGGTGATCCACCTGCCTCGGCCTCCCAAAGTGCTAGGATTACAGGCTTGGGCCACCTCACCTGGCCTTTTTTTTTTTTTTTTTTTTTTTAGTCTTCCCAGACACTGATAATAGATAGGCATCTTTCAAGCTGATCCCCACTCGAGTTTATAGGTGGTTTGACAGCTGCCTCTCCTCAACGTTGCATCTGTTATGATGGTTTAATTGTTGAGTCAGAGCCAGTGAACATTTATATTTCCTACCAACTACCTTGAAGTAAATATCTTGGGAGCTGCTGGCCTGGAAAGGTTGTGAGAAGGCTCCTGGCTTCTTCTTTGTCTCACTTAACATTTATTTTAAGGTCAAAGCAATATCTGCACACTACTTTCTCTTTGGTCCCCCAGATACAGTGAGCCCCTTGGTCCAGTCCTCTCCATGTCCTATATGTAGTTTCACCCTAGATCAGATTTTGTGTCTTGGTTCTCAGACCAAAACGGGAACACTGCATGATTGTTTTCTGGAGCCCATCCATCGTGGATGCCAGCCTTGTATCCACATAGGAGTTGAAGCTCCTTTTGTATTGTATTTCCTGAATCACCACTAAGCGAATACAGTCTTTTCTCATCTAGGCTGGGGATGTTGAAAATGCTCAGCCTTCTATAGAAATTCTTAAGTTCTCATTAACACATTTCACAAAAGGAAATGAGTATTATTTGACATGGTTCAGATGGTGTTTTAATGGTCAGCATTTGAATAAATACTTGCATTATAATTTGTCCCTTTAAAAAAGTTGTAGCTGAATGTAACTTATTAAATGTTCAGTGGAATGTAAAAATATATATATATTAATACATACAGATTTTTTTTTCTTTTGGATTATTTCACTGGGTTGAATTCCTAGGTGAGACACTGGGTCAAAGCATACCAGCTCTTGCTAAGTGTTGCCTAAGTGTGTTTCTACAAGGATTATATCAGTTTACTTGGCCACTAGCCAGGTGTGATTGCACCTGTTTCCTAAAGCTTTGACTGGCATTAGGTATTTAATTGCTGCTTAGCTATTAATTGGGACCACACTATACATACAGTCTTTAATTTGCATTTCCTTAATTACTAAGAAAGTTGAGTCTTTTAAAAAAATGTTTATTGTTTGTATTTCCTCTTAGGTGCCTACTCAATTCAAAGCAACAGACATATTTTGAGTGCCCACTATGTGCCAGGTAGTATGTGCTACCCTCAAGGATGAGTGACCTAGTGAAAATGACCATTTGGGATAGGGTGAGGGAGCCAGAATAGTACAGAAAATATATGACTGACTGTCCTCCACAAGTAGAAGCACAATACTGGCAGGCAGTTTGGGCAAAGTTTTTTGAATGAAAGACAAAGAAGGAAGGGCCTGACTCTGAAATATATTAGGCTTTTGCAGGGCAAGTGACTTTAGAGCTAGAGCTAGAGTTAAGATTTGTCCAGGTGAGAAAATGATGTATGGGGGGAGAGGGAAAGATGCGTAGAGAGGTAAAGGGGTAAGTATGTAGAGTTGTCCATTATGGCTACAATGCGGAATGCTGGGGGGAGAGGGAAAGATGCGTAGAGAGGTAAAGGGGTAAAAGTATGTAGAGTTGTCCATTATGGCTACAATGCGGAATGCTGGGGCTGAGGGATGGTGGGATTTTGGCTGGAAATGAATGGTCAGGGCTAAACTCAGGAATCTGATCTTTGTCCTGAGGATTATTTTTGTTCTTAATGAGGAATGACATGAGCTCATGTGTTTTAGAAAGACCTTTCTGGCAGCAAATGAGAGGCAGATTTGGAGACACTGGAGTGTATGAAATGAGCTTGTTTGTATCCTTAGCCATTTACCAAGGGTCGAAGATAAGACTATGAATAAGATTTTTGTGTAGTATGCACATTAACCCTTTATCTGACCTACTTAAAACAACATTTCAGGCCAGGCACAGTGGCTCACGCCTGTAATCCCAGAACTTTGGGAGGCCGAGGCGTGTGGATCAACTGAGGTCGGGAGTTCGAGATCAGCCTGGCCAACATGGCAAAACCCCGTCTCTACTAAAAATACAAAAATTAGCCGGGCGTGGTGTCGCACGCCTGTAATCCCAGCTACTCTGGAGGCTGAGGAAGGAGAATCGCTTGAAGCCGGGAGGTGGAGGTTGCAGTGAGCCGAGATCGCGCCACTGTACTCCAGCCTGTGCAACAGGAGCGAGACTCCATCGCAAAAAACAAACAAACAAACAAAAAAAGAAGGTAAAAATGTCGCTTTTTTTGTAAATAATTACTGATGCTTACTCAACTCTTTACATTGTATAATGCTCTTTATTTATTTATTTTTAAATTGAGACAGAGTCTCACTCTGTTGCCCAGACTGGTCTTGAACTCCTGGCCTCAAGTGATCCTCCTGCCTTGGCCTCCCAAAGTGCTAGGATTACAGGCATAAGCCATCATGCCCCGCCAATGCTCTTTAACATATATTATTTCATTTGATCCTCATAAACATCCTTCTGAAGTAGTTATCTCCATTGTACAGATGAGAAAGCTGAGGCCATGATATGTTTGATGATGTCTTCGCCAAGGTTACCTAGGTAGTAAGTGGCAGAGATAAAATCTGAATATAGGCATTCTGATGACCATGCCACCTCCAGAAGAAATGACAGGACCTTGTGTCCTATAGAAGAATATAACTTGACCTCACAATTTCTAGCCTGAAAAATTATATAAATAGTGGCTGGAAAAATCAGCCTATTTTGGAGGTAGATAACAAATTCTGTTTGGGGTGTGTATTGCTAAGGATGCTAGCAGAACATACCGGTAGAGATGTCCAACAGGCAGTTGGAAATAGGGAGAGAAAGAAGTTGGGTTGAGAACTCATAGACACAGAAGGCAGCTACTTGGCACCAGGTAATACAAGTGATTGGTGTTCTATAAACTTCCAAAGCCTGCTCAGTTATTCATCTGCTCACACCATCCCATGCTTAGCGCTTCTTCCTCTATGTTGAGGCTTTCAGGAGGGCTACTGGGGAAAAAAAACAAAACAAAACCAGTGACCACACAAAAGATAGGCTTGGAGTATTTATCCTGGAGAATAAATAATGTCACTCAGGTTTACATGCCAAGGATTTCATCCATTCAATCACTTGCGCAACAAATATTACCTGGGTTATGCTCAGGGTTAGGAGAATGATGAAAAAAACAGACATATTCCGGCAGTGGCTCATGTCTGTAATCTCAGCACTTTGGGAAGCTGAAGTGGGCAGATCACTTGAGGTCAGGAGTTCAAGACTAGCCTGGCCAACATGGCGAAAACTGTCTCTACTAAAAGCACAAAAATTAGCAAGGCGTGGTGGCACACATCTGTAGTCCCAGCACTCAGGGGACTGAGGTACGAGAATCGCTTGAACTCAGGAGGCAGAGGTTGCGGTGAGCCAAGATCAGGCCACTGCACTCCAGCCTGGGCGACAGAGCAAGACTCTGTCTCATAATAAAAAATTTTAAAAAATAGACATAGTCCCTGCATTCATGGAGCTCAAGAACTAGTAGGAAAAACAGGCATTGATCAAGAAATCACAAAAACAACTAATTATAAACTCTCACTGAAGAAAAGAAATACCATGCTCTGAGAACAGTTTATATAAAATAAGGGTACCAGACCAAGTCCAAGGGTCAAGGAATGTTTCCTCTAGAATATAATTTCTGAAGATTTTTCCTCTTCTTTTTTCTTTTTTGAGACAGAGTCTCGCTCTGTTGCCCAGGCTGGAGTGCAGTGACACAATCTCTGCTCAGTGCAACCCACGCCTGCCAGATTCAAGCAATTCTCCCTGCCTCAGCCTGCCAAGTAGCTGGAATTACAGGTATCCGCCACTACACCTAGCTAATTTTTGTATTTTTAGTGGAGATGGGGTTTCACCATGTGGGCCAGGCTGGTCTTGAACTCCTGACCTCAGGTGATCTGCCCACCTCAGCCTCCCAAAGTGCTGGGATAACAGGCGTGAGCCACTGCACCTAGCTTTTTTTTTTTTTTTTTGAGACAGAGTCTCACTCTGTCACCCAGGCTGGAGTGCAGTGGTGTGATCACAGCTCAGTGGCACGATCACAGCTCACTGCAGCCTTGACCTCCCTGGCTCAAGTGATCCTCCCTCCTCAGTCCCTGAGTAGCTGGGACCACAGGTGGGCGCTACCATGCCCAGCTAATTTTTGTACTTTTTGTAGAGATGGATTTTCACCATGTTGCCCAGGCTGGTCTCAAATTCCTGGGCTCAAGCAATCCCCCCACCTCAGCTTCCTACAGTACTGGGATTACAGGCGTGAGCCACCGTGCCCAGCCCCGAGTGTTCTTCTTTCCCTCTTCCACATACACCTCCTCCAAGCCTCACCATTAAACCTCACAGGGAAAGACAATGTTAAATATCTTCACAGAGAAATCCAGGACTGAGTATATATTCTCCATATGCACTTGTAAACCTCCCATAATGATTCACCTTGCCATTTCCATGTGTCTAGTCCACAATATCATTTTATCTACATTATCTGGCTTGCATACTAATCACAACCTTGTGACATAAGCAGGCGAGTATGACTATATGCATTTTTTTCTGAAGTAGAATGTGACAAAGGCTAGGTAACTTGCCTAAAATCACATGGCTCATTAATGGGGGTGCTGGGACTTGAACTTGGGTCTTGTAAGACCTAGATGGCATTATTCTTGTAATATTCATTCTTTTATTTATTCATTCATCCATAGACATGTATTGATCACCTTTTGATTAGCTGTCAGGCTATATATGGAGCCATCAGGAACCACTGAAGGTTTTTTTTTTTTTTTTTTTTTTTGAGACGGAGTCTCACTCTGTCACCCAGGCTGGAGTGCAGTGGCACGATCTCTGCTCACTGCAAGCTCTGCCTCCCAGGTTCACGCCATTCTCCTGCCTCAGCCTCCCGAGTAGCTGGGACTACAGGCGCCTGCCACCACGCCCGGCTAATTTTTTGTATTTTTTAGTAGAGACGGGGTTTGACGGTGTTAGCCAGGATGGTCTCGATCTCCTGACCTCATGATCTGCCCGCCTCGGCCTCCCAAGGTGCTGGGATTACAGGCGTGAACCACCGTGCCCGGCCGAACCACTGAAGGTTTTTAAGCAGGAAAGCAGAGCTGTTTTCTGGATGAGCAAACAGAAAGTAGTGGTTTTCCAAGTACAGTCTGAGACAACCTATAGGACCAGAATCTCTGCAGTTGAGGCTCAGGAATCTGGTAATCAGCCAGGTATAGGAACTCTTTTCTGATTGCAATGCAGTGAAGAGCAGAAGCACTGTATTAGAGAAAGAGGCAGTGCAACCAGGTAACGTGACCAGGTGAGAAGTGATGAGGTACAGAGACAAAGAGATGCACTTTTGAGTCACTTAGATGGCACTGATAGGACTTCCACTACACCCTCGCATAGACAGTGGCTGAGGTTCAGGAAATAGAGCTGGGGTTCCTACTTGGATCCTCTGGCTCTAGAGCTTTACTGCACATAGCCATTTATACCCACATCTTGATTTTAATTATTTTATATCTATGTTTCTTAGCACTTTTTGCAAATTTCCACCTTATCTCAAACTGCCCTCAAGCCTTGTATTTCTCCTTCGCTTTCATAAAACCTAGGAAAGAAATAAGGGACAGCCAAGTAAAACTTTTAAAAGTTTTAGAACATTTATTTCTTTGGGGCTGGTTACACAGGCGAGAAAGAAGTAGATTTGGTTAGGGAGAGAAAACAACAGGCCTTGGGGAGATACACTGGCTCTCCCCCTCCCTAAACCCTAAGAGGCCTCCAGGAAACCTGAAGACAATAATTCCAGAAGCCCAGAGGGTGACCCCATTTCCTCTCTCCATGGTTATTACTGTCAGTCTGGAGCAGTTCAGGAATTCAGGAAACTATAAAGAAACCACAACAGCCTCAACAACCCAAACATCAACATCAACAACCTCAACAATAAAACTCCTTAAAATTCATCTCCTTCCACCCACTCACAACCGCAGACTCGAAGCTAGGAGGTGGAAGGGACTACAGAAGCTCTGCGTTGCCCAGGTTAGTATTTGCTCATCACAGGCCTGGGTTTCCCAGGATCTCAGGGAGCCTGGAAACTGACGCCTCCATTTCTGGGTGGGAGCACCAAAGCCTAAGGACACCTTTCCTCTCTCTTCACTGCTAAGCAGGTCAAGATTAAAGCAAACCGAGGCAAAGGCCACGGTTGACAGTTCCAAGGGAACCCGCAAGGCCGCACAGGATGGGGTGGACGTTTTACGGGAGAAAAGGCTGGGGAAGTGGGCGGGCGATGGCCTACGACGGGACTTGGGGCGGGGTGTGCGAAACGCCTGGCAGGCGGGCCCTTGAGTATGACCAATCAGAATGCGGACTGCGTCCCAGGGGCGGAGCAGAGGCGTATCTTGGTCGAGATTGGATAGCGGCGGGGCGCAGGAAAGAGGTCGCGCCAGCCCGGGCAGGCAGCTTTGCAAGTCCGCGTTATATATCGCAGTGGCTGCGCCCGGGATAGCTGGCTGCGCCGCCGCGCACATGCCTAGGTTCGACGCCCTCCTCCCTTTGCCCAGGAGTTCCTTCTGTCCCGGCTCTGTTCCGTCTCGCCCCGAGGTTCACGCCATCCTCGGAGCCCCAGCCTTTCACCCAGCGCCTCCAAGCTTTGGACCTTGACTTCTGCAAAACTAGATGGTCACAGCCATGAATGTCTCACATGAAGTAAATCAGCTGTTCCAGCCCTATAACTTCGAGCTGTCCAAGGACATGAGGCCCTTTTTCGAGGAGTATTGGTGAGACTTTGGGAGAGGGAAAGGCCATGCCAGGGCCCCGGGGCCGGGGCGCGAGGGGGTGGCATTGAATGCCCACAATGATTTTCTTACAGAGCAGAGTTATGGGACTCCCTTGTACTGGCTTCACACTACCTTTGTCCGAGGTGCAGGTAGTATGTGGCACCTCAAAGAGATTAGAGCTGAAAGCAAGCAAGCAGAAATAAGAGGATGAGGGAGAACGTGGAAATATACAGAAGTCAAAGAGAGCGTGTAGTGAGAAGGGTCTTGGAGGCGTGAGGTTGATCTGAAGCCTTACTAGATGACTTCCCCGTCCTTTGTGGCTGTGTGTGCGCGCGTGTGTGCACAGTGCAGGGCCCGGGGGACAGCCTGCCCTTTACAATTATCCCATCGTTCCCCAGGTGCTCCACCGTTCCTGCTGTGGAGAAGGAGGCGAAGTCAGAGAGCTCTTCCAAGCTTTCCCCAGGAAGAGCTCTCTGGCTTTGCCTTAAAGCTCCCCAGAGGTTTTGGAGGCTGACTTTATGCTCCAACCAATTTGCCATACCCCAGCCAGGGAGAAGCTATTGCCACATTCTTCTTACGCCACAGCCCTGGTATGCTTCTAGGAGCCCCAACCAGGGAGAAGCTATTGCCACACTTCTTACACCACAGCCCTGGGCTGCTTCTAGGCGCGGGCCAGACAGCCGTCACCCACCTCTAACCCCACTGAGAGAGCAATAATCACAGAAACCTTGGACATAGCTCCTGCCCTGTGCTAGATACTTTGTATACGTTAATACCCCCAGGAGAGATGTAGTATTCGCGCTCTACAAATGAGGAAGCCAAGGCTCAGAGAATTAAGTTGGTTTTTCCAATGTCACATAGCTAGTAAGTGGCAGAACTGGGACTCCAACCCAGAGCACTCACCTGGAGAGATGAGTGGGCATTTCTCTAATCAGCACCCACCCATGAGCCCATCCCTCTGCCTTCTGCTTGCCAGGGCAACCTCATTCCCCATAGCCCTGATCTACCTGGTTCTCATCGCTGTGGGGCAGAACTACATGAAGGAACGCAAGGGCTTCAACCTGCAAGGGCCTCTCATCCTCTGGTCCTTCTGCCTTGCAATCTTCAGGTAAGACCCCATCCCACTCCCTGCCTCTTCTCTAGATCTTAGACCACCATTCTATCCCTTGAAGCTTTCCCGATTGCATCAACCTCCATCCTGTCCCCAAGTTGCCTTGTAACACTCTCCCCATCTCATTCTCGGCTTTAGTTCCCCTCCCAGCCTTCACCCTCTTCTGTTATATTATCCTGTTTTCCTTCTCTTTTAGACCCCTACCTGGTGGTCTCTGCTTTGTCCCTCTTGCCTTCGTAGAGTCTGTACTCGCAACTAATTTCTCCAGCCTCTAATAGTGTCACCTCCTAACACCCTCTCTCAAGACCCTCCAATAACTTCCCCATATTTTCTCCCCCAAACTCCTTCAGTCTTCCCCTATCCCTCTACACATCTCCTCCCAGGCTCCTAACCCCTCCCAAGAACCCCATTCCTTAACTCAACTTTCAGTCCCATCCCCCTGCATTCCCTGATCTTTCTCCAGCCCTCGTCTCCTCTAGACTACTGATTGGATCTACCAGATTGGCTTCAGGATCTCAGGAGCTTTGACCCACCCCCTGTGGACAGGTGGGGAGGTGGTAGAGCTTGGAACACAGTAACCTGGCCAAGCCGGGGGAAGGGTGGATTATTGGTGCCTGGGGATGACACTTACACCATCTTCCTTTGTCCCATTTCAGTATCCTGGGGGCAGTGAGGATGTGGGGCATTATGGGGACTGTGCTACTTACCGGGGGCCTAAAGCAAACCGTGTGCTTCATCAACTTCATCGATAATTCCACAGTCAAATTCTGGTCCTGGGTCTTTCTTCTCAGCAAGGTCATAGAACTCGGTGAGTGGCAAAGCTTTGTCTTTCTGGTGCCTTGTGAACTGCATCCTTCCTCAGGGCCCTCCCTTCACCCATCCCATGGAGGGTCTCTTTCCTACCCTTGGGTCCCAATAATACCTCTCACCCAAGCCCCTCTACAGATTCTCTGCCACAAAGACCCCCTTCCCTCCCCTGAGAATTTCTCCCGTGTCCCTACATCCAGTGCAGAGGGTGGTCCCAGCACTGGGTGGTATGCCAACTATGACTCTCCATCTCCCAGGAGACACAGCCTTCATCATCCTGCGTAAGCGGCCACTCATCTTTATTCACTGGTACCACCACAGCACAGTGCTCGTGTACACAAGCTTTGGATACAAGAACAAAGTGCCTGCAGGAGGCTGGTTCGTCACCATGAACTTTGGTGTTCATGCCATCATGTACACCTACTACACTCTGAAGGCTGCCAACGTGAAGCCCCCCAAGATGCTGCCCATGCTCATCACCAGCCTGCAGATCTTGCAGATGTTTGTAGGAGCCATCGTCAGCATCCTCACGTACATCTGGAGGCAGGATCAGGGATGCCACACCACGATGGAACACTTATTCTGGTCCTTCATCTTGTATATGACCTATTTCATCCTCTTTGCCCACTTCTTCTGCCAGACCTACATCAGGCCCAAGGTCAAAGCCAAGACCAAGAGCCAGTGAAGGTTTGGAGAGAACAATGAAGCTCCAGGCTCTCTCTTCTCCAGGGCACCAAGAGGCTGGGCTTAGTTTTGGGAGAATGATTAGGTTGCCTTACCTGCATGGTTTCCCCAGAGGATGTGTGCCCCAAGGTGGCTGGAATTTTTGACAGACAAGAAGGGTGACCTTGGGATGGGGGTGTGGTCTGTTACTTTAATGTTTCTGTTTTTAATGTGAAGGCCAAGCAGGCCCTGGGATGGGAGTGGGGCGGAGGAGGGTCCTAAGAGCTGATTATTTAATTTCTATCCAGAAATCTTTCTTCTTCTTGCTCTGTTTTTTTAAATTAAAGATTTCAACAAAATTTTGAGAGTTGGGGGATTTGGGGGGAAAGAGGGCTGCTGTGATGGCAGGAGGCTGCTACCAAGGGGATGATCTGCAGGTGGGACGCCTGAGGGTGTGTGGAAGGGTGAGAGGCACACACACAGACACTGAAAGAATCCTAGGCCTGGTAGGCACTTAACAAATGTCTGTTACAGACCAGAATTTTATTGCTGTTAGAGACCCAAGCCCCTCATAGGAACAGTGAGAAACAGGTGCAGAAAGGCGGAGTAACTTTATCTAAAGTCATAGGCTCCCTGAATAGCAGAGCTGACACCTACAAGGAAGCGTTGGAGACCAGATCTACCAGCTAGCCTCCCTGAGACCACGAGGTGGCGCCGCAGCACCGGCTGTGGCCGATGCCAGCCAGGTAGCCGGTTTCCCACGTCCCCCGCACGCACGCACCTCTTTGCTGCAGGAATCCCGGGCTGCCCCGACCTGGAGTAGGGGGGGTGGTGAGTGGGACTGAGTCCCTAGAAGCCTGGACCCTCACTTCGTTCCTGTACATCCAGCTCGCCTGTAGACAGTGGGGGAGGATGAAGGGAAGAGGACTCAAGCGCAACTTTGAATCATCACGCCTTCGACAGTCCGCGCACGTTTATTTCATTTATCTTTGAAAACGAGGGAGGGGAAGCCTGGAGAAGGCGGGATGGGCCAAGGGTGAGTTGGCCCCCGGGGAGCTGGTCCCTGTTCCTGGCTTTAGTCCCAGGGGCGCGGTCTGTGTGTAGGGCCTAGTCCACCCCTCAGGGCTGGGAGGGGAAGGCCCTCTCCTGAGCCGGTGCCCCCCAGCTGCCCAAACACCCCTTTCAGACCCTGGGGCGGGAGCAAGCCAGTCAAAATGACCCCAGTCCGCGGAGGCTGTGAATCGTTGCCCCCGCCCTCGGGGATGATCTACGGGCGGGGCCGCTCATACGGGCCTTTCCACGGCGTACTGGCACGGACTAAGGTTGGCTGCCGGGGGCGGCCCGTGCACAGCGGGGTAGCTGAAGGAGGCGTGCTGTTTGGCTTTGAGCCGCAGGCTGGCCAGGCTCGAGTTACACGGGTCCCGATAGACGTAGGGGGAAGAGGCGGCAGCCGCGGCGGCGGCGGCGGCCGAGGCATAAGGGCAGGACACGGCCCCGGAGGACACGGCGGCCGGAGCCAGCCCGGGGGGGCCCCCGCCCAGGCCCTGCAGGGCCCCAGGCCCTGGCACGGTGCCCGGGGCAGCCGCGGCGGAGGGCACCATGGAGGCGGCGATGGAGCTGGGTGGCGAGAAGACGGGCTGCGAAGCCAGAGGCCCCACGTTGACCGAGTTGAAGGCGAATGGAAAGGTCTTGGCGGCGAGCGGCGGGGCAAGAGCCTTGGGCGGCCAGTTGCCGTACGAGTAGCCGGGGTACACCTCCTCGTAGGGCGGCACCAGCCCCCCGAGCGGCGCCGCGAAGCTGCCTTTGCATAGCTCGGCCTGCTGGCTGCGCTCGCGCTTCCGCCATTTGGCGCGCCGGTTCTTGAACCACACCTGCGGGCACGGGAGAAAGGCGGTCAGGGCCCGGGGCCGGGTCCCAGCGGCTGAAGGGCGGGCCACCCCGACGGGGCTTCCAGCCGGGGCCCTGCGGTCAATAAACGAGATGAGGTGGCTAGAGACGGGGTGGGAGGGAAGGAGCGCACGGAGTCCGGGGTCGGAGAACAGAAGGCGCGGGCGGCTGGACCGAGTCATCGGCGCCAGGGTCTGGCGGGACAGTAGGATGGGGTTGAGGAGGGGTGGTGAGGGGAAGGAGAGACGGTGTCAGGGCCGAAGAAGCGCGCGGTCCGAGTAGTAGGGAGCAGTGGGAGCAGAGGCTGGAGGTTGGCGGGCAAGAGACCGCGTGGGGCTGCGGCCGGGAGCCAGGGTCCGGGGTCCGGGGTCCGAGGGAGGGGGCAGGTGGGGTGGAACCGCTGGCCTCCGGGTCGCAGGCTGAGCGCGGAGGGCCCGCGCGGGTGCGAGTCGCGGGTCTGGAGAGCATACCCGCACGCGGGCCTCGGTGAGGTTGGTCCACACGGCGATCTCCTCGCGCGTGCTCATGTCGGGGTAGCGGTTCCTCTGGAAGGTCGCCTCTAGCTCCTGTAGCTGCTGGCTGGTGAAGTGCGTGCGCTGCCGCCGCTGCTTCTTTTTCAGCGAACCGTCCTCTGGGGAGCCGCCGGGCAGCGAAGCCGAGGCCTTTTCTGAGTCTGGGGGCCAGGGTGGGGGCAGGTCACAGAGCGCCCAAGCCAGCGCATATTCTCCGGCTCGGGGACCTCCTAAGCCACTCGCTGGCTCCCACCGGGGCTGCCCAGCCGGGGTCCCACCCGCACTGGGGATGAAGCTGTTATGTCCTGCACCCCCGGAAGGGGGCGCGCTTACCGCTGTGCTCCTGGCCCTTGCAGCCGTGCTCTGGGAGCTGGGGGTGCGGAGTGCCAGCGTCTGACAGCGACAGGGCAGGGCTCCGGGCCTCTGCCTCGCTGAGCAGGCCGAACTCCATGGAGGGAGGGCTCTGGAGGCGAGAGAAGACACAGACCAGGGTAATGGGGGTAAAATCTCCGGCTTAGCTAGGTCCCAGCAGCGTTTCCTCGTAAATTCCCTGGCGCCTTTCTCAACCCCAGCCGTAAAGCTGGGGCTGCGTGGGGCTCCTTAGGATAGAATCGGGAAATAGCATCCTAAGGACGCAGAGGTGCATGCTGAGAGGTTCTCTGCATAGATATATAAACTAGACTTCGTTTCGTTTACTGCTGGGAACTAGAACTGTGCCAGGTATACAGTTGGGGTTCAATATTTATTGAATTAATAAAAATGTAGACTATAGGCCGGGCGCAGTGGCTCACGCCTGTAATCCCAGCACTTTGGGAGGCCAAGGCGGGTGGATCACCTGAGGTCAGGAGTTCGAGACCAGCCTGGCCAACATGGTAAAATCCCGTCCCTACTAAAAATACAAAAATTGCTGGGCGGGGTGGCACGTGCCTGTAATCTCAGCTACTCGGGAGGCTGAGGCAGGAGAATCGCTTGAACCTGGGAGGCGGAGGTTGCAGCGAGCCGAGATGGTGCTACTGCACTCCAGCCTGGGTGACAGAGCAAGATGCTGTCTCAAAAAACAACAACAACAAAATCTACACTATAGCACGCTACATACCCTATACTACATCTGCAAAAACTTAAAATCCTTCTCACCTGAATGCTTAGTATCCCCCTATACTCATACATGGTCCTCAGCCAATCATACCTGAGACACAGACCAGATGTCTGTTACCCATTCTCCTTAGGACAGATTGTATTTTGAACCAGACCTGATATTTCTCCCTTAAGAATAATGTATACTTACTGTGAGCCTTTACCTCATTCTCTCTCCCCTCACAAGAATACCTCAAGTATGATCATCCTTTTTCTGCTGAGGAAACCGTAACTTGAAGGAACTTGATGAGGCTCACAGAGCTTGTAAGCAGTGGGATTGAGATCTGAACTAGGTCTGTGAGACTCCTAATGCTTTTTCTTTGTTTGCTTTTTATTTTTCTTTTATTATTATTTTATTTTTCTGATCCAGTCAACTCAGAACGCTTGTTTTCTCACACTGTGCTTTCTGGGGCCTTCCCTCGAGATTCGCTCAGGGACTCAGCTGCGGTTCTAGCCTGGCCTTGCTTGGGTCGGCTTCAGCTAGGGCAGCGCTGCTTTGGTCTGTTTCGTTTACGACTTCTTTCTTTTTTTTTTTTCCTTCTTTTTTTTTTTTTTTTTGAGATGGAGTCTCGCTTTGTTGCCCAGGCTGGAGTGCAGTGGTATGATCTCGGCTCACTGCAACCTCCACCTCCAGGGTTCAAGCTATTCTCCTGCCTCAGCCTCCCATGTAGCTGGGACTACAGGCACGTGCCCCCACGCCTGGCTAATTTTTGTATTTTTAGTAGAGACGGGGTTTCACCATGTTGGCTAGGCTGGTCTCGAACTCCTCATCGCAGGTGATCTGCCTGCCTCGGCCTCCCAAAGTGCTGGAATTACAGGTGTGAGCCACCATGCCCAGCCTGTTTTGTTTATTATTTCTGAAGAGATTTCATTTGAAAGAAGGTAACAAGATCAAACACAAGTATAAAAACCACTGGGTGCTTGGGCCGGGCCTGGTCTCATGCCTGCACCGACACACACTGCATCCCACCAGTGACTGCTCCACTCATGGACAGCCTCTACCAAGCCTGCTCCAGGCCATAGGCAGGAGCTTCATTAGACCACCTTCCTACTCATACTTCCTTTCCCAAACTTAGCCTCACATTGCCCAGGAGCCTCCCAGGGTCCTTCTCCAAGTTTCCCCCGCAGGGTCCCCTTTTCTGCCTGCTCTCCCAGGACCCCTCTGCTGCGAGGAAGGGAAATGGGCAATACTGGGGCTCAAGACTCTGGGTGCCTTTTGGTTGGAGGAGAACAGAAGGAGGCTAGGGACAGAGGGAAGGGGTAGAGAGCTGAGTGGGAGGGGCCTCTCTGCCTCTCTCACCCCTTCCCCATTAACAGGGGCTTAATGCAGGCTGCACAGGATGGCATTAATGTGGTGGATTAGCCTAGATTGAGATGTGTGTCACTTGGCTGCTCTGGATTTATTAGGAGCCTTTCTCAGGGAGGTGCAGATGGGCAGCAGCCTGTATTTGCACATGGTAATGCCCCCTTCAACAGCTCAGAGATCACAGCTGTGCCCCCACTCCCCACCCCACCTCTCAAGCCAGGTTGGGAGTGGAACCGAGGTCAAGGCAGGAGGTTGAGAAAGAGTCCCTGCTCTTTCCACAGGCAGAGGGGTCTAGATCTTGGACCTTTTATTGGGTGTGAAGAGACAGGGCTGGAGGGAACCCAGGACAGGAGAAAAGTCAGGCCAGAACTGGAGGTGTGCTCAGCTTACTTCCCCTTCCAGGTCGGGTCAGGTCAGGGGGTTTGGAGCTGGAAAACTTTGGCCAACAATGCTCTGATGGAAGGGAGATGTCCCTGAGAAGGAACTATGGTAGCCTTGGCTGGGAAGATGAGGGAGGAAGGGTTAGAACTGAGAGTTGGAAAAAGGGGTGCTCTGAAGTCTCCCCTTACTTCATACCCCTTACTTCATACCCAAGATGCCCTTGAAATGCAAATCATCCCCCTGACTTTTCCAGAGGCCATGGAAGCAACATGGAGCTGGGAAAAAACCCAGAGAGGGGTTTACCTGTGGGAAAAGCAGTCCCACCCTTGCCACCTAGCCTTCCAGTCAGCTTTGGCTCCCGACTTGCAGTTTTCCAAATTACCCTGTCCCCGGCATTCCATACCTGCATCTTGCTTTCACTTTATTTCAGCAGAGGGAGGCAGGGTGAGAAGGGATATGGGCGAGGAAAAGCCGAGGCCAGAAAGCCGAGTTCAGGCTGCGTGTTCCCAGAGACAGACAGACACATGTGCAGACACACACAGGCCCCCACTCAGACATAATAAGCACTTGGACTTGGAGCTAGGGGCACACAAACACACACTCTCCCACACATGCGCTGCCACATCCAGGCAGACAGACACGTACCGTCACACAGTCTCCTCTCTGTGACAGGGACAGCTGCCGGGGCTGTTTTGGAGCTAGCCATTATTACCCTTCCCCCACCCCCCACCCCCCCACCGCCTCCCTGGCC
This sequence comes from Homo sapiens, assembly GCF_000001405.40. Classification (NCBI taxonomy): domain Eukaryota; kingdom Metazoa; phylum Chordata; class Mammalia; order Primates; family Hominidae; genus Homo; species Homo sapiens. The sequence continues at coordinate 102,235,202 of NC_000010.11, forward strand.
CCTCTGAACCTCAGCTCTCAGTCCCAGGAGCTAAGGACTCTGTGTGGGGGAGGAGCAGGCCAAGGGGCCAGGGGAGTGTTCTGCACTGGATGCTGCTGAGTGAGGAGAAGGCATGAGAATGCTGGAGCTAGAGGATGGGGTGGGGAGGAGGGGCAGAAAGTGCCCAGGCCCCTCTCAGGAAAGTCATCTGGTATAGCCCAAAGAAATTAGGTTTAGAGTCAGCAGATCTAGATTCACGTCCTGGCTGTACAACTTACTAGCTGTGTGTCCTCGGCAAGTTACTTTACCTCTCTGAGCACATTTCTTCATCTCCGAAAGGAAGTTCATGATCCCTTCCCTACTTGCCTTCAGTGTTGTTATAAGGTTTAGATAAAAACATAAACATGTAAATATGAGTAGGGATAAAACTCTACCTGAGTAGTTTTTTTTCCTCACTCATTAAACAAATGTTTATTTAGCACATTCTATGAGCTGGGCATTGAGTTAGGCACTGAGGGTGGAGTGGTGGCTAAGATCTCATCCCTGTGTCTGCCCTTCCTTGAGTGAGTCATCTGCCCAGACTCTGTATCCTCCAGTGAAGTGTTTCCCTGGTGAATGAAGGTGAGTACGCTGCATTACTGAGAGATAGGCAACACATGCTGTGAACACTCTGTCCTGAGCATAGGTGACCCAGTCAACAAGGTAACAGCAAAATGGGCAGAGTAACCCAAGCTGGGAGCCACTTTGGGGACAAGGGACTGGTAGAGGAAAGAATGAAGCCTTTAGGCTCTTGCATGGGCTAGTAACAGCAGAGAGAGGAGCCACAGCTGAGAAGGGACCTGACCGTGAAACTGAAGAGAGAAGGAAAGAACAGTAAAGCCAGGCAGGCAATAGAGAGATGGAAGGGTGGGGGCATAGACCTCTAGCCGACTCACGTCCGGGTGGGCTGGTCAGGCAAAGGCTGGGGGCGCCAAGCTGTTGTCTGAGCTGGAGACAGGCTGGCTGAAGATTAAGCTCCCCCAAACTGCTGGAGGTCAGGAAGCTAGGGAGTTGGGACTGAGGCCAGGGACTTCGCCTCACTCAGTGGATAGGGAAGAACAAGCAGTAGGTCTGGAAGCCGCAGGATTGGTTGATGCTAGTAAGAAATGCCCAGGCAGGGACAGAGAGAGTCAGAAGATAACAGTGATGGTGAGTCCAGCTCTGGAAGGGGGCTGCCGGCCCCACCCCTAGACTTTTTGCCACACCCTGCTAGGGATGTGAGGGATGTGTGGCCCAGTCCCACTGGTATCAGGGTGGCAATCCCAGGCCCAGGGAGTACAGAGGGCCTACAGGTATGCTCTGATTCTGTAGTACAGGCTGGAATTACAGGAAGCCTGGTCATGGACTGCAGCAAGAATGAAATATCCAGGACATATGAAGGTGGAGAGCAGATCCCAGGCCAGGGAGGCCACAGTGGGGAGGCCATGGTTTCCAAGAGACACAACCCCATGGCAATAAGTCAGCTGTCATGTGGACCCACTTAAGTCCTGAAGCCAGAGAGGTAGACCAGGGACATAGTGAGAGCCCACAATCGGTTGCAATAATAATGCCTGAGGCTGGAGGCATAACCTGGAACTCAAATAGGAGAAAACCTTTCTCATTCAGGGGCTAAATGGAGAGATGAGAGGAGCTGGAGTTGTGATGTTTTCATCTTATAAACATGAAACTGAAGTGAGGTCCTTAAGTGGACATGGCTGCATGTTCATTAGGGACGCTGAGCACCCAGACTCTATGGTTTGCTGAACTGCAGTGTGCAAATGGGAGCAAATCGAGACACATTTGCAGCAAAGATTTGAAGCACTCAAGTTATTAAGGGACGATTCGGGGATCAGAGAAATGACTCCACAGTCTTCCTGCTCTTCCTTGCTTCCTTCCTTCAGCAAGTATTAGGTGTTAAGAGGGATCCCAAGAACAGTAAGGCAGAGACCCTATCTTGTAGGAGTCTGCAGTGTAGGGAGGCAAACAGAGCACAGGATGGAAAGATGGACCGCATGGGTCTGACTCCCAGACTGTGGGAGATCAGAGAGAGGGAAGCCCATGGAAGGTGGTACCGAGTGTTGGGAGCTCAGAGAATATAGGCACGTGACTGAATTGGGAGTTCAAGAGGAAGAGAAGGGGTATGGCATTCTAAATAATCAGCAGTGTTGGGAATAAGCTGGCAGGCTGGGAGGGCAGTGGTGAGCCTAGGTTAGTCAGAGTCTCAGTGTAGGCCACGGGAGATCTGCAGAGAGAAACGAGTCAAACCGAGGGGGCCTCCAATGGGGGACAAGGGGCAGTGGTTCAGATTTGACAAAGTCTAGGCTACAGTATGTCCAGCTTTTTCATCAAAAACCGCTAAGATTCACACTGAGCAACAGCCCTGAATAAAGAAAAAAACCCTAAGACCAGTCAAAAACAACATCTACTAGAAAACAGAAGCATGACCTGAAACAGCTGCCACTAGTATGAAATTGTTTTGAGGTCACCAGCTTTATGTTAAAAATGCAAACAAATTTTTCGTTCTATTCCATACTTTAGTCATGGATTATAAAATATTTTAATATAAAAATAAAGCTTTTTTTAATATAAAACCCCCCAATCTTCAAGTGATATCACCACACCAGGAAGATGGGCCCTGTTTAGACTGTGTGTCATGCCTCCTCCACTCCCGTACTGCCCTCCTCCCCCGCCCACCCCACTATGAGAAGCAATGCACCAAGCAGTAGGGGTCACTGGAGGCTTGTATCCAGGGGTGTGACAAAAAACAGCATCTTTGTGACCTTTATTTGACCATGGTGAGCATAAAGGGTTGGGCAGGGAAGAAATAGGAAAGGAGAAACTATTAACTGAAAGGTGTAAAAAAGGCCCCGGGGCAGGACAATGGGAAAGGAGAGATAGAGTTTTGAAAGTTATTCCTCTCTGTCTTCCCCCAACTCTTACCCCACTGATGATCTTTTCCTTTTCCTCCCCATCATTCTTTTCATGAGTCCCTGGCAGTGGCCATGGACACCCTAGACACCCCAAAGCTCAGGACCTAATGGATCCTTCAGGTTAGTCTAGGAGGCATCATTTAGTGTGAATGGAGAAGAAAAGATTCTACTGGCCCCATCCTTCAGTCACCACAAGTCAGCTCTAGCCTGCTGCGTTTGCCCTCCCGTCCTGAACCTGAGTCCTGGGCCAATGTTCCCATCCCTGAGCAGGAGGCAGGCAGAGATATTTGGCCTGGTAGACAGGCTGAGCATTTGGGGAGCTCCCCAGAGTTCTCAGACAGCGGCAGGGGTAGTGGCCAGCATCTGAAGTCCACGATAGGGTGGCCCGTCTGTCATTAAGATCCCTCCTATGGCTGCATCAGGGATGAGATTAGGCTGCTCTAAGTCTCAGCCCCACTTTTCCAAACAAAGATTCTGCAGCTTGGGCATAATAATAGCAGTGCTTCTTATTTATATGATGCTCCTCCATTTGCAGAGGGCCTTCACAGACATAATTTCATTTAACTCGCACAACTGCCCTGCATGGCTGGAGTGCCTATCCCCATTACACCTCTAAGAAGGCAGGATGCAAGGTTACACAGTTTGAAGAGATTTGAAGAGATTCAAACCATCTAGTTCTGCTCTTTCCATGCCTCACTCCCTCCACCCTGTAGCCATTTGTGACTCTGACATGTGCTGATCCTTCCAAACCCTGAAGGATTCCATTTCTACTTCCTGCCTCTATCATCTCTCTGGAAATGAGCTCTGGAAGTATGCTGCCCACTGTGTGCCAAAGAACATTTTTCTATTCATCCTGAGCTTGCATCACTCCAGTTCTAAAAGGCCCCCTCATCTCCAGTTTCAAGATTTGGGGAGCAAGCAATTCTTCTGCATATCTAGGTCTTTTATTATGCTGTAGATTTCCATCCTGTCTCACCTTCCAGAGGACTAAACTTTGAAATTTGCCCTCACCAGCAACCCCTGGCTCCCCATTCTGCCAATCATTCTCTGACCCTACTCTAGGCCCATGACATTCTTCCTAAGAGCCAGTGACCAGGCATGCGTTCAGTTACAAGGCTTTATGCAAGGGTGGGAAAAGGTTCTGTCTTTTGTTTCCAATCACCTTCATTATGATACCACCTCTTTGGCCTTTTTGGCAAAAGCCAACTTTGAGCTAAAGTCTTCAGGGAACCATCTGTAATGCTTTCCCTGTTCCTTTCCTGACACAGAGTCCTTCATTTCACCTATAATTTCAGTGATTTTATGGGAGCACAGCAATGGGAGCACAAGCCCCTGAAAAGTGTATCAGAATGTGATGGGGATAATTGTGGTGTGTCTTTATATTGATCAAAATAGGGCAAATGAAAAACAAAAGTTGAGAATCCTAGCCAGTAATAAGCAAACTTTAGAACTGAGGAATGGACATGGGAGTATGGGGAATACGTATTGTATGTCACTCACAGGTGAAGGGTAAGAAAGGTTGAAACCACTGTTTAGATTACTCATTGCTAAATACAATGCCTTGCACTTGTCCTTGTGAAAACTCAGTCCCCAGCTGGGCTATCTTGCTCACTTATATGGACTCGTTCTCCCTGTTCTGTCCTCTTCAGCATAATTGAGCTGTGGTTAGAATTGGGGTCAGGGTGGATGGTCACTGTATGGGCCCAGCAGAGTCAGGGCTGTATCCCAGCTGCAGGGAAAGTAAACCCGGCTGTTAGGTAGGGCCAAGATATCCTTCCCAACCAGACTGAGAGGGCCAGATAGCCCCCTGTTGGACTCCAGAGTCTGGATTCCATGAGCCTCCTTCCCACCTCCGCTCAGCCACCAGGGTGGTGTTGGGACTGGTAGGGCTGAGGAAGAAAAAGGGAAACAGGACCACAGGATTTGCTTTGCTAATGGGGCTGTAGTTTTCTCTTCTGGCCTGGGCTCCTGCCCACTGTAGGGAAGGAGCCATTGGTCGCCTGATACTCCAGCAAGGAGTCTGGGGGGTGTCTGGTTAATTGTATTGGAATTAGGGGGCAACTGAGGCTGCCAGGGGCTTGTACCCAGCTCCTTCCTGTTTTCCCATTGCCTTTTGTCACCTATTCCTTCCTTTCCTGGTCTTGATTCCCACTAGCAGGCTCCTCATTGGCCTTCTGTCCTCAAATTTGGATTCTGGAAGTACAGAGTGATGCTCTGATCTATTCTGAATTGAAGGGGGCATGTGTCCCAGCCCACCTCACCCCAAGGCCAGGTTGTAGCCTTTACTCTCGCTCCCTGCTCACAGCTTCGCAGCCCGAAGGAGCTGAAACAAGTTTGCAAAGTGTGAGCTGGGATTTGAGGTGACCCACCGCAGCCGACCCCATCGCACACGCAGCAGCTGGGCAGGCGCTGCTGGGTAGACGGACATGCCACCCAGCCAGGGACATTCTGTCCGCCACTGCCAGACACAACTCCCGCTCCGGAGAGACCCACTTCGCTACCCGGACATTCTGTCCGCTCCGAGCCCCATGCACCGCGGACATTCTGTCCGATTCTGAGGCGGCCTCAAGTCAGGACCCTTCTGGGCCCAGACACCCCAAGCCAGATCCACTATACCCGCCGCCTGGTCACTCTGATCCGCACAGCGGCCATCTGACTCAGTCGCGGCCGGGCTCTCACAACACAGCTCCTATTCCAACTGCGGAGCAGCTGGGAAGAGAAGCGTGTGCGACCAGGCGCACCCCGGCTCCCAGCCCCAGGAGTCTGAGCCTAGGCCGAGGGGCATCGGGCGCCGTCAACTGCCCCCACACTGGGGGCCGCCCCGCCAGCTCCCCCGCTGGCCAGGGCCTCTGTAACCCCTTTCGCTCCCTGGCCGCCTGCCCCGTGCCCTGGGATTCCAGGGCGCTTTCTGGTAATGGTTTCCAGACTCCCTACTCCCTGCCTCGCGAAGCCCCTATCCTGGTTTCAAGTCTCCGGCTTCGTTCCGGATCCTCTGAGTCTCCCCCTTCCCTATCCCCTGGTTCTTACCCTGAGTTTCCCTTTTCCCAAGTCCTGGCCCCAGGTCTGCAGTCCGCCCTCCCATTCTCGACCTGTTCCCAAGGCACCGGAGTTCAGCTGCCCCAGGTCTCGTTTTAGGGATTCCAAGGTCCAGCAATAGCTCCTCGGCCCCATGAGCCCCTGTCCTTAGAATGGTCAAACACTCACAGTGCGTCCTGCAACAGGCAGACTCCCAGTAGCGGCGGCTGCGGCGGCGATCTAGAGGGCAGGCAGGGGCCAGGGGCCGGGCACCCGGCCGGAGTGGGGGCCGCCCCCCTGCTCCCGGGCCGCCTCTCCGCTCGGGCGCTCCTGGACTCTCGGAGGGAGTGAGCCTCACCGCGTACTGCCACCCCCAGCCGGCGCCCATTCACTTTATGGCAGACCAGGGCGCCCCCAGCCCGCCGCGGCGAGCCGCGCGCGTCAGGCCCCGCCCCTTTCCAGCTGCCCTGCTGGGGCTCCGCCCTTTCCAGCTGTGGATCTCCAGGCCCCGCCTTTGAGGGAGGGGTCTGGCCGGCGAGACGCCAAGAACCCCGCCCTCTGGCCAATCAGAAGCGCTCTTCAGCAACTCGGCCGCGCCCCTCCCCACGTGGCAGAGACCGCGCTCCGGCTAGGACGCTTAGGCAGAGCCAAGTGGGCGAGAGTAGAGTGGTCCCGGTAGCCACGGGTAAAAGGGATCGGCTGGCAGCGAAGTGGGTTGGGCCGCTACCCCGAGGAAAGTGGATCGGCGCCAGGTGGGAAGGCGCACGGGGCCGCCGGGTCTCAGCGCTCAGACTTCTCTGCCACTCAAGTTTCGCCGATTTTCTCCACTTGTCGCTGTCCGTCTCTCCTCCCTTTTGTCTCTGTTCCAATCCTCCCACGTCTCGCCTTTCTTTCCTCTTCTTTCTCCTCAGCCGCTTCGCTCCTGCTGTTTACCATTCTCCTTCCTCTGCCACTTTAAAAGACTCATTTCTCTTTCTCTCTGCTCCTCTTTCCTCATATCTTTCCTCTTCTTCATTTCCCCCTTCTTCTCCAAGGAAGGTGACTTCGTGGAGACAGCAGGGTTTGGAATGATACAAACCAAAGTAGTATTCCAACGCTGCCACGAACTGCACCATCACTGAGTGAACTTGGACGAGTAACTATCATCTCCCTCCCCGCGCAAAACAATTAAGAGGAGGTTCCTGCTGGATCTCAGGGCTTGGGCTGGGCACTCCAAAGGCATTGCCTTTCAGTCTGTACCCTTGTCTTGCTTAGGCTGTGCTCTCCCTCCTTCAGCAGGGCTGGTTTCCCGCTGGTGGTACCAGGTTAAGTCCTGTGGGCAAGGTGTGGCCTTGGTGCCTGCTGGTTAGGAATTTGCAAGGGACAGGACAGATGACCAAGGAACATCCTGGCAGACTGTGACTTCGGCCCTCTCTGACTTAGGCCTCAATTTCCAGGAAACAGGCTCCTTCTCTTCTCCCAGTTAGGCTATGTTGCTTGGGTGCTCCGAAGAGCCTAAGCCCAGGCCAAACACTGTGGCTCATGCCTGTAATCCCAGCACTTTGGGAGGCCGAGGCGGGCGGATCACAAGGTCAGGAGATTGAGACCACCCTGGCTAACACGGTGAAACCCCATCTCTACTAAAAAATACAAAAAATTAGCCGGGCTTGGTGGCGGGTGCCTGTAGTCTCAGCTACTGGGGAGGCTGAGGAAGAAGAATGGCGTGAACCCAGGAGGCAGAGCTTGCAGTGAGCTGAGATCGCGCCACTGCACTCCAGACTGGGCGACAGAGCAAGACTCTGTCTCAAAAAAAAAAAAAAAAAAGAGCCTAAGCCCAGTCACACAATATGCCCCTAAGGCAAATCTGAGCAGTCATGTCTTGACTGTTCAGTGACTCCCATTGCCCTTAGGATAAAGGTCAAGCTCCCTAGCCTGGCATACAAGACCTTCAGGACCTGACCTTGTCTTCATCTCCAATTTCCTAGTAGTGTCCTGCACACCTCTGGCCCTTCCTGTGAAAGTAACCCATCTTTATATTGTCAATTCCTACTCCTCCAATGTTCCACTCAAGTCTTATTTTCTCTGGGAAGCCTTTTCTGAACTCTCAGTTTAGCCCCTTGCTCTCATGACCCTCAGTGTATACCTTCTATTACACCACCCACCATATTGAAGGGATCAGCTTATGTGTTGTCTGCTATGATAATAAAATTTAGGAGGGTAAGGACCATGTCTGTTATTCCCAGGCATAATGTAGAATCTCAATAAATGTCACACTGAAATCTATGAGGAAGATGTTCTGCCTGGTAAGATGATGATTAGTGGTTAGGAGGGACTAGGGAATTGTCATCTCTCTCCTCCCCATCTCTATTGCACAATCACATGCTTTTAGAATGATGAATTTCTGGAGGTATGTAGAAGTAGATATTGGCGAGCAGAAATTTTTGGCCCACTTAGAGGATTTTCCAATCGGCTTTCCAGGACCTCTCAATCTGAGACAGGCCCAGGACACCAACTCTCAGTTTTCAAATGAAGAGGAAAATGGCTTTGAGGTAATGTGGAAAGAGGTGCTATGATGGTATATCCTCTTTCCCTGACTCTCTTTGGGTGATAGAGGCTAGATCCTCAGCTGGACCCACCGACCAGAAGCCCAATGTGCAGGTGTAGGAAGTTACTGAGGGGTTCTTCACGTCTGATATCTGATGGGTGCTTTACACTAGAGCATCGTGGCCAGGTGTGGTGGCTCACACCTGTAATCTCAACACTTTGGGAGGCTGAGGCGGGTGGATCACCTGAGGTCAGGAGTTCGAGACCAGCCTGTCCAACATGGTGAAACCCCATCTCTACTAAAAATACAAAAATTAGCCTGGTGTGGTGGCAGATGCCTGTAATCCCAGCTACTTGGGAGGCTGAGGCAGGAGAATCACTTGAACCCAGGAGGTGGAGGTTGCAGTGAGCCAAGATCACAGCACTGCACTCCATCCTGGATGACAAAGCAAGACTCTCTCAAAACAAACAAACAAACAAAAGACAAAAAAACAAAACAAAACAAAAAAATAGCGCATCGTAGCACACGGATGGTCTTTGGATGTCTGGTTTTGAGACTACTTTCCTATGTGGTTAGTTATAGAGCTTCCCTGGACTTGGGTCGTCCATAATTGGGAGGATGTATGGAAAGAATTAGGTATTTTTTTTTCACTGCCTCCCAGCAGCTTCTCCAGGTCTGCAGGGACACTGGGGCTCTAGTGTCCCAAATAGGCTGGGAATTTCATGATTCAGTCTCCTAGGAGAAAACCCATCCTCTTGTCCTCTTCTCACGCATTCTCACTTCCAGGTAATACAGGTAATTCTAAATAGCTTAGTAACCTCTATCATCTCTTGCAAGGGGAGGAGGCAGCTGGGGGCAAGACAGTGAAAACAGGTGGGCATCCAACCCTCAGGCCCCTTAGCGTTTCTAAGGCAAACAAGAAAGACTTCTGTTTCCTATCACTGATGAGGTGGGCTAAGCTGCGTATTTAGCCTGGTGGATAAGGCCCGTCAAAGGCTTGGTATGAAAGGCAGACCGGGAGTCAAAGCCCGATATACTAAGGCATAAGAGGTGACAAAAGGCGATGAAAAGAGTTGGCCTGGGGGTGAGGAGACCCAGGGGTTCGTCTCTCTGCTCTGCTATTTACTAATTATGTGAACATGGGCCCAGCCTTCCACCCTGGGGCTGTTTCCTATAATGTAAAATGAAGAGACTTAAATTAGATATCCAGGGCTTCTGCTACGTCCCATTTTCTCTATTTCTGGATGATGGGAGTGGGGCAGAGGACGCTGAAACAGAGTTGGGACGTGACAGACATAACTGTGAGAAGCCACGACAGGGAAGGTGGACAAGAGGGCGAGGAGAGCAGGGTGTGGAATAGATCGCTGGACTTGTTTTTAGAATGAAGGGAGCCCAGAGCTGCCTCGAAAAGGAGTGATTCCTCAAGGGGCATGGTCTTGGCCCAGGTAACTTTGATAATACGTGGACAGGGGAGTAGGGATGCCCGCTCAAGTTCTCAAAGCGGACCCCGCCCCTTTCCAGCCAATTGTAGCCTTTTTCCCCATAATGCCCAGCAGCCACTGCCAAACCGCGCACTGCAACCGAACTCTACCTAACTCCACCTCTCTAGCCGCCCAGCCCAGTTCCTCATTTTTTATTGGTTTTTTAAACTGTCACTCAGAGAGTACTCGTATCCGTTGGTTGTCCCCTAACATACCCTTTCTTTCCCTTGTAATCGCGCTTCTTTAGGCACTACCCGCCTCCTGAAGCCAATTTCCTTTATTCGATTGGATAGTCGGAATGCTACTTTTCACGGTGCAAAGCTATGATTGGCTGCGCGCGGCAGGGCTCGCGCAGTTACCAGGCAGCGGGCTAGACTGAGGCTAGTTACCACGTCAGTGAGCTGACAGGGAAGGTACCCGGCTCTACTGCCCGTCCCGGACGACTCATCCTGGCGGACTGTGCAGTCCCACCCTGACTTCGGCCTCAATTTCCAGGAAACAGGCTCCTTCTCTTCTCCCATCTGCTACCAGAGCCGGGAGAGCTGCTCGGAGACGCCTCCGGGGTGCGGGCTGGACATGAGCAGCGGCTGCCGGTCCTGGGACTAGGCCCCGCCATTTTGGATCCGCTGACAGGTCAGCGAAGTCTCTTCCTAGAGTTCCGGTGTCGTGAAGGCCGCCCTGACATCGCAATAGGGAATTAGTGGGAAGGGCCCTTAAATTGGGCGAGCCAAGGTGGGCTAAGGACGCAGCGGACAGGAATAAGACGAGGGAAGGGTTGTTGTGGGAGGGAACAGGGAGGTATGCAGGGGCAAAGGTCATGCCTCTGCCGCAGGAGGGGCGATTTCTGCTCTCATTACTGATCCTTTGCAGGTGCCCAAATCTTCTGTTTTCCCAGGCTTGACCTAGTATTTAGCTTCTCCTTTCCAGCGCTTTCTGCATCCTGAAGAGCCCAGTACTCAAAAGCTGAAAGCAAACCTAAGGAGCATTGTGTCTACTTTTATGGGTTTTCAGACTTTAGATGTGAAAGTCTCTCTAGATTCTGTACAGCGTCTACTTCTTTGTGATTGCCTCACTAATACAAAGGAACTGCTTCATTAATAATGATGAACTAGTGCACCCTAGAATCAGGTTGTCAGCAGAGGGACGTGTGGAAGGCTTGAGGTTATAGCAGCGCAGGGAACTGGGCTATGAGAAGGCTTCCCTCTTACAGGACAGCTCAGCTGCCAGTCTGGGTCTGTATGTAAACACTATACTTATCTTCTGGGCCTGTTTGTTCCTTTATACAATCTTTCACAGGCATTCTTTTGTAGTGTATGTTTTTGTTGACATTTTTCTCTCAGATCTTCACTAAGGAGATGAGGCTTAATCATAAGGAAACCACTCTATTATGACATATTTGACTGACAGCAGAGAGAGATATTTGAATACTGGCAAAGTTTGGTATTGTCGGCCTATTATGTTTAGTGGGCAAAAAGAGTCATGAGAGATTTTCAGCCAATTGTAGGGTCAGAGCCCCAGAGTGAATGATGGAACATAACCCTAGAGAGTAGTTTATGGCACTGTGATGACCTTTGATAAACTGCTGTGTTGTAAAGCTATAAAAGTCCACCAAGGGTAACGAATGCTTTTAGAAATAAGGAATAGTGTAGATGGTGTTTTTTAATGCACAATGTGGAAACTTGTGCATTAATTCAGGTATAAAAGGCACTCTAGGCCCTGTGGAGGATACAAATGGAAAGGTCTGCTTTGGGACTGCTCAGTTAATGCACTTCTTAAAAGTAGTAGCATGTATGTGCAGTGGCCTAGCTAGAGCATGTAGTAGGTTAAGAGCAGGATCAACCTAATACCTTTTGGTATGTAGTGGGCACTCAATAAACGTTATCTCTATCTGGGATTAGTTTCAGTATGTGATCAGGACTTGTGGCCTGCTTTTGGCCCTGGCAGTCAGGAACACTTTGCACTTTTGCATGATGAGGTAGTAACAAGGAGGATCAAAACCTCATAGTGTCAGAAGAGAAAACTATTTAGGATCTTGGAATGACTAACTCAATTTTTCCTACCTTTGTCCTTATGAAATTGAAATTTCATAATTTCCCTTTTCCCTTCCTACCTTCGTCCTTATGAAATTGAAATTTTTGTGTGTGTTGGGAGAAGGGGGATGGCATTATTTATGCTTCACCTGTGTTGATTTAGATGGAAATGGTACAGGAAACTATTTGCATTTTAACTTGCTGATCTAAGTTGTAGAATTCCTCCCCTCTCCCCGCCCCCAAGAAAGTAGTTGAACGCAGCAAATGAAATGACATACCTCAGGAGGTACCCAGGTTTGATGATCCTGCCTTGCTCACTTGGGCCATTGCCCTGTTGAGTTGATATGCTTTGCATAACAGGCAATCTAGTCTCTGGGTAGGCAGTGTGATCAATCCAGGATCCAGTCATCCTCAGTTGAGCCTAAGGGTGACTATAGAGGCATCAAAACGTTTTCTCTTTCTCTCTCTTTCTTTTTTTTAATCCTAAATGTCATTTCTAGATAGGAATAATTTTCTAGATAGGAATAATTCCCACTCCTACCCACAAATCAGAAAATTCATCCTTCAAATACAAGTCCCAAGCTTGTATTTGAGCTTCTTTTTAATGGTGTTTGTAGACAGTATGTTCCAGTCTTGACAGTGATGCTCATTGGCACAGTGGGAACTCAGGCTATAGACATATCTCCTCAGTAGCTGGGCACCAATCCCAGTTTCAGCTCAGAGTTCTCAAAGTTACACTACTATTTTATTTCCCTCTTTTCCAGAAGTCAGGATGACTGCCACTTTCACATAATAACCTCATTGATAGGGTACTTAGACTGGCTGCTGTGGGCAGCTAAAGAGGAAGAAGACACAGCTCTTGCTTTTGAGGAGACTCTATTTATAGAGTACTCACTGCAAGGATCACCCTAATCTTTGTATGACACTTCTCATTGATTGATCACACACTATATCCCTGTGGCTCTGTGTGACTGATTAGAATGATTCTGTTGTTGGGTTAATGGTGGGATTGAATTTAAGGGTGTATGTTTTTGTTGACATTTTATCCTCAGGCTAGAAGAGCTATGTAAATATAATGAGCTGCTGTTTAGCTGTTACTCTTTTTTTTTTTTAATATTTCAGTATGTTCAACTGCAGTTGTTTAACTAAATGAAAATATAATAAAGCAGTGTGCTGATTTGGAACCCCAATAATAATAGAAGTGATCATAGAAGTGATTATTTGTTCTAGTAGTAGTGGAAATTACGATAGATGCAATAGTAGTGTAAATGATCATGGAAGTATGATGGCAAAGTAATGGTTTGCCAATCATATAAACCAGGGGTTACGAGCTCATGTGCCTAAATGCCAGGCAGGTAATGTAAATGAGTTAATTGAGTCCCATGGGAATGTATTAGGATTAGTGGGGACTGTTGTGTACTGGACAACCCATGCCTTTATTTTTTTTTTGTCTTTAATTTTAATTTCTTTTTATTGAGACAGGGTCTTGCTCTGTCACCCCGGCTGGAGTGCAGAGGAACGATCACAGCTCACTGCAGCCTTGACCTCTGGGCTCAAGTGATCTTCCTACCTCAGCCTCCCAAGTAGCGGGGAACACAGATGTGCGCCATCATGCCCAGCTAATTTTTTAATATTTTGTAGAGACAAGGTCTCACTGTATTGCTCAGGCTGGTTTCGAACTCCTAGACTCAAGCAGTCCTCCCACTTTTGCCTCCCAAAGTGCTGGGATTTTAGGAATGAACCACCATGCTCAACCCATTCCTTTATTTAGAAGAGCCAACTGCTCCTTTTTCAGCAGATTGTTACTGTTTTAGAGTGCAGGCACAGAATGACCACTCTTTCTATTTTTCAGGAGAAACTGGAAATTTAGATCATTGTGTTTTCTAATTGTTGGAAACTAGTTAAAAGTATTTTTAAGCCTTTTTCAGGCCAAAGAAAATATGTCTGTGGACTGGATTCTGCCCAATGGTTACTGGATGATGACCCTCAATAAACAAAATGGGCAGGCCTTATGAGACTTAATCACTGCAGTTCTCTATACATAATCACATAGACTTTTTTTCTTTGTCCTACTCTGCCAGCTGTCACCTTTGTACCTTGGGTGCCCTGAGTGGCTAAAAGATGGAGTGAGATAGAGAAGGTTTGTTTTATTTTTCATCTCCAAGCTGGCAGAAGGGACAGCTTTGGACATATTAGTAGCTTACCTTGTAAACGGTTTTTGAGATACTCTCAGAATCTCCACAGGGGGAGGAGATGGCATGCTAGAGCTGAGGTACCCTGGTCACCCGATTATCAGGTCTGGGAGGATTTTCCAGTGATGCATTGTCAGGGCACCAGCTTTTTTCCCAGTTTAACCTTCTTTTACTTCCACCCTTTAAGTAAATTTCTTGAGCTCAGTAAGTTGTTTCCTAGTTTAGTAACTTTGGTTATTCTCAATAAAGCACAGAACTATGATGTGTTCCTAGGCCAGCTCTGGAAATGTTAAAAGCTCTGCATCTTTAGTGTTTCTCTGGCTTTTTTTTTTTTTTTCTCTGATGGAGTCTTGCTCTGTTGCCCAGGCTGGAGTGCAGTGGTGTGATCTTGGCTCACTGCAACCTCCGCCTCCTGGGTTCAAGCAATTCTCCTGCCTTAGCCTCCCAAGTAGCTGGGACTACAGGTGCACGCCACCACACCCAGCTAATTTTTGTATTTTTAATAGAGATGTGGTTTCACCATATTGGCCAGGCTGGTCTTGAACTCTTGACTTCGTGATCCGCCCACCTCGGCCTCCCAAAGTGCTGGGATTATAGGTGTGAGCCAATGCGCCCAGCCTTCTCTGGCTTTTAAAGGTATTGAGTGAACATAAACCTTAGAAGGGCCTATTGCTGGTCCTTTAGCTCCCTACTACCATCTACCTTTTCAGAAAGTCCATCAGTTTTTCTTGGTTTGCCCAGCTCTGTATTAGACACAAAGGCATCATGAAAAAGAAAAACAAAATTGCGCTTTTGCCTTTGGAGAATTTATTTGCTAGTTGGATAAGAATAATTTTTTTTTGAGACAGAGTCTCTCTCTGCCACCCAAGCTGGAATGCAGTGGTGTGAGATCTCGGCTCACTGCAACCTTTGCCTCTCAGGCTGAAGTGATCCTCCCATCTCAGCCTCCTGAGTAGCTGGGACTATAGGTGCGTGCCACCACGCCTGCCTGATTTTTGTGTTTTTTGTAGACACAGGATTTTACTATGTTGCCCAGAGTCCAGTGGTGTCATCATAGCCCATTGCAGCCTTGATTTTTTTTGGCTCAACTGATCCTCCTACCTTAGGCTCCCTAGTGGCTGGAACTACAGGCATGTATCACTATGTCCCACTAATTTTTTTTTTTTTTTTTTTAATTTATGTTGCCTAGGCTGGTCTCTGACTCCTGAGCTCAACCATTCCTCCTGCTTTGGCCTCCTAAAGTGCTGGGATTAAAGATGAGAGCTACTGCACCTGGCCAAGGAAATGTTTAAAAGTGATTAAGAGGCCGGGCGTGGTAGCTCATGCCTGTAATGCCAGCACTTTGGGAAGTCAAGGGAGGCAGATCACCTGAGGTCAGGAGTTAAAGGCCAGCCTGGCCAACATGGTGAAACGCTGTCTCTACTAAAAATATAAAAATTAGCTAGGCGTGGTTGTGGGCGCCTGTAATCCCAGCTACTCGGGAGGCTGAGGCAGGAGAATCACTTGAACCCTGGAGGTGGAGGTTGCAGTGAGCCGAGATTGCGCCACTGCACTCCAGCCTAGACGACAAGAGCGAAACTCTGTCTCAAAACAAACAACCAAACAAACACAAAACCAAACCCCATAAAAGTGATTAAGAAAAAAAAAAAAACCACTTAAACACTAGTGTACTAAAAACAGCTATTTAGAGCCAAAGAAAATAAGGCATATATGAAGAATTGACAGTTACATTAAAAATTATATATTTCACAAAAATGTGAATGTGCAAATAACACTTAAGGAGATGTCAGGAAGATAGACGTGAAAAAAGAAGCATTATGATATGGCTGGTAGGTAAATGTGGGTTCTTTTTACCTGTATGGAAGGTTTGTAACTTCTGGTAGAGAAGCAAATATATATTATCAAAAAAAGGTTTGCCAGTGTGGCTCAGAGTTATTGTCTTCTATGAAGTCATTTTTCTCATGAGGTGGATGTGTGCTGTACCACTCTTGAAGAGTCAGTCTTGATGTTATTTCATTTGTTCATCTAGTATTTATTGATCATTTTTCTTACTATGTGTCAGGCTTTGGAGATAAAAGGGTAAATAAATCATGGTCTTTCCCCCTGAGATAGAGCCTGATAGTCCCATGGTGGTGATACACTAAATAAATAATTATAAATTAGTATAAGATGTGTTTATTTTTATTTTCATTTATTTATTTGAGGCAGAGTCTCACTCTGTCACCCAGGCTGGAGTACAGTGGCACGATCATACCGCAAGGCAACCTGGAACTCCTGGGCTCAAGTGATCCTCCTGCCTTAGCCTCCCAAGTAGCTGGGACAACAGGTGTGCGCCACCACACCTGGCCAATTTTTCTTTATGTTTTGTAGAGACAGGGTCTCGCCATGTTGCCTAAGCTGGTCTTGAACTTCTAGGCTCAACTGATGCTCCCTCCTTGGCCTCCCAAAGTGCTGGGATCACAGACATCAGCCACTGTCCCCAGCCAAGATATGTTTAGAGATAACTACAAAGTGCTGTGGGTGGCCGGGCATGGTAGTTCATGCCTATAATCCCAGCACTTTGAGAGGCCGAGGCAGGCAGATCACTTGAGGTCAGGAGTTTGAGACCAGGAGTTTGAGACCAGCCTGGCCAACATGGTGAAACCCCAACTCTACTAAAAATACTCTGCTAAAAAAGTGGAAAAAAGGGCTGGGCGCAGTGGCTCACACCTGTAATCCCAGCACTTTGGGAGGCCGAGGTGGGCAGATCACCTGAGGCCGGGAGTTTGAGACCAGCCTGACCAACACGGAGAAACCTCATCTCTACTAAAAATACAAAATTGGCCCGGCATGGTGGCGCATGAATGTAATCCCAGCTGCTGGGAGGTTGAGGCAGGAGAATCGCTTAAACCTGGGAGGCAGAGGTTACGGTGAGCCGAGATTGTGCCATTGCACTCCAGCCTGGGCAACAAGGGGGAAACGCTGTCTCAAAAAAAAAAAAAAAGTGGAAAAATAAATAAATAAATAAATAAGTGGTTTTAAGATTGTTCTTAGAACCACTGTGATATTCTGACTCCCTCATTGACTTTTGGATGGAATGAGTAAGGGTTTATCAGGTGGACAAGAGTGAGAAAAAACATTCAGAATAGAAAGGGAGCTTCATATGCAAAGGCAAAGAGGCAGCAAAGACCATGACTTTAAAAAGTAGGAATGATGTGGCGTGGTGGCCCACACCTATAATCCCAGCATTTTGGGAGGCCAAGGCAGGCAGATTGCTTTGAGCTCTGGAGTTTGAGACCAGCCTGGGCAACATGGCAAAATGTTGTCTCTACAAAAAATACAAAAAAATTAGCCAGGCATGGTGACTCATGCCTGTAGTTCCAGCTACTTGGGAGGCTGAGGTGGGAGGATCGCTTGAGCCTGGGAAGCAGATATTGCAGTGAGTCAAGATTGTACCACTGCACTCCAGCCTGGGCGACAGAATGAGACCCTGTTTCAAAAAAAAAAAAGGAACTTTTTAACTTTTTAGGGTCTTTTATTTTATTTTATTATTATTATTTTTTGAGCCGGTGTCTTGCTCTGCTGCCCAGGCTGGAGACCAGTGATGCAATCTTGGCTTACTGCAACCTCCACCTCCTGGGTTCAAGCAATCCTCCTGCCTCAGCCTCCTGAGTAGCTGGGATTACAGGCCCCTGCCATCATGCCCAGCTAATTTTTGTATTTTTAGTAGAGTGGGGGTTTCACCATGCTGGCCAGGCTGGTCTCAAACTCCTGACCTCAGTTGATCTGCCTGCTTTGGCCTCCCAAAGTGCTGGGATTACAAGCATGAGCCACTGCCCCCAGCCGAGGGGCTATTTTAGACAAAGAATATGTGTAGCTTATATGGGGCACCAATGGCTGCCACCCAGCTTGAAAAATAACATCACCAAAACTGAGGCTGCATGTATGTATGCCCTTCCCTGTTAGTTCCCCCACACTCCCTGCCGCTTGCCACTATTCTCAATTTTTTTGTGTGAGCTTCTCTGGGGTATAGTCCTAGAAGTGGAATTGCTGAAATATAGGATATGAAGTGCTTTAGCTTTGTAAGATAATGCCAAATTGTTATTCAAATTCATATTAATTTAGATACATACCAGCCACTTGGTCTGCATTTTTTACCAACTTAAAAACAATTTTTTTTTTGAGACAGGGTCTTACTCTGTTGTCCAGGCTGGAGTACAGTGGTGTGATCGTGGCTCACTGCAGCCTTGACCTCCTAGGCTCAAGTGATCCTCCCACTTCAGCCTCTCAAGTAGCTGGGACTACAGGCACATGCCACCATGCCCTACTAATTTTTAAATTTTTTGTAGAGATGGAGTTTTGCTATGATGCCCAGGCTGTTCTCAAACTCCTTGGCTCAAGTGATCCTCCTGCATCGGCCTCCTAAAATGCTGGATTATAGGCGTGAGCACCTGGCCTTTTAAGTATTATCAGATTTAAAGTGTTTTGCTATTTCAGGAATGTAAAGTGGTATATCATTATAATCTTATTTTGTAATTTTCCTGATTATTAATGAAGCTAATAATCTTTTCATATATTTATTTGCTGTTTATGTTTCCTATTCTGTGAAACACCTATTCATCTCTGTTGCCAATTTTGGGGAGGGGTTATATGTCTAGTTCTTATAGTTTTGTAGCAGTTATTGTATACTCTGGATATTACTCCTTTATATTAGTTATATGTGCCTCAAATATTTTCTTCTGGTTTGTGCCTTATCTTTTCCCTCTTTTTTATGTTGTCTTTTGAACAGGCATTTTTAATTTTAACATGGTTGAATTCACCAATTTTTTAAAGAGGTTTTGCTTTTTGTTTCTTGTTTAGGTACTTCTCCCTTATGCTGAGTTTATAAAAATACTCTCCTGTAGCCAGGTGCTGTGGCACACACCTGTTGTCCCAGCTACCCAAGAGGCTGTTGTGGAAGGATTGCTTGAGCCTAGGAGTTTGAGTCCAGCCTGGGCAACATGGCAAGACCCTATCTCTAAAAAAAAATCAAAAAGAAAATATTCTCATATATTAGCTTCTAAGAGATTTCAAGTTTTGCTTTTCATATTTAAATAACCTGAGATATATTTTTGGTATTCCATTAAATAAGAATACAATTTATTGTTTCTTTTTCTCCTGCTTTTGTTGGATATAGACAGAGTTGCCAAGTGATACAGTGACTCCTCTTTGGATCCTGTTGAGGTAACTGGGATGCCACAAAGCACTAGGGGAATGTTCTAGACCCAGCTTTAAATGGACAGTGGTTTCAAGGGTACATGTTACTCAGAGTCTCTGGGCCAGTGGCTTATCTGGCTAAGGGTGTTAGTTGGTATTTATTTAGTTGTTCCCTCTCTTATTTATTTTTTTCTATTAATTTTTCATTTGTGTGGGTACATAATGAATGTATTTCTCTTGTTATTTCTGACACAAGATAAATCTTAAGTTCGTTTCTACTATACTTTTATGAGGTTTCTGCAGGCCTTTATGACCTTGTGACAAGGGATTTCTTGGCCATTGGCTACCAGGCAGCAAGTGGTTCATCAGTTTCCCATCTGAAGCTGAAGGGCACAACTGTTTGGAGATTCCCTGAGTGAGGGGACATACTCAGAGACCTAGAAGGAGATTAGGCAGCTCTGCATAGTACTTGAAAATAATTCCTCTTCATTCCCTAGATGTTTCTTTTTTTTTGAGACAGAGTCTCACTCTGTTGCCCAGGTTGGAATGCAGTGGCGCGATCTCGGCTCACTGTAACCTCCACCTCCTGGGTTCAAGTGATTCTCCTGCCTCAGCCTCCCAAGCAGCTGGGATTACAGGTGTGTGTCACCACACCTGGCTAATTTTTGTATTTTTAGTTGAGGTGGCGTTTCACCATGTTGGCCAGGCTGGTCTTGAACTCCCAACCTCAGGTGATCTGCCCACCTCAGCCTCCCAGAGTGCTGGGATTATAGGCGTGAACCACTGCGCCCAGCCCTAGATGTTTCTTTTTTACAATGATTTTTTGCTTAGACCTTTGCTGTCTTAGAAAGTGGTTACTTCTTTTCTAAAGGGCTTATTCATTTTTAGTCAATCAGCTGATTAAAATTTAAAAGTAGTTAATAGGTAATATATGTTTGTGACACAAAATTCAAAAGGTAAAAAAGAATATACAGAGAAAAGTTAGTCTTCCTTTCACTCCTCCACCACTCAGTTCCATAGTCATCCAGTTTCTTTCCCTGGAGGCCGTAACCTCTTAGCATTTTCTTACAAGTCCTTCCAGAGACCTAGAGCATATTCATCTTGCCTACATAATTTAAGGAAAGGGAAATACCAGGAAAGATTTAATCTTTTCTCTTCTGATACTTTAAATCATTTTTGAATATATCTTTCTTCTATTTCTAAGTTCTCCTCCTCCTCAGAAGAGAGCGTGGTTGTACATTCATATCATTGACACTTCTCAGAAGAGAACGTTGTTGTGTTCCTAGAGCATTTGGAAAGCAGATAGTCTTCTGAGATTAACCTAGTTTTTTAAATTGTCATTAATATAAATCTTGTGTTGGATTCCCTTGTGGACTGGGGAGCTGTCATGGGCATGGACACATTATTATTATTATTTTAAGACAGAGTCTCGCTCTGTTGCCCAGGCTTGAGTGCAGTGGCACGAACGCGGTTCACCGCAGCCTCAATCTACCGGCCTCAAGCAATCCTCCCACCGCAGCCTCCCTGGCAACTGGGACTACAGGTGTGCACCACCACACCTGGCTAATTTTTGTATTTTTTATAGAGACAGGGTTCGCCATGTTGCCAAGGCTGGTCTCGAACTCCTGGGCTCAAATGATCTGCCCACCTCAGCCTTCCAAAGTGTTAGGGATTACAGGTGTGAGCCACTGCGCATGGCCCCTGGACAAAATTTGTACCAGTTTCTTTTTCCTTTATCATGGTGGTTTTCATGCTTTTCACTTTCTTGGGGGGCCTCATCTTATGCAAAATATGCAAATTGAGCTACTTGCTAGGTACATTTCTTTCTCTATTATCTCTGGCTGTGTCTGTTTTTGTATCTATTCCACTAAACTGTATAAATGCCTCAAGGACATAAATTATATACCTCTTATCATTATTAATGTTTAATTATATTGATAGTACAGTAATACATTCTCTTTGTAAAAAAAAAAAATTTTTTTTTTTTTGGGATGGAGTCTGGCTCTGTTGCCCAGGCTGGATGGAGTACAGTGGCATGATCTCGGCTCACTTTAACCTCTGCCTCCCAGGTTCCAGCGATTCTTCTGCCTCAGCCACTCGAGTAGCTGGGATTACAGGCGCCCTCCACCACACCTGCCCAATTTTTGTATTTTGAGTGGAGATGGGTTTCACCATGTTGGCCAGGTTGGTCTCGAGCTCAGGTTATCTACCTGCCTTGACACTCCTGAAGTGCTGGGATTACAGGCATGAGCCACAGTGCCCGACCTTCTTGTAAAAAGTTAAAATATTACAGATCCAGCCTGGGCAACAAAGTGAGACCCCATCTCTACAAAAAGTACAAAAATTAGTTGGGTTGGTGGTGTGCGCCTGAAGTCCCTGCTACTCAGGAGGCTAAGGCAGGAGGATTGCTTGAGCCCAAGAGTTCAAGTCTGCAGTGAGGCATGACAGTGCCACAGGACTCCAACCTGGGTGACAGAGTGAGACCTTGTCTCAAAAAAACCCCAAAAGACAAAACGATTACAGATAAGGCTCAAGTATCCTCTGATTGCACCCTGTTTTCACAGCACCTTCTCTAGGAATAATTATGGTTATAAGTTTGGGTATATTAGCACAGACCTTTTATTTTATATTTACATATCATATTAATGCTTTCTTGCTGTCAGTTAATATGAGTTTTCAGAACTTTTCAAAGGTCTTGTCACTGTCACTGTCCAGTTTTCTGGAGCTGACTGGGCAGATTGGATGCAGTCATTTGTTTATATTTATATTTATATATTTTTAGAGATAGTGTCTTGCTCTGTGACCCAGGCTGGAGTGCAGTTGTGGGGTCATAGCTCACTGCAGCCTCGAACTCCTGAGCTCAAGTGATCCTCCCGCCTCAGCCTCCCCAGTAACTAGAACTACAGGTGTATGCCACCATGCCTGGCTAATTTTTTAGTTTTGTTTTTTTGGTAGAGACTGGGTCTCACTGTTTGCCCAGGCTGGTCTCAACTCCTGGGCTGAACTGATTCTCCTGCCTTGGATTCCCAAAGTGCTGGGATTGCAGGTGTGAGCCACTTCACCTTGTCTGGATGCAGCCTTTACGCTGACATTGCAACTGTGGTTCTAAACCAACACTATGCTTCCAACAACCTTTATTCTTTTCTTTAACTTGAATCTTTAAATTCAAGTTAAATTTTTATTGAGTAGATTAAAAAGAACAAAGGGAAGACTATATACTTAGGAGAGAGCGAGAGAGAGTGTCTCGATATGCTGCCCAGGCTGGTCTTAAATTCCTGGGCTCAAGCAATCCTCCCGCCTCGTCCTCCCAAAGTGCTAGGATTATAGGCATGAGCCACCATGTCTGGCCAGAAATATTGTTTTTAACAAGCTGACATTACAGTTGTATCTGTGTACTTAAAGGCATCATAGGACTTTGGGAACAATTGACTTTGAAGAATTTGACATGCTTCCTGAGGATTGTTGAGGTGCCTTTGAAAAATGTTCTGGATTGACTCGCTTTGAGTTGTATCTTGAACTACCTTGAACTTCTAAAGACCCCCAGGAGAGCCAGATAGTTGGATTCATAACATAAGATGGACTTCATCTCATTTTAGTATTACAGATTTTTTTTTTTTTTTTTTTTTTGAGGTGGAGTTTCACTCTTGTTGCCCAGGCTGGAGTGCAATGGGGCGATCTTGGCTCACACAACCTCTGCCTCCCAGGTCCAAGCAATTCTCCCATCTCAGCCTCCCGGGTGGCTGAGATTACAGGCATGCGCCACCTCGCCTGGCTAATTTTTTGTGTTTTTAGTGGAGAGAGGGTTTCTCCATGTTGGTCAGGCTGGTCTTGAGCTCCCGACCTCAGGTGATCCACCTGCCTCTGCCTCTCAAAGTGCTGGGATTACAGGCCTGAGCCACTGCACCTGGCTAACAGATTTTATGAGTATAGAAAATTTTGGTACTGGCCAGGTGCAGTGGCTCACGCCTGTAATCCCAGCACTTTGGGAGGCCCAGGCGGGTGGATTACCTGAGGTCTGGAGCTCGAGACCAGCCTGACCAACACAGAGAAACCCCGTCTCTTCTAAAAAAAATACAAAATTAGCCAGATATGGTGGCGCATGCCTGTAATCCCAGCTACTCAGGAGGCTGAGGCAGGAGAATTGCTTGAACTCGGGAGGCAGAGGTTGTGGTGAGCCAGGATCACGCCATTGCACTCCAGCCTGGGCAACAAGAGTGAAACTCTGCCTCAAAAAAAAAAAAAAAAAAAAGAAAGAAAGAAAGAAAATCTTGGTACTGAAAAGTTAAATCACAATTCTAACCTTATCAGGTACTGATTTTTAAACTTGGGTATGCTTTGGGTAACCAAATATTAACCAGACTATTATCTTAACTGTTTTGGTAGGTTTGCCAAGATGGTGGATAAGAATATTTACATCATTCAAGGGGAGATTAACATTGTGGTTGGGGCCATCAAACGAAATGCCCGATGGAGCACCCATACACCACTGGTAAGTGGGAAATGGATAAATAGCCTGGTCACTAAGTTTTTATAGGGGATCTGTTGGCATGGTTAAAAGAGTAATCAAATTCCTAGTAATAATGAGAATAGTAGGAATTCAGAGTTGTTCTTGATATCTTGTTTTTTTGTATCCCAACTAGCATCAGATATATAGGCTATCTTTTTTTCTCTGGGACCCAAAAGATGACACCATTCTTCTTCTAAATATTTTTGTAAACAGCTTAAGCTAGTCCTGTGCTTGGGACCTCTTTAGTATGCCTAAAAGTATCAGAAAGATTCTTTATTTTCTAATTCTTTAGGGCTATAATTAGCTATCAAATTTATTTAAATCAGGGTAGTTATTGATACATAGAACATGACTTAGTGATGGTACTCCTTCTTGGGGGTTCAGCAAACTTCCATATATAGAGTAGGCCATATCTTACCAATCAGATGAGTAAGAAACTTACCTGTTATACAGTTGGCTTTCTTTGCTATATATGTTTGAGGACTTTTTTTTGTAGAATTGTGTAAAACAATTTTTGGCCCAGTTGTAAAAGCAAGTTTAGAAATTGCCAACTTGGGAGTTTATATGAACATAGTTGGTAAGTGCATTTGGAAATTTCTCAAGTTCTTTCATAAAAATGTATTGATTTAAAAGTGAGCATGGCATCAGGAATATCTTTGAAATGAATATGTATGATGACATAGTGGGTATGAAAAGGGAGAGAAGACAGAATAATACACATATAAAGGACCTGGCAATCTGTAGTAGCTTGAGTGTTATGGTGATGATATAGATTAGCACTTAAGAATTCACTATTTTGTATAAGCCCAGAGTATCTCTACGAAATAAGAGATTAGGGTACAGAAAAATATGAACTATGGCTAATTTTCTTTTCCTCAGAAGGAAAACTTAAATGATTTTCTGATTGGATTCATAGAAAGAGCCCTTGATCTGTCCTTTATTTTCCTTTTCCTCTTTTGGCCCAATAATGACTTACTTTAATCTATGTGTTCTACAGGATGAAGAACGGGATCCTCTGCTGCATAGTTTCGGTCATCTAAAGGAGGTTTTAAACAGTATAACAGGTAAGTCTCCATATGTATGTGGATTACTAATCTTGGTAAAAAATATGTGTTTGATTTATTGAAAGGATAGACAAACTTTTTGTATAAAGGACTTTATAGTAAATAATTTAGGCTTTGTGGGCCATACACAACTGCAACTACTTAACTCTGCCTTTGTAGCTCAAAAGCAGCCATAGATAATATATAAATAAATGAGAAATATATATTTTCTTTTTGTTTATTTCATAGAGACAGGGTCTTGCTATGTTGCCCAGGCTGGTTTCAAATGCCTGAGCTCAAGCAATCCTCCTGTCTTGGCCTCTCAAAGTGTTGGGATTCCAGGCTTGAGCCACTGTGCCTGGCCTATATTTTCCTTTCTTCTTTTTTTTTTTTTTTTTTTTTTTGAGGTAGAGTCTCTGTTGCCCAGGCTGGAGTGCAGTGTCATGAACTCAGCTCACTGCAACCTCTGCCTCCTGGGTTTAAGCCAGTCTCCTGCCTCAGCCTCCTAAGTAGCTGGGATTACAGGCGCGTGCCACCACACCTGCCTAATTTTTGTATTTTTAGTAGAGACGGGGTTTCACCATGTTGGCCAGGCTGGTCTCAAACTCCTGGCCTCAGGTGATCCACTGCCTCGGCCTCTGAAAGTGCTGGGATTACAGGAATGAGCCACTGCGCCTGGCCTATATTTTCTTTAAAAAAAAGAATCTGCAAGCCAGATTTGGCCCATGGGTGCAGTTTTCCAATCCTTGGTTTATTGCATTGGTTTCAGTCTTCATGATCTTTCAGTCTTCATGTGTTCTAGAATCATTTGTCCCTTTGTTTGCCCCCTATTTTCCTAATCACGGTAACCTTATATAATATATTCATATGTTTAGAATTTTCAAAGCCATTTTCACATTTATTACCTTATTGAACTTTTATACAACCCTGTGAGGGAGGCATGGCAGCTATTGTCCCCTTTTTGTGAAAGAAGTTAAAGCCCAGAGGAGTTTAAAGTGATTTAGCTGAGGTCACACTAATCCTAAGAGGTGGAGTCAAAACTAGAATTCAGGCCTCTGTTGCCTGGTTTAGGGCTCTTTGCTCTATATTGCTTCTGTACATGTGATTAGAAGAGAATGTACACATTAAGTACCTTATATTTGTGTGTGTGTGTGTGTGTGTGTTTATTTTATGTATATATATACACACACACACACACATATACACTGGCAGGAAAGGAGGAAAGTGTCAAAACCAAGGGGATGTAGATACAGACTGAAAGGGACAGCCTCAGAGCTATGTTCCTTTGTTGACCACAAAGGGCTCCTGCAGTGTATAACCCTGGAATGCTTTTGGCTAGTGACATATGTCAGACTGTAATTGGATAGTGTTTAGGCTTCTGCAAATTAAACAAACAATAAGAAAATTTCTTCTTTTCATTAGAAATATGGGAGAAGATCTGGAGAAAAAATCTATTTTACTTTCCTAAACATGGGCTAAAGTTATCTAAGAGTTCCCTACATATTTTCTTTCTTTCTTTCTTTTTTTTTTTTTTTTTTGAAACAGTGTGTCTCTCTGTTGCCTAGGCTGGAGTGCAGTGGTGTGATCTCGGCTCACTGCAACTGCAACTTCCGTCTCCCAGATTCAAGCGATTTTCGTGCCTCAGCCTCCCAAGTAGCTGGGATTACAGACGTGCACCACCACACCCGACTAATTTTTGTATTTTTACTAGAGACGGAGTTTCACCATGTTGGCCAGGCTAGTCTCAGACTCCTGACCTCAGATGATCCACTTGCCTTGGCCTCCTAAAGTGCTAGGATTACAGACGTGAGCCACCGTGCTCAGCCCATATTTTCTTTTTGTGCAGTGGCGTGATCTCAGCTCACTGTAACTTCTGCTTCTTGGGTTCAAGCAAGTCTTCTGCCTCAGCCTCCTGAGTAACTGGGATTATAGGCGTGTGCCACTATGCCTGGCTAATTTTTGTATTTTTAGTAGAGATGATGTTTCACCGTTTTGGCCAGGCTGGTGTTGAACTTCTGACCTCAAGTGATCCGCCCACCTTGGCCTCCCAACCATATTTTCTTTAAAGGAGCAAATTTCACTCAATTGAAACAGCTTGGAAATGTTAGCTAAGAAGGATCAAGTATAGAGGAGGCAATTGTTGACTAGTTAGCAGGGCAAATGCTGCTACTAGGTGGCATGTTCTTATTTTATGGCCTGTACCGACTGGTACTTGAGTGCTTTAGAATGTTGGCTACTTGCACAGATTTTTTTTTTTAATTTTACAGATAAAGCTTACATATCCCAATTAGAAAGGAAATATAATGAATGGAGATTTACAGTTCTTTTTGTTTGGTTTTGAATTCAGAGTACTGTCTTCTTAAGAGATATTAAGAGGATCAAACAAGTTAATATAATTGGAAACACTTGGTAAACATCTTATACACAGTGAAGGATTGTTGTTATAAGTGACTGGGAATACCCTAAAATGACTGAGATCACCCTGGCCTTGTAGGCCTTTTGGTCATTCTGCAAACCTTGAGGAGCTGAGGTGGTGCTGCTATCCTGACAGAGCCACATTTCCTGCCTGCTACTGAATCCAGATCCCATGCTTATTTTCTTCATGCTAACATGTCCCAAGATTTTACCTCAGAGACCATACCTGTGGTGAATGATGCAGTCTAGGAATTGTAGACTATTTAAGAGCTATCAAAGTTGAGTCTGACGCCTGATTTCCTTACGTCCTTGGGTCAGAAATCCAGCCAGATTATCTGCTCTTGGAACTAGTAAAACCAGAGTGTGTTCAGGAGCCATTTCTCTCATTGGTGGTAGGAACATCTCTGGGTGTTGCTAAGCTTTCCCCTGGAGTGAGAGGGAAGGGAGTAGTGTTTTCCAAGGCCAACAGCTGTGGCATGTCTTGAAATGGTGCCTGCCAAGGTTGCTACATTGTTCTTGGTTTTTAGCATATTACCTGCCTGAGAAAATGACAGAATAGACCTAAAATAGAGCATTTATGGTCTTCATATTGCTTCTGACCCCACACACAGTGCCGGCTCCCAGGAGCAGGTTTATGGGTCAGCTGTCCCTGTGGTCCTGGACTCTGCAACCCATGACTAATTTCTTGTTTCTTTTACGGAAACAAACAGATTTTTCTGATTGGCAGTGTCAGGAGGACTGCTTTCCTGGAAGCTTATTAATGGTAGGAGGCTGGGAAAGGGTTTTTAACTTGGAGAGAAAACTGAAGGGAATGTGCTTGTGTTAGATGACCAGTTAAGGTGTACCACTTAGATTGGAGGAGGGATAGCAGGAATTCTAGGACTTCTACCCAGTTTCTCATGAAACTGACTTGGACATGGTCCTTTTTTGCAAAGGGTTTCTGTTTGCATTTTTCTAGGCTTTCTGCTGGCTTGATTGGTAAGACTATCACTGTTGGAAATGGGTGGTTCATTGGACATTGTCAGTAAACCAAAATGATTTTTTTTTCTCTTTTTGTAGAAAGAATCTTTAAAATGTATAAGTACTACCTACACTACTCCTCCAGGAATATTATCTCATTATTGTGAAGGAAATAAGTCCTTTTCTCCAGTAAGGTTGGCTAAGTCCATACTAGTTTTTCTCACAGATGTATGTCATTGGACCACATTTACAGTCAGTATTTGCCTAAACTGTATGATGACTACAAGGTCTATAGCATTTAGAGTAATAAGATATTCTAATAATACCAAATTTGAAAAGAGGGTTGCTCTTGGAAGAAAAAGGGTGTCCAAGAGCAAAGTTTGCATACTGTTACTTTGGATAAAGCTTTAGCTTACCACCAGTGAGAGAGACTTGACTGCTGTCCCTCATTTGGTCTTGAAGTCCTCTCAGGACTCCTTTTAGATTATTCTGAAGGAGTTAAAACAGATGTGTGGTTACCAGGGGCTGGGAGGGGGTATGGAGAGTGACTGCTAATGGCTACAGGGTTCCTTTTTGGGGTAATGAAAATGTTCTAGAATTAGATAGTAGCGATGGTTGCACAACTTTGTGAGTATACAAGAAACCACTGAATTGTATACTTGAAAAGGATAATTTTATAGTATGTGAATCATATCTCAGTTTATAAAGGAGGCAAATGTAGGCTGCAGAAGTGATGGATTTGCCAGTTTTTTCTCAGGTCTCAGAACTGTGGAGGGAAGTCTCTGTAGTCACTGCTGTGCTTTGGACCCATTACCCAGCAAAGGCAGCATAAGGCTCTGTTCAGCTTCTGGCCCAGTTTGTCCTTTTATGTCTCTCTCATTAACTCAAGGAAGCACATGGCTTTTATATTTAAATTTATTCAAACTGTAATCTTTGACATTTGAGTTAGCTTTTAGTACAGTTTTGCATTTATAGTAATATATATTATGTATTTTCTCTATCCCCAAAGAATCCGTTTTAATCTTTTCCGGATGCAAATTTCAGGCTGTCTTGTCCCATCTTCCCTCTCTTGCTCTCTTTCCCCTCCCCCCACGGAGTGTGTTTGATCAGGTGTGGCAGGAATATCCACTGTCAAGCTGCGCCCTTTATATTAGTCAATATTATCCTTCTCCCCCCTCCCTGTCTGTCTGCCCCTTTGGGCTTTCCCAGTTGATTTATAATTTTGGAATTCTCATTGGAGTCTGTAATACAGTTTGTTCATTATTTAACCAAAACCTGTTTAATGAGCAGAGAGAGGCAATGTAAATGTTAGGCATGTTGCAGTGATGTACCTTTGTGCTTCTCAGAGCGGGTGGGTAGTTAACTCTGTGCTGCCTGCAGGGCTGGGGTGTCCTGGCCTTAGGGGCAGAAGGGCCACTGCCTCTCTCTTACATCTGCCCAAGCCCTGCCATGGGTTTAGATTCCAAAGACACATTTCCTTTTATTCTTCTAAGAATCTTTTGGGGCTCTTGCATATGGGAGTTATCTTCAGTCTCGCAGCTAGACCTTGTGGTAGGATCTGTGGCATGGGATGGGGCATGGAAGGGAAAGTGAAATATCAGGATACTTGATATTGCTCTTGGTTTTAGATCTGACAAGAGTAGACAGTTTATGGGAATGCTTCTAGCCAATATGGTCTGTGGTCTTTGATCTCTTTGTTCCCAGACTAGATAAATTCTTGCAAGCCTTAGTTCCCTTCATCCAGTATAGCTTTATGGAAAGGGCTATAGTCAGTTGTGAGTTGTGGTGTTTGGTTGTAGTCATTTGCCTCCAGATATAGTCTGTCTTTGTCCTTGGTCTTTAAACTTAGATCATTACAAAGAGATTCTTTTCCAGAAAATTTTTGGTTTAAAACAGGAGAGGAACAGTCTAAAAGTATCACAACCAGGCTAGGTGCAGTGACCCACATCTGTAATCTAGCACTTTGGGTGGCCAAGACAGCAGGATTACTTGAGGCTGGGAGTTCGAGACCAGCATGGGCAACATACCAAGATTCCCCCCATCTCTACAAAAATAAAAATAAAAAAAATTAGTTGGGTATGGTGGCGTACAACTGTAGTTCCAGCTACTTAGGCTGAGGCGAGAGGATCACTTGAGCCCAGGAGTTCGAGGTTACAGTGACCCATGATTGCGC
This sequence comes from Homo sapiens, assembly GCF_000001405.40. NCBI lineage: Eukaryota > Metazoa > Chordata > Mammalia > Primates > Hominidae > Homo > Homo sapiens. The sequence goes on from NC_000010.11 coordinate 102,265,644, forward strand.
CACTGTACTCTAGCCTGAGTGACAAGAGTGAGACCCTTTCAATGAATGAATGAATGAATGAATGAATGAAAGAAAGTATCACAACCAAAATCTTCTCTTATGGGATCATCTTTTAATGACTTACTTTAAAGCCTTCAGGGCCAGGGCTTGAGGAAGACTTCTTAGGGTGTGCGTGTGTCTATGTGCGTGTGAGGGTGTGGTGGTGAGGAGTTTGCCTTTGGAGATTTAGTCCCAGGTCTTTTTAGCTCTGAGGACCTAATGTCCAGTTTTGGTTATCAGGACTGGGGTTCTCAGTGTAAGACTAAGGTGGAGGGCCGGGTGCGGTGGCTCACGCCTGTAATCCCAGCACTTTGGGAGGCCGAGGCGGGCAGATCACGAGGTCAGGAGATTGAGACCATCCTGGCGAACACGGTGAAACCCCGTCTCTACTAAAAAAATACAAAAAATTAGTCGGGCATGGTGGCAGGCGCCTGTAGTCCCAGCTACTCGGGAGGCTGAGGCAGGAGAATGGCCTGAACCTGGGAGGCGCAGCTTGCAGTGAGCCGAGATCGTGCCACTGCACTCCAGCCTGGGTGACAGAGCGATACTCTGTCTCAAAAAAAAAAACTAAGGTGGTCTTGAGGCCCAGTATAGGTACCCATATTAACTATAACATTGTTCTAGCTTCTTAGACCTTTTCTTTTGGGGATTCTCCAAGATTTGGATTCCTTCAGGGCCTAGCTTATTGAGTTGCTTCTAACTGATATTTATTGACTATCTGGTATGTGCCAGGCATTTTTCTTAGGTACTTAGGAAGTGGGTCTGTAATGGTAAACAATCAGTCAGACTTCCTGCCCTCATAGCCACTGGTTTGACAGGACTAATGACTCTAGCTGATCATTCCAAAGCTAACATTTTGTAGCCTCTACTTTATGCTATATGGTCCCTATCAGGCATGGAATGGATGACCATGAGTGAGAGCAATCTGCTGCCAGCTTTTCTTATTCCTGCTCTTTCCTTAAGGAACAAGCCAAAGAAATAAGTAAAAACAATAGCTCATATTTGCTTATTTGGCTTTCACATGTAAAGCTGTTATGGCCAGAGTTTAGCTATTCCCAAAGACATTGGTGGGTTGCATAGCGTAATTCTGGGGGATAGGATATTTCTTTACAGAGCTTACTGGGACAGCAGGTTATGGCGTGCTTGAGTTTAAGAGGGAGAAGCACGTGCCAGGAGAAAGTGGATGTGTCAGGAGTTTATTTAAGTATAGTTTATCCTGGACAAACACACCTGTAGGGTACTGTCTGTCTCAAGCTTTGTGAATTCAGAGTCTGAGCTAGGAGGTTTGAGTCCATCTAACCTCCAGAGGTTTGCAGAGAACATTTAAACAGAGTCTGGAAGCCAACTTGGGAGGAACTATGACTTAACACCTGTCTGGCCTGGGCCTCTTAGCAGTAGCCGCTTAGGTAGAAAAGAAACTGTTTGAGAATGCCTGATACCTCAAGTTTAATCTGTTTCATTTGGAAAATGGGGAGGTGTAGAGAAAAGAGATTTTAGTAGTCATTGTCAGGAAAAAGATTGAATAAGAGTATATTATATGTGCCAGGCATGGTGGCTCACACCTGTAATCCCAGCACTTTGGGAGGCTAAGGCGGGTGGATGACTTGAGGTCAGCAGTTCGAGACCAGCCTGGCCAACATGGTGAAACCCTGTCTCTACTAAAAATACAAAAATTAGCCAGGTGCGGTGGCGCATGCCTGTAGTCCCAGCTACTCAGGAGGCTGAAGCAGGTGAATTGCTTGAACCCAGGAGGTGAGATTGCAGTGAGCTGAGATCGTGCCACTGCACTCCAGCCTGGGTGGCAGATCAAGACTCCATCTCAACAACAACAACAACAACAACAACAAAAGCGAGTATGTTATATGAAAAAAATTTGCTGGAGTCCTATTGATTAAGTGCCTACTTTTATTTTTTCCTACAGGGGTCTATAGTTTAGGGAGTAAAGTAATATATCATTATTAATCAGCATGAGAAGAAGGTTGAATGGGTCATCAGCTTTTGTTCCACTTGGAATTGAGCTTGTGAATTGTTCAAGGCCTAAGTAGGAACTAAAAGAACCAAATGTGATAAAATTTGGCAGACAAATTTTGTGAAGGGCTGAGTGTTAGGAAAGGCAATGGGCACACTTAAAAGTATCCATTTCCTGTGCCCTGTTTTACTTTCTTGGTTTATAATATAAAACTATAGTTGAGTAATACATTAGAATGTGACTTGAATTTGAGTCAGACTGACTTTGGCACCTTAGAATCTCTGTAACTTGAGTGGCCACAGACTTGTAGACATTTCAGCACAGTTAGAGTGAATAAAGGTACTGTGATTCTTTTTTTCCCCAGGGACTATTCATATTAAAAGGGTAGCTCCAAGAGGCCTATATTTTGATGACTTGATTTTGCCATTTCTTTTTACTGGGGCCTTCCCCAGATGATTTATGAATGCTCTTCATTTGACACTTTTAAACCAAGAAGTTCTTCCAAACATTTGTTTGTACTCAAGGTTAGGAAATGAAGACTCTTGAGAAGAAACAGCTCTGCATAATCTGTCCTCTCATGGGTTCAGCTCTCTCTTTTTCTCTTCCTCATACCCAGGCACACTTAGCCATCAGAACTAGTTTCCTGGCTGTTGAGGGGGCACATTTTCTACTGCATGTATCAGAAAAGGAATTGTGTAAAAAGAGGGAAAAGCATTCTTAATAGTTTAGCTCTCAAAAACAGAGAAACCTAATTTCTTTGTAGCAAAGGTTAGGGGGCAGTGTAACAGTGTGGTTTGTGGTGGGTATCAAAGTTGCTGGTGTTTTTATTGCATTTGTCCTCTTTAGCACAGCTACCTCTTGAGGCCTGAAACTTCTGAGTATATGCCCAACTTACCATGACAGCAGTCAGATGAGTAAAAAGAAAGCCAGCTGCTGTTTTTTTTTCAAACAAGGAGGCAGGCAGAGTCCCTTCCTGCTTTTCCACCCATTCAAACTCAGGACAAGTGCCAAAAGGGTTTCAGAAGAAGCCAAATGCTTGAAATTCAATGTGTTGTTTTGATTAGGAGAGATAGTGAAGAGTTTGTCTCAGCCTTGCCCCCCTCTGACTATCTCTCTATGTTCATAGATACTTAGTTGATAACCCAGTTTCTGAAGTGATAGTGGATATGTTTATGGAAAGGGTGAGTACATTTGTCTTTTCTCTCCTGGCATCTGTTAGAAGATGGAGTTGGCTATAGAGCAAAATGGAGATAAGATCATTTCAGCTCAGATCACTTCATTAAGAAAGGGTAATAGATGGAGAGCAATGACTACTTTAGGCTCTCAGTTTTACTCTAGGAAACCAGGAGATAATTTGCACCTCACCAGTTTAGGGGCCTTTATTCCTTTCCTTTATTCTTTGAAGATCCTAAAGAACTTAGATGGACAAGCACTTCTGGCTGTCTGTTGGCTGGGTTCTCATGGCATGTCTCTTCTGTAACATCAGCATTCTGTTACCACTGTTACCACTGTAGGTCGAGTTGTGAAGGGCTGCCACATGTGCACAGATCACAACTGACCTTTCCTTGTTCCACGCTTATTGAGCAATTACTTGCCCGTTTGTGGAACTCACATTATTGTCTTGCATTTCTGGCCCAGTGTGAAGTGGGGGCATCCAGGAAGTGGCCTAATGGACTGTACATCAGAGGGCAATAAATTGGCATATGATTTGGTGGAAAGGCAGGGCCAGATGTAGTGTGGGAGCTAGAGTTTTTCTGCAGTCAGCCATGCAGCTTGCTTCCAGGTGTCCTGGAAAGCAGCTTGGGAACTAGAGGGTAAGAGTAGTTGAGGACATTCACTGGGGAAGAAAAGGATCAAAAGCACTTCAGTGTTATCTGGGATTGGCCCTGAATTGAAAAAAAATCCTCTAAAAGTAGAGGGACAAATGAGATTTCCCTGACACTGACAGGGACTTTTCCACAGATTATTTTTTGTTTTCAAGTAAAGTGAGTTATTGTAAGAAAAAAAATCTAAAATTTGAGAGACCCTTGACAAGAGGATGTAGAATGAGAAAGCCTCATTCCAAATGAGTTTTTGCATTTAAGAAAACTGGTACCAAATTGATTAAATGAAATGAGAGCTGATATGGTATTACAACTGCCCTGGGCTACAGTGGTGTTTTTCAGACTGTAGGTTGATTTGCATTAGTGAATTACATCACTGTAATGGGTTGCATGGCATTCTCTCCAATTTTTTTTTTTTTTTTGAGACGGAATCTTGCTCTGTCACCGCGGCTAGAGTGCAGTGGCGCGATCTCAGCTCACTGCCAGCTCTGCCTTCCGGGTTCACGCCATTCTCCTGCCTCAGCCTCCCAAGTAGCTGGGACTACAGGCGGCCGCCACCATGCCCGGCTAATTTTTTGTATTTTTAGTAGAGATGGCGTTTCACCATGTTAGCCAGGATGGTCTTGATCTCCTGACCTCATGATCTGCCCGTCTTGGCCTCCCAAAGTGCTGGGATTACAGGCGTGAACCACTGCACCCGGCCTTTTTTTTTTGAGACGGAGTCTAGCTCCATCACCCAGGCTGGAGTGTAGTGGCGCAATCTTGGCTCACTGCAACCTCCGCCTCCTGGGTTCAAGCAATTCTCCTGCCTCAGCCTTCTGAGTAGCTGGGATTACAGGCACGGGCCACCACGCCCAGCTAATTTTTGTATTTTTGGTAGAGACAGGGTTTCACCATGTTGGCCAGGTTGGTCTCGAACTCCCTCGGCCTCCCAAAGTGCTGGGATTACAAGTGTGAGCCACTGTGCCCGGACTGCTCTCCAGTTTTTTATGATGAAAAATTTTAAACTTAGCAAAAATTGAAAGAATACCATAATGATTACCCATATTTCACATTTAGAGTCAAAATTACTAACATTTAGGCATATTTGCTTTATCCGTATATGTGTATTATCATTTTTTTCATGATCCATTTGAAAATAAATTGCAAACATGTTGACATTTCACCCCTAAATACTTCAGCATGAATCCTAAATAAGGATGTTCTCCTACATAATACCATTATCACAACTAAGAAACAACAATAATTTGCCAATTCTAGTTAATATCCAGTTCATATTAAACATTTTCCGTTTGTCCCCAAACTTTTATAGCTATAATTGGTTTTAGAAACCAAAATCCAAGCACAATTCTCATTTCATTAGGTAGTTATGTCTTTTTAGACGTTTTATTTTATTTATTTTAGAGATGGGGGTCTCACTGTGTCACTTAGGGTGGAGTGCAGTGGTACGATCATAGCTCCCAGCAGCTCAAGCGATCCTCCTGCCTCAGCCTCCTGAGTAGCTGGGACTACAGGCGCATGCCACCAAGCCTAGCTAATTTTTTATTTTATTTTATTTTATTATTATTATTATTATTTTTTGAGATGGAGTCTTGCTCTTTCGCCCAGGCTGGACTGCAGTGGCGCTATCTCAGCTCACTGCAAGCTCCGCCTCCTGGGTTCATGCCATTCTCCTGCCTCAGCCTCCCAAGTAGCTGGGACTACAGGCGCCCGCCACTGCGCCCGGCTAATTTTTTGTATTTTTAGTAGAGATGGGGTTTCACTGTGTTAGCCCAGATGGTCTCAATCTCCTGACCTCGTGATCTGCCCGCCTCGGCCTCCCCAAGTGCTGGAATTACAGGCGTGAGCCACCGCACCTGGCCCATGCCTAGCTAATTTTTAAAATTTTTTGTAGAGACAGGATCTTGCTGTGTTTCCCAGGCTGTTCTCAAGCTCTTGGCCTCAAGCAATCCTCCCACCTTAACCTCCCAAAATTGTTGAGATTACAGGTGTGAGCCACTGCACCTGGCCCTAGGCTTTTAAAAGACAATTTTCTCCACCTTTTTTTTTTTTTTTCTTTTGCATTGGCTTTTTGAGGACACCAGCCCATTTATGTTTAGAATGTTCTACATTCTGGATTTGTCTGTGTCCTTGTGGTATCATTTAACTTGTTCCTCTTTCCCGTATGTTATGTACTAAAAGGATTAAAAGCTTGATTAGATTCAGGTTAAATATTTTTGGCAAGAGTATTTTATAGATGATACTATGTAATTCATATTATTACTATTATTATTATCATCATTACCATTATTTTTTGAGACAGAGTCCTGCTCTGTCCCCCAGGCTGGAGTACAGTGGTGTGATCTCAGCTCACCACAGTCTCCACCTCCTGGGCTCAAGTGATCCTCCCACCTCAGCCTCCCAAGTAGCTGGGACTACAGGTGCATGCCATCATGCCCAGCCAATTTTTTGTATTCTTTGTAGAGACAGGGTCTTGCCATGTTGCCCAGGCCTGTCTTGAACTCCTGAGCTCAAGTGATCCACCCACCTCAGCCTACCAAGGTACAGGGATTACAGGTGTGAGCTATTGCGCCCAGCCTTATTTCATATTATATCACCACAGGAAGCACATCCTGTCAGGTTGTCCTGCAATTGTTGATTTTTTTTTTTTTAGACGGAGTCTTGCTCTGTCACCCAAGCTGGACTGCAATGGTGTGATCTCAGCTCACTGCAACCTCACTCCCAGGTTCAAGTGATTCTCCTGCCTCAGCCTCCCCAGTAGCTGGGATTACAGGCACCCACCACCGCACATGGCTAATTTTTGTATTGTTAGTAGAGACAGAGTTTCGCCATGTTGGCCAGGCTGGTTTCGAACTCCTGACCTCAGGTGATCTGCCCACCTTGGCTTCCCAAAATGCTGAGATTACAGGCATGAGCCACTGCACCCGGCCGCAATTGTTGATTTTAACAGTTTTGTTACTTGCTTCTTATGGTGACTGCCATATCTCCTAATTTTGAAATACGTTAATTTTTCTTTTTGTAATTTTAAGTAATCTGTGAAGTAATATTTTTGCACCTTGTAAATATCCTGTCCTCTAATATCCTTTTACCTAATGGTTATCCACTGATTAATATTTGACTGAATCTTTTATTTCACTGGTCACAGAATGATTTTTCTAATTCTGTCATTTTTTTCTACATTTATTAGCTAGCATTTTCTGTAAAGAACTATTTTCCCTCATCAACTGGAGGATAAACCAATTTCTTCTAAAAAGGCAGGATAAATGCTTAATTCATTCCCTTTAATTGGCAGTTTTCAGATTCAGAAGTGAGTGTTAATAATGATCACTAGTGGTGGCAAATGTGGGTCTGCCTCCTCCTAGGGGCTTGTGAGTATTTTTTAGTGTTTTACAATTAATTACAGATATGTTTTTTTCCATTGTTATTTTTGGTGCTCACATTATTTCAAGTTTGGCCAGTGTGCGTCCCCTTCAGACTGGTTCCTTTGTCTTTTGACATGACATCTTTGAACACTTCCTTGCTTTCTGGTACAATCAACCAGCAATAAAGGGGAAAAAAGAATAGAATAGAAATTATCAGTGTATCTGGCCGAGTGTGGTAGCTCATGCCTGTAATCCCAGCACTTTGGGAGGCTGAGATGGGTGCATCATGAGGTCAGGAGTTTGAGACCAGCTTGGCCAACATGGTGAAACCTTGTCTCTACTAAAAATACAAAACTTAGCCAGGCATGGTGGCACGTGCCAGCTACTCAGGAGGCTGAGGCAGGAGAATTGCTTGAACCCAGGAGGCAGAGGTTGCAGTGAGCCGAAGTCGCGCCACTGCACTGCAGCCTGGGCGACAGAGCAAGACTGTCTCAAAAAAATAAATAAATAAAATAAAAAATAAAAAAAAGAAATTATCAGTGTATCATACTTAAGAAAGATAAGTATTGTTTTTCGCAACTTGTTTTAGTTAGAAACCTGTATTTTCTGGGTTGTAGCGTAAGCTGTATCTTCTCCTATCCATCATGGTCAAAAAAGTTTGAAAGCACTGGTAGAAAGTTTGTGATGTACTCCTGTTCTAGCACTGGTTTGAATTTGTCTGTCTGCAATGTTATTTCATGGGCAAGGAGTCAAGGAGGATATTGAGTCAGGGTGCCCTTCTCACCATTTTCTTGACATTCTGTGAAGGACTCTGTGAGGCACCTTAGCCCCCTTGACTTTTGGGAATGAGTGGATTCTTCATCCCTATCAACTTTGATTTCAGTAAGACAGTTCTATTTAGATGGTTGTTTCTGGATGAATCAGCTTTTGCCAGGCAGAGATTAATTTGAGCCTATTTGAGTCGTTATAATCCTGGAAAATATTAGAGTAAGTATTCTTCCCCAAGGAAATAAGAATTGTGGAAGTAATTATGACTGATTAGTCACTTTGCACCTTATCCCTTTTATGTGATGCTATACAGATTGTTTAGACATATCATGTTAGACATGGCCACCCTTTTGAATCATCTTGGTGAGCTGAGGGAATCATTTGTCCTCGAAAGACTCCAAAAGAGCATCTTCTCCAGGAACTTTTCTGTTAGTGGAAGTTCAACAAATATTTGTTGATTACTTACTATGTGCCAGGAATGGAACTAGGTTCTAGGGACCTAGTTTTCAAGGAGACTGACACAGTTCCTGTTCTCATAGTTTATGGTCTAGTGGGCTGGTGATTTGAGAAGCTCTGGAATTTGAGCAGACAACTGGGCACTAGTTTGAAGTCTGCCAGTTTCCACACGTGACCTCAGGAAATTGTTGTATGCTTTGGTTTGCTGAAAGAGGTTCTAGGATGGTCAAAAGAATAGCATTGGTGTTGTCCACATTGTCTGTCCCACCTCCACCCTGTGCCCTAGCCCTGCCTGCTTGGCAGTGACCCTGGAAATTCTGTGCATGGCAGCTTCATTAGCTGCTTTTAGGGCCTTGAATGTCTTATAGTTGATTAGTCTATTAAAAAAATTTTTTTCACCTATAATATGTTCTATGATATGATTAGTCTCTTTATATTGGCCTTTGATTAATCAGTCTGTGCATCACAGACTGACCACATCACAGACGGACCACAACTGACCACAGTTGAACCATAGGATAAGTTATCAATGGCTGATTGTTTTTTCTAATAAAATTCAACTTTGCATTTGAGTCCTCTTTGGCTTGGGCTTCTGACACAATTTTTAGGACATTGAAGTCTACAGGTGCAAAACAAAGATTTTTTTTTTTTTTTTTTTTTTTTTTTTTTGAGAGGGAGTCTCACTCTGTCGCCCAGGCTGGAGTACAGTGGCGTGATCTTTGCTCACTGCAACCTCTGCCTCCCGGGCTCAAGTAATTATCCTGCCTCAGCCTCCCAAGTAGCTAGGATTACAGGCACCCACCACCACGCCAGACTAATTTTTGTATTTTTAGTAGTGACAGGGTTTCACCATGTTGGCCAGGCTGGTCTTGAACTCCCAACCTCAGGTGATCTGCCCGCCTTGGCCTCCCAAAGTGCTGGGATTACAGGTGTGATCCACCGCGCCAGGACTTTTTTTTTTTTTTTTTTGAGACAGAATCTTGCTCTGTTGCCCAGGCTGGAGTGCAGTGGTGCAATCTCCTGCCCTCAAGTGATCCACCGGCCTCAGCCTCCCAAAGTGCTGGGATTACAGGCATGAGCCACTGCGCCCAGCCAAAAACAGATTTTAGTAGCTGTTTACCTTATGTTGCTAAAAGAATGAGGAAAGCTGTTTTTTCCAGCCAGGGTCTAATAGTCCCAGTTCACAAATAACAAAAGTGTTTTTTAGTAGCAGCCTACTACCTTTAGCCCAAGGGTCTCATGTGAGGAAAGTAGTACCAAAACCCTTGTAACTTTGAACAGGATTTAGCTTCATAATCAATAGGACATTTCATCATATATTTGTCTTTTGAATCCCAGAGAAAGCACCTAGAAGTAGCCTTTGGGAGCATTGAGACCTCAGAGAGACCGTCCCCTTGTGTAGGAATAGTATTCCTAGGATTTTCAAGGGTAGAAAGAGGTGGTGAGGCAGTGAAACAGTTAAACAGTGGTTAAGAACTTTCTAAAAGAGAAAGTTGGAGTGAATGTTGGAGTACAAATGTAGTCCACAGAAAGACCTGTGACCTGTCATTTGCTTGAATGGCTTATCGTGTTCTGAATTTAAAGTGCAATTCTTTCTCCTTTGCCTCTTTTTTTCTGGGATGAATCTATATCCAAGTTACATTATTTAATACCTACTATAGCTAAATACTTTTTGTGACCAGAATCTGTTGACTCTGATAGGATCCTTGTTCCCTCTGGCCTGGGAAAAAAAGTTCTTGGTTCAGTCCACCTGGACAGAAGCATTGTAGGGAAAATAGTCAAAGGAAAATGGACTTCGGTTCTCAGACTCCAAGTAGGTTTCATTAATCCTCCCAAGTGAGCCAAGACTGCATCTTAATCAGTTTCATTTCAGGGGTTTTAAATAATGTTTCTGGGCTGGGCGTGGTGGCTCACGCCTGTAATCCCAGCACTTTGGGAGGCCGAGGCAGGTGGATCACCTGAGGTTAGGAGTTCTAGACCAGCCTGGCCAACATGGTGAAACCTCGTCTCTATTAAAAATATGAAAATTAGCCGGGCATGGGTGTGAGCGCCTGTAATCCCAGCTACTGGGGAGGCTGAGGCAGGAGAATCGCTTGAACCTGGGAGGCAGAGATTGCTGTGAGCTGAGATCGCGCCACTGCACTCCAGCCTGGGCAACAGAGGGAGACTCCATCTCCAAAAAAAGGCCTGGCGCGGTGGCTCATGCCTGTAATCCCAGCACTTTGGGAGGCCGAGGCAGGCGGATCACGAGGTCAGGAGATCGAGACCATCCTGGCTAACACGGTGAAACCCCGTCTCTACTAAAAAAACAAAAAATTAGCTGGGCATGGTGGCGGGCGCCTATAGTCACAGCTACTCAGGAGTCTGAGGCAGGAGAATCGCTTGAACCTGGGAGGTGGAGGTTGCAGTGAGCTGAGATTGCACCACTGCACTCCAGCCTGGGCGACAGAGCTAGACTCTGCCTCAAAAAAAAAAAAAAAAAAAATGTTTCTGTTGCCAAGGTTCTATAAGGAAGAAAATGAGTAGTGCTTGCCTTTGGTAGAACTGCTTTTTATTTAGAGAATGGGAGATGGTGCCAGGGTCCTAAGTAATCCTGGGTAGGCCGTAGGCTCAATAGTCAACAAAATGGGTTGTGTGCATGTAGTAAAGGAAGGTAGAGAATGGGAAATATTTGGGTTGGTAATAGTCTAACAAAAGCTCCAAAGGGAAGCAAAAAGTTGGCTACTAGAGGTTGTTTTACTGCTATTTAGAATGTGAATTCATCCCTATTTCCTTTTTACCTAATTGGTATCAGGACATTGAATCAAATGAACAGATGGTGAATTTTCTTGAATTTTTATTTTGAAATAATTTCAAATTTAAAGGTGCAAGAATAATAGGTCTCCCATATGTCCTTTTGCTACTTACACACACACACACACACACACACACATGCACACACGTATGTATGTATGTATGTATATATAGACATAAAATTATTTTTTGGCTGGGCACAGTGGTTCACATATATAATTCCAGCACTTTGGAAGGCCAAGATGAGAGGATCACTTGAGCTCAGGAATTTGAGATTATCCTGGGCAACATAGGTAGACTCCATCTCTACAAAAAATTAAAAAGCCAGGTGTAGTGGCATGTGCCTGCTGTTCCAGCTACTTGGGAGGCTGAGGTAAGAGGATCACTTAAATCTGGGAGGTGAAGGCTGAAGTGAGCTGTGATCATGCCACTGCATTCCACCATGGGTGACAGAGTTAGACCCTGTCTCAAAAAAAGAAAAGTACATAAATAAATAAATTTTTCTAAATCATTTGAGAGTAGGTTATATACATTGTGACTTTTTTTTTTTTTTTTTCAGACAGTCTCGCTCTGTCACCCAGGCTGGAGTGCAATAGCGTGATCTCGGCTCGCCTCCCGGGTTCAACCGATTCTCCCTGCCTCAGCCTCCTGAGTAGCTAGGATTACAGGCGCCCGCCACCACGCCCAGCTAATTTTTGTATTTTTAGTAGAGACAGGGTTTCGCCATGATGGCCAGGCTGGTCTCGAACTCATGACCACAGGTGATCCGCCCACCTCGGCCTCCCAAAGTGCTAGGATTACAGGCGTGAGCCACCGCACCCAGCCTATCATGATCTTTTATCCCTTAATACTTCAGTGCATATTTCCTAAGAACAAGGATATTCTCTTACTAATTTAAGTATAGTTATCAAATTCAAGAAATTTAGCATTGATACAATAATTTACTATTCATATTCCAATTTTGTCAATAAACTTTTATTATTTGTTTTTTTTTTCCCCTTCAGCCAAGGATCACAAATTACATTAGTTGTCATGTTTCTTTAGTCTCCTTTAATCTGGGACCGTTCTTTAGCTTCTCTTTATGCTTCATGACATTAGCATTAAAAACATTTTTTTAAAATTTTTTCAGCCAGTGGTTTATGCCTGTAATTCTAGCGTTTTGGGAGGCCAAGGCAGGAGGGTTGCTTGAGGCCAGGAGTTTGAGACCAGCTTTGGCAACATAGTGAGAACTCATTGCTTCAAAAAATAAAAAAAATTAGCTGGGCATGGTGGCGTGTGCCTGTAGACCCAGCTACACAGGAGGCTGAGGTGGGAGGACTGCTTGAGCCCAGGATTTGGAGGCTGCGGTGAGCTATGATCATGCCACTGCACTCCAGCCTGGGTGATTAAGAAAACAAACAAAAAAACATTAAACAAAAACACTTTTTTTTTTTTTTAGAGTTATGGAGTTATCTGTAACTCCATAACTGTTTACAGAGTCTGGTGGTGGGATCGTAGCTTACTGCAGCCTAGAACTCCCAGCCTCAACTGGTCCTCCTGCCTTGGTCTTCCAAAGTGATGGAATTACAGGCATGAGCCACCACAGCCAGCTGACATTGACATTTTTTATAACTACAGACCAGTTCATGTCTGTGTTCTTTCTTTTTAAAAAATTGATCCATAATAATTATACTTATGTATTGGTTACATGTGATATTTTGATACATGAGTACAATGTGTAATGATTGTATTTAGGATATCTATCACCTCAAACATTTGTCGTTTCTTTGTGTTGGGAGCATTTCAAATCTTCTCTTATAGCTATTTGGAAATATACAGCAAATTATTGTTAACTATAGTCTCCCTAATTTATTTATTTCTTTCAAGAATATTTCTCATTTTGGGTTTGTCTGATGTTTTCTTATGGTTAGATTCAGGTGGTGTGTGTCTATCGTGAATCTGTAATATATACCACTACTGATATAGGGTCCTTCTCAGGGTATCACAACTGCAGGTGCTGTTCATTGGTGATACTAATTTTGATCATCTGGTCAAGTGTTAATCTGATTTATTTACTGTGTAGATGTTATTTCCCCTTGCAACTAATAAGCAATCTGTAGGGAAACATTTGAAGATCATACTCCTCTTTAAACTTTCCCTCTAATACCTAACATACATTGATAATTCTTGCCTGAACCAATTTCTGGTTGCAGTTATGGTGAAATTTGAGTGGTTGCTTAAAATACTTGTTCTTAGGTGGACACAAACTGTCTTTCTAGCTTGCTTCTGTTTGTTTCTCTTCCTATAAGAAACACAATTGCATACCCTAAAGATCTATATTTTTTTATGTCTAAATCTAATAACTAAAAAGAGTTTGAAAATTGGAAAAAGGTTTGGCTCAATGAGGCTTGACTTGGAACTTGGTAATTTCCTAGAATGGCCACATCACCCAGTGGAATTTGTTCTCCACTCAACCAACAGCATAAGTGCTTTTTCTCTAAGCCAGACTGACAACAGCCATGTGAAGTGGATTCTTTTTTTAAAATTTACTCCCTCTTTTAATAAGTGGGATTTGCTATGAATTCATCATTATATTTCAGCTTTTGTTCTCAAATCTATTTTAATAGCTTGATTCATCTTATTAAGCACTTCCACTTAAGCTTTAACAAAATCCATAAAGTTTGGAAATGCCCATTGTCCAGGAGCTTTAAGAGAGAAAAGGTTAGGAGAAACGTTTTCCTATTCTCCTTTTCTATCATTTTTTTCTTTCCTTCCCTCTTATTTTTCTGTATTTTTTCCTTGTGCCTTTCCTTTCATTCCTTTGAAGCATGATTAGGATGCATGACTGAGCCTCCAAAAGCAGAGAGAAAAAGAAGTATTGCTTCTTGAGACTCAGGTTTTTTATTGTTATTACTACGGAGAATAGGCTAATGATATGATAATTATGACCATTACTAATGAATGCCTTATCAGCTATCAGTTGTTTCTTCGAGGGAACCTTGCCCTCAAAAAAAGTGGCTTACGCCTGTAATGACCAGCACTTTGGGAGGGCGACGCAAGAGGATTGCTTGAGCTCAGGAGTTTGAAACCAGCCTGAGTAACTAGTGAGACCTCATCTCTACTAAATTTTTTTTTGTTTTAATTAGCCAGGCATGGTGGCACACACCAGTAGTCCCAGCTACTTGAGAGGCTAAGACAGGAGGATCTCTTGAACCCCAGAAATCAAGGCTGCAGTGAGTAATAATGGCACCACTGCACTCTAGCCTGGGTGACAGAGGAGTCCCTGTCTTAAAAAAAAAGAGAGAGAGAGAGAGAGAGAGAAATAAGTAGAGACAAAAGAAAACAACTAGAGAGTCAGAAAGAGGAAAGGGGCAGAAGCAAAGAACTTGGGGATGGGGAGGCAAGGGTAGGAGAGAAGGACAGAGAATACAGAACTCCTAAAATAGGAAAATGGGAGTCAGCTCTAACATTTACCTTTACCCAGTCCAGTGTGTGGGTTTTCCCCTTTCAGTAGAATGTTCTATGAGATAGGATGAGATGGGGTGAATGAAATTGTCCCATCCTTGACTCCTTGGATCTGTTTACATGGAACTGAAGGTTTTACCCTGTAATGTGACTTGATAGCCTGATCCTAGTGGGTTGGGTAGGAAGAGGCTATTAAGTGATGTTTTTTGGCTTGCTAGCATTAACAGAGTTATTTTTAACCTCCCATTTCAATCTCTTCGTTGTTCAGGTTCCTCTGCTGGCTACCATGAGAGCAGTCAAAATTAGCAACTATATAAAATGAAGTACCTCTTGTCTCCCCAGTCACTTCCAAAATAAACAGGGAGTAATACTGTCCATATTTTGTCTCACTTTACTCTGAAGGCTAGCAATAGAGGAAGCATGGATTAGTGTGTAGTGATTTCCAGGCTCTGCCCTCTGGACAGATTCCCCTCTGAGTGCTCCAGTTGAGTGACAGGACCATGTGGCAGGAGTGCAGCTGGAAGTATATCATCGGCAGATTTGGGTTGGGTAAATATAGCAGGAGCAGGATGTCAGTGTGGGAGATGGATTGTTCTGGGAAAGGAAGTGTTGTCTTTCGTCTGAGAAACAATTTCCTGCACTTCTGGGACTTTTGCTTTCTTCTTTTTCTTTTTTTTCCCAGGGCAGAGCAGGAGTTGGCAGGGGATGGGTACACTTGCTGAATTCTATCTCTGGATGTCTGCATGTTTCTACATTTGAAGTTGGGAGTAGAGATCAGATCTGTTTCAGCCAGTTAGGAAATGGACCTAATAAATTATCGTACCCATGCCTTAAGTTTCACTTTTTGAAGTTTTAAATTAAAGCACCTATCTGCTTAAAGCCTCTTTTTAAAAAGTTACTGTTCTTTTAGTGAAATAGACGGGTTGAGAGGCAAAAATAATTACGTAAAGAAAATCAACTCTATTGCAAGTCAGACATGAGGCACCAGCTGGCAGGAAACAGCTGGGATATTTCTGGGGGCTAGACTCTTCCACACCAGCACTTAACTCTTCAAGTGATCTCT
The DNA here is from genome assembly GCF_000001405.40 of Homo sapiens. NCBI lineage: Eukaryota > Metazoa > Chordata > Mammalia > Primates > Hominidae > Homo > Homo sapiens. The sequence goes on from NC_000010.11 coordinate 102,281,361, forward strand.
GTTATCTGAGCTACTTAAGATAGCTACCTACCTTACCAACAATCTGCATAAAATACTAAATCTACTAAATTATGTGATATTTTACAATTGACTAGAACTTTATAATTTATAAAGTGGTTTTTCATTATAGCCTTTCAATTTTAGAATCTATAAAGCACATAAATTATAATCTATAAATTATATTTTTATAAATTATCTATAAATTATATTTATATAAATTGTTATATTATAACTTAGACTCATACATAATCTATAATAGATTATTTCTATAAACATATTTATAGAAGAGTTGTAAAGAAGTTCTCATCTATCCAATGCCCAGTTTCCCCTGTTATTAACATCTTACATTAATATGACACATTTGTCACAATTAATGAACAAATATTGATTCATCATTAATTAAAGTCCATACTTTATTCAGATTTCATTAGGTTTTTACTTAATGGCCTTTTTCTGTTCAAGGATTCCATCTAGGATACCACATTACATTTAGTCATCACATCTTGTTAGGTTCCACTTGGCTGTAACAGTTTGCCTGTATTCTTTTTCTTTTCTTTTTTCTTTCTTTTCTTTTTTTTTTTTTTGAGACAGAGTCTCGCTCTGTCGCCCAGGCTGGAGTGCAGTGGCGCGATCTTGGCTCACTGCAAGCTCCGCCTCCCAGGTTCCTGCCATTCTCCTGCCTCAGCCTCCTGAGTAGCTGGGACTACAGGCGCCCACCACCACACCCGGCTAATTTTTTTTTTTTTTGTATTTTTTAGTAGAGATGGGGTTTCACCGTGTTAGCCAGGATGGTCTCAATCTCCTGATCTTGTGATCCACCCGCCTCGGCCTCTCAAAGTGCTGGGATTACAGGTGTGAGCCACCGCGCCCGGCCGCCTGTATTCTTTTCAAGTTTCACAAAAACTCACAAGATAGACTGTGCCTTTATTAATATTCCCCTTTTACAGATAAAACTCAGGTTCCAGAAAAATTAAGTAACATTTTCAAGGTTATACAGTAAAAGCTTCTTTTAAAGTGTGATTATGATTTGGAAAAAGGCGATGAGGTTATTTATTTGCTTTTCACGTGAATAAGGGCAGACTTACAGCTAACCTTCAGGTGGGCCATTTACTGAAGAGGAACAAGAGACAGAGGTGAGTCTAGCTTGTTCCTGGACTCTTCTGTCTTGCTGGAGACAAATTAACATTATTATTTTAATCACAATTATTTTGGGAAAACCCCTTTCTCTTTGATTCTGCTATGTCTACCAAAGGAACTGATGGCAGAAAATCCTGAGTTAGCCTTGTTCCCTGGCAACAGACTTCAGGCTGCTTACTGGTCCCTGTTGTTGGATACCAGGTTCAGTAGGAAAGTCTGCTGAGAGTATAGCATGAACACTAACCCAACTAGCCTATTTCCAGCACGTGTGGTGTTAACTATCTGGGAATAGGAACATGAGTTTTTAAATTCCAGTCTCTAATTGGGTAGGCTGAAGTTCTGGCTTGGAGTAAGGAGATTCACAGAACTGCAGTGCTAAGAGATAGTAGAAAAATTTAAAAATTCAATAAGACATGGCACTTAACTGACTCTGAATGCTCTGTCCGGAGGGATGAGTAAAGGGGAGAGGTGAGAGGAGGTAAAGTAGCGGGTTACTAATGATCCTAGATACTATTAAAAGATTATCACAAGGAGGTGGAAACTATTGAGGTACAAACCATCAGATCTTAAGGTAAGGAGTCACTCATCTTGCCCAGAGAAGTAGTAGTGAAGATAGTACCTGGATCCTAAAAGGTAACTTTTAAAGTACTTCAACCTAAGATGACAGAGGGTAGGCAGTTTATTGATACCCTTAACAACCACTTGTTAGTAGAGCCATTTTAATTAATGGGAAAGGGGATCATTCTCCGTTTATGCTTTTATTATATGTAGCTATGAGCATAGAAGCTGTGTTTGGACCCTCTGGTGACTATTGCCCTCTTCTAGTTGTGTCCAGGCACAGGTAAATTCTTGAGGCCAGGAAGGGCCTGGCTTTATCTCCAAAAGGAAGCTGTGGAAATAGCAATGAGCAAAACAATGAGAAAGAGCTTTAGAAAATTTGCAAATATTGTGTATCTTCATGGCATGATGAAGTGGGATTAGGACAGGGGAGAAAGTATAAACCACCAATTATAGGAGTCTTTAAGGGCTTGGGTGACTGAGGCCTTCTGCTAGGAGGCTGGGAGGTTGTTGATGACAGCAAAGATGTAACAGGTATTGAATACTAGAGGATAGACCTCATACTCTGAAAATGCTTTTGCCTCAACAATTTGAAAGAGAAATATGAAAGACAAAGTGACAATATGAAGAATGACTATTCAAAGTGCTTCTACCAGTAAGTCTTGTCTGTTGGCAAGTTTTAACCTGTAGGTAGGGGAAAAACGTGGGAGGATCTCTTATTCAGAATGCAAAACAGGAGACAGTGAAGTACCTGTGTTTCCAAAGAACTCCGAATTGAGCTGTGGTGGAAGAGGAGGAAATTTCTTACTGTGGTCTTGTATAATGTGAAATCTTTGTGAAGTCTCAATAGATGTTAAGTCTCCAAGGAGGGGAGACTTTTTAGCTGCTAAAGAAGCTTAGGTTCAGTGAGCCTCCAGTGGGAATACAGACATAGACGTCCACTGACATTTCTGCAACCAGTTTTGGTGAGTGGAAAGCAACTAGGTAAGTTTCACTTTTTGCAAGAATCCCAAGTGACCCTTTGCACTATGGACTGAGGTACCTGCTTGTCTCTACAAAAACTATAGAGGAGACACGACAGGCTTTAACTGGAAATTGTTCATGGTTTCTTAGAAGGGAAGCTCATATCCTGTTAAAGCACTTTAGAAAAATAAAGTCAAATTAGAGATAAGAGGATCTTTACTTGTATTTTCAAGAGCTTTTTTAAAAAACTGAAGTGAAATGCATATAACATAAAATTAACCATTTTAAAGTGAAACAATATAGTGGCATTTAGTACATTCACAATGTACCCTATCTAATTCCAAAACATTTTCATCGCCCCAAAAGGAAATCCTGTACCCATTAAGCAGTTGCTCCACACTTTCCCTTCCCCTCCAGCCCCTGGTAGCCATCCATCTGCATTCTGTCTCTGTAAATTTACCTATTCTGGATATTTCATATAAATGGAATCATATAATATGTGTCCTTTTATGTCTGGCTTCTTTCTCTTAGCATAATGTTTTTGAGGGTCATCCATGCTGTAACATGAATCAGCACTTCAATTCTTTTTAGGATTGAATAATATTCCATTGTGTGTGTATACCACAATTTGTTCATCCATTCATTCGTTGATGGACATTTGGACCATTTCTTCCTTTTGGCAATTATGAATAGTGCTGCTAGGGACATGTGTATACATGTATTTGAGTATCTGTTTTCAATTCCTTTGGATATATACCTAGGACTGGAATTGCTGGGTTGTATGGTAATTCTATGTTTAACTTTTTGAGTAACTGCCAAACAGTTTTCTATAGCAGCTGAACCATACTACATTCCCACCAAGAATGCATGAGGGTTCCAGTTTTTCCGCATCCTTACCAACACTTGTTATTTGTGTTTGTTTTGTTTTATATAGCTTCAAAAGCTTTTGAGACTGGATAGGACTTTGATGATAAAGCTCCTTTCAGGTCTTATGGATCTTCTGACATGCTTCTCTCCTGAAATAACTGGATGGCTCTTCTGGGCCAAATAAGGTATTGAGATTTTAGCTTTTATACTAAAGGATTACTTTCTTCCAAAATTTCCAATAAACAGCGAACACAGATTTTACAGATTTTACAGGTTGCCTAGACAGGGTCGAATTCTGACTTGCCAAAAGAAGAGTGTCAGTTACACTTTGGGTCTTGAAAGTAGATGATGGTATTTCTGGTTTCATTTGCCATCAGAATCCTGGACCAGGCAATAGGCTAGGTCTTGCTGACTATACAGGTAGCTCAGTTTGCTTACACATTACCAGCTTATCTTCCTGCTCACAGAATAACCTTCTGGGGAGGGAGTTAACTCTAATTCCTGATAAATGACTGGCTCTTTTTAAGGTGCTATATAAACTGAATTTGGATGTTACTTCGCCACTACTTACAATGATACTATGTACAGATATTAAAACTCTAATGTTCCCATCTCCTTACTGTGTGGCTGGGTGGTTTCTTATTTTGATGTCTTCTACATCAAACTGTTGAGTTCCTAAGTGTTCTCTTCTTACCCCTCTCTTTTTTAGTCTCTCAGTTTCTACTTCTTGCATCTATATATTTTGTGATTTGTCTAATAGTCACTGTGATTAATGTTTTAGTTTGTTTTTCTTTTGTGAAAATTATTTTCTTCTTGTGAAAGGTGAAAATTAGTTTCTTCTTGTGAAAGGAGAAAACTGGTACAGAAATCTAGGACGCTGGAACTTCTAGCTCTCTCCGTTTTTTCTAGAATTGTAGCTTTCCTTCTTTTTTTTTCTTTGACTGTTTTCTCCAGTTTATATGTTGAGTGGTAGGTTTTTCTAACTTTTAGAAAAAAATTATTTTGCTATTTAATGTGTTTGCTGTATCTCCTTGAAATATTATAAATCAGAATACATTTTAGTGTTTATTGCTGCCATTGGTTGCTTTAAAAAAAAAGGTTGAACCTGTTTTCAAAGTAAACAAAATTGTAGCCTCTACTTACCTTCCTCCTTTCCCCACCACAATACACAGTGTTGTTGGGTTTGCAAATTCATCCTAACCATTTGATCAAAGTCAGGCTTTGAACAAGGCTTTATAGTGAGGTGTGGTGAATGACAGGTATGTCTGGATTTGGCCTTGAGAGATTTGGGGATGTAAAAGCATAAGGGTTTTTTTTTTTTTTTTTTTTTTTCTGTCTTTCTTTCTCTTCTCCTAATGTACTGTGGTCTATAATAGGTTGAGTTGTAACATTCATTAAACCACTCCTCGCATTCCCTGTTTTCAAAGCTTATCAGGATGACTTTGATTTAGTTATTTGGAACCAAAAAGGCAGTTTGTGGAGCCTGGTCTGGAGCTGTGTAGCAGTAATATATCAGAGATCAGACTTAGGTCCCAGTGGGATTATTCCTCGGGATTTATTTGCCTGGAAGTACACACAGGAGCCAAATGGTATGTATGGAAAGCTTTGCTGGAATGCAAATTGGACACATTTTGTTGGGACCTGTAGGGGATTTTCACTGCTTCATAATTTTTCAAAGGTTTGTTATACATCAGACAGTCACTGCCTCTTCTTTAAATCTTTAAATCCCCCCTCTTTTTCCTGTTGTAAAGGTCAGATTTTTTTTGACAACTGTGTGCAGGAACAAGATTTGCTAAATCCCTTCATTTTTATTCATACAAATATCGGAATTCAGTGAGCATCAGTTATTCCAGCATTTAGAGGTAAGGAAAACTCAGGGAGAATCTTGTGAATCTCAGCTTTGTGCTAGACATATATCTCTGGGGATAAATTTGCTGCCTCAACTTTAACCCCTTGACTGCTCTGATGTGAGACGACACCCTTACAGTGGCTGCCTTGTATGTGAAACCTACCCTTAACTAACCCCCATTTATGGCTGTAGGATATGTAATATAATTACTGGGAGGGGACTGTGTTGGACTCTTCTGATGGGGCCTTTTTGGCTGTGACAAGCCTTAGATTAGTGTTGGAAGAGAAGGACAATTCATTCCCTCCAGTGGAGCCCCTTCTTTAGGCATATTTAGCTTTTAATGGTATCATAGGCAATAACCACTTTTAATTTGCAGATGATTCTTTCTCAACCAGTAGATGAAATAATGATATCAAATGGTACATTTCCCCATCAAACTTGCTTAGTTTGATGTTATGTTATTATGTTATCGATTGCTGGGTAACAAATTACCCCAACAAATTACCTCTCCTACCCATCTATTGCTGGGTAGCAAATTACCCCCCAAAATGTGGCAGCTTAAAATTAAAAAACAAAAAAAATTTCACACAGTTTCTTTTATTTTATTTTCTTTTTTTTTTTTTTTTTTTTTTTTTTTGAGATGAGGTCTCACTGTGTTTCCCAGGCTAGTCTCAAACTCCTGGGCTCAAGTGATCCTCCCACCTTGGCCTCCCAAAGTGCTGGGATTACAGGCATGAGCCACTGCACCTGGTCTATTTCACACAATTTCTAAGGGTCAGGAATCTGGGAGCTGCTTAGCTAGTGGTTCTGGCTTAGGGTCTCTCAAGATGTCAGCCAGGGCAGCAGTCATTTGAAGGGGTGGGCTGGAAGATCCATTTCCAAGTTCATTCATGTGGTTGTTGGCCAGAGGCCTCAGTTCCTCACAATGTGGGCCTCTCAATAGGACTGCTCACAGCATGGAAACTAGATTCTCCATAGGTGAATGATCTGAGAGAGAGCAGAAGCCACACTTTGTTTTCTGACCCAACCTCAGAAGTAAACCTCAGGAGTAACCATCACTCCTGCTATATTATATTAGTCACATAGACCAACCTAAATACATAAAGATGTAATCACTGGGGACATCACTGGGAGTCATCTTGGAGGCTGGCCTTGCAGGAAGTTAAATGGAAATTTTTAGATGTTCACTGGGACTTCAAGATTGATTTTTTTAATTTGAAAAATTTTGTTCTCCCCAGTCAGCCCTGTCTCCCTGTCTTCTCCCAAACCTTTATGTCTCTGAAATTGTCCAATATGTATATGGCAAATATCTCTTTCTCTTCCTTTGCTGTCTCAGCCATAAGCGCTAGTAAAAACTTTCCGTTTTTCTAAAGCAAGCCAGTAAGCATGATCGATCTACCTCCTCTACCCGTTTTGCTGGGACATCCATGGCAGCTGGTCAAAGGAGGCTTCTGCTCATGAGAGCACTTCAACTGGATTCAGATAATCCTTTGTGGTTTCTCCACCTATTTACTACTGATCCTCTAAAATTTGGTGCAAATGAACTAGACTGACTAGAGTTACAGTGTTACCATGTTTTTTTCAGACTGAGATATATAATGATATAATGATATGAGCTCTTTTTGGATTCTATCCAGGATCTCCAAAATGGAGATAAAGACCTAATGCTCGGGAGTGATTTAAAAACGAAATTACGGCCGGGCGCGGTGGCTCACGCCTGTAATCCCAGCACTTTGGGAGGCCGAGGCGGGCGGATCATGAGGTCAGGAGATCGAGACCATCCTGGCTAACAAGGTGAAACCCCGTCTCTACTAAAAATACAAAAAATTAGCCGGGCGCGGTGGCGGGCGCCTGTAGTCCCAGCTACTCGAGAGGCTGAGGCAGGAGAATGGCGTGAACCCGGGAAGCGGAGCTTGCAGTGAGCCGAGATTGCGCCACTGCAGTCCGCAGTCCGGCCTGGGCGACAGAGCGAGACTCCGTCTCAAAGGAAAAAAAAAAAAACAAAAAAAAAAAACGAAATTACTTGTCACTAGATAGATTCATCTGGTCCTTTGTATACCAGTCAGATAAGAGCCTTAGGAGTTGGCCGCATGTGGTGGCTCACGCCTGTAATTGCAGCATTTTGGAACGCTGAGGCGGGCGGATTACTTGTGGCCAGGAGTTTGAGACCAGCCTGGCTAACACAGTGAAACCCCATCTCAACTGAAAATACAAAAAAATTATCTGGGTGTGGTGGCACACGTTTGTAATCCCAGCTACTTGGAAGGCTGAGGCATGAGAATCACTTGAACCCAGGAAGCAGAGGTTACAGTGAGCCAAGATCATGCCACTGCACTCCAGTCTGGGTGACAGAGCAAAGACTCTGTCTCAGAAAAAAAAAAAAAAAAGCCTTAGGAGTTATTTACTATTCTTCACCTTTCTAGGACAAGCAAGTCGATAGCCACAGTGATGAGGACTGCACAGGCAGACCCTAAAGCTAACCAGGGACACTGTCTTGCCTCTGTGTTTGGTAATCATTCCAGCTATGCAGTTTCATTGATGTCTTTCCCTCCTTGGTACATACCTTACTCTATACCTGATAATAGAAATCCTTGTGAGAATATACTTATTCAGCTCTTGGTGACAGGAGGTGGGTGGAAGTGTGGGGCAGAGAACAGGGGTGAGGTTGTTACAATGGAGAATCAGTTTACTTTTTCAAAAATTCTGGAAGCCAGACATGGTGGCATGCGCCTGTAATCCCAGCTACTTGGGAGGCTAAGGCAAGAGGATCATTTGAGCCCAGGTGTTTGAGACTAGCCTGAGCAACATAGTGAGACCCTATCTCAAAACAAACAAAAATTCCAGAGCATCTTTGGCTTCCTAGGAAATAGCCTAAGGCTGTAAATAAACCCTGGCCTCATATTCCTGTTGTCATTTACTGGCGTAGTAGACAATTCATAACTGGGAAAATCCTTTGGGTGTTTTTTTGATGTAGGTTTTATAGAATCAGAGAGGTTCCAAAATTGTGTTTAACTGATTCTATAGAAGACTATAAAAGTAACAAAGCAGGCAAACAAGAACAAAAACCTTTGTGCCATAAAATCACTATTTAGGCCAGGTGTGGTGGCTCATGCCTGTAATTCCAGCACTTTGAGAGAGGCCTAGGCGGGAGGATTGCTTGAGCACAGGAGCTCAAGACCAGCCTGGGCAACATAGTGGGACCCCGTCTGTACAAAAAAAAATTTTAATTAGCTGGGCGTGGTGGCAAGTGCCTGTAGTCCCAGCTACTCAGGAGGCTGTGACAGGAGGATTGCTTGAGCCCAGGAGGTCAAGACTTCAAGTGAGCCATAATCATGCCACTTTCCAGCCTGGGCAACAGAGTAAGACCCTTTCTCAACAAAAACACAAAAATCACTGTTTACCTTCTCTAACCCTTATCATTATGTAAACATAATTTAATAGTTTAATCAGTATGCCTTATTATTATTTTTTCCTCTTATTCATTTAGTATCATTTTTTAAAGTATATTTTTATAGGCACTATAGAACCTTGCTGAAATTGGCTGAGGATACTCTTCAGTGGGGCCAGAAGTTCTTAGCATTATTTCATACAGAATTTTCCATGCATTTACCTAATATATTTATCATCTTTAATGACATTATAAAAATACATTGAACCAGAATGCCATAGATTAACTATCCTTTTTAAATTTTGATTCATTATATGTAGTAGAACCTTATCTCTGTGTTGATAACAGTTTTTCTTTTTCTTTTTTATATTTTTAATTTTTAATTTAATTTAAATTTTCAGACAGGGTCTCTGTCGCCCAGGCTGGAGTGCAATAGTGTGATCACAGCTCACTGCAGCCTTGACTGCCTGGGCTTAGGTGATCCTCCATCTCAGCCTCCCTGAGTAGCTGGGACTACAGGTGTGTGCCTCCACTCCTGGCTAATTTCTATATATTAATATTTTGTAGAGATGGGTTTTTGCCATGTTTCCCAGGCTAGTCTCAAACTCCTGGGCTAAAGCAATCCACCTGCCTGAGCCTCCCAAAGTGTTGGGATTACAGGCGTGAGCCACCACACCCAGCCTGCTTTTCTTTTAAATTATTTTCTCGAAGTAATAGTCCCATAAGTAGAGTGGGTTTTGTAGCTATGCTGCATCCTATATTGAGTTTTCTAACTTCTCTTTAATTTTGCTAATTTAATTGACAAAGTGATGCTTTTATAATTTGTTTCACATTTCTTTAATTACTAGCATTTTCTCAAGTGTTTTACTGTTTGGGGTTTTTCCTATTGAATTATCTGTTCTTATCTCTTGGCCACTTATTGGACAGAAGTTGGATAGGAACCTTTCGGATTTGTATTACATGTATCAGGTTCTTTCATAGCTGGATAGTGTGTTTTTTATTGCCAAGTCTCTTTTTTTTTCTTTCTATTACTATGAGCTATTCACTGCTTTGTTTGTTTGTTTGTTTGTTTGTTTGTTTTAAATAATACCCAGACTGGTCTGAGACTATGGGCTATTTCAAACCTAAATAGGTAGTGGTATTTTTTTATCCTTACAGAGAAGTGCATCAACTAGTTTATTTGCATTTGAAGTGTAGAAACGAGAGGTCCTGGCTGAACTTTTGGCATGGGAGCAGTGTGTGTGGAGAGCAGGCTGTCCATGATAGGAGGGGAGTTGAGGACAAGGCTGACACCAGGCCTATAAATACCCTAAGGTTTAGCTTTGTACTTTGAAATAGGAATTAGGTCACTTTTATTGTCTTCCCCAGACTTTTTACTGGTTGGCTGTGGAGAAAAGGCATCAGGACTTTTAGAGGAAATGTTACTGTTTCCAGCTCTCAGAAAGGTGGAAAGTGCTGATATTGGTCAGCTCTTACTCTTGTTTTCTCATTTCTGTTAGACTGAGGTGACCAAATGGAAAGCGTGGGAGTGGAGACTTGATATTTGGCTTCCTAAGTAAGAAGTGGAATTCTGAACAGCGAAAGGCCTTGCCTGTATCCCTTTGCCGTGGCACCATGCCTTGGACAGATGGATGGGGAGCTAGTTACCCAGCATCTGTCATTCTCCTTACCATTGACAAAGGTTCTCTTTTACCTTTATCATAGGCTGCTGTGTCCAGTCATTCTAACTGGGCTTTCTGCAGAGGGACCCAAACCCCTAGAACTTTTCTTTTTTTTTTTTTTTTTGAGAGGGAGTCTCGCTGTGTCGCCCAGGCTGGAGTGCAGTGGCACAATCTCAGCTCACTGCAAGCTCCACCTCTCGGGTTCATGCCATTCTCCTGCCCCAGCCTCCTGAGTAGCTGGGACTACAGGCGCCCACCACCACGCCCAGCTAATTTTTTGTATTTTTAGTAGAGACGGGGTTTCACTGTGTTAGCCAGGATGGTCTCGATCTCTTGACCTCGTGATCTGCCCGCCTCGGCCTCCCAAAGTGCTGGGATTACAGGCATGAGCCACCATGCCCGGCCCCTAGAACTTTTTCTAAGGTCCTAGTTTCTAGTATTCTCTTTGGCCTTTCCATTTTCTTCTCTAAAATAAGAAAATTCTGGAATCTCTGGGACAAACAAACAGAAAAGAAAAAAAAATTTAATGATAAAAAAAATAAGAAAATTGGACCAAACGATCTCTCAAGTATGATGTATGTATGTACTTGTTAATTAAAGACAGGGCCTTGCTGTGACGCCCAGGCTGGAGTGAGTTGCACAATCGTGCAATACTTCACTACAGCCTTGAACTCCTGGGTTCAAGCAATTCTGCTTCAGCCTCTCCAATAGCTGGGGCTACAGGTGTGTGCCACCATTCTCGGCTACTTTATTTTTTCATATTTTTAGAGATGGGGTTCTCGCCAGTTCTGCCCAGGCTGGCCTTGAACTCCTGCCTCAAGTTTTCTTCTCACCTTGGTCTCCTAAAGTGCTGGGATTGCAGGCATGAGCCACTATGCCTGGCTCAAATGATCTCTAAAGTCCCTAAAGTCCTAAGATTTTTTGGAGTTTGATGTCTTCCCACACAAGTTTGGAAATACTTTCAGAGGGATTCTATTCCATATGAATGTCATTACAATTTTAATGAAAATTTTGATGTAGCAATATTGTAGAATATATTTTAAAGAGGTAAATATACACAGTCTTCTGTGCATTTTGAGATAGTCTGACTTTATAATTTTCCTTTGTCTTTCTGTTGTCCAGTTGTCAGTTTTCAGATAAATTCTGCTTCAAACTTGTTATGTAAGTTTCTATTGGGCATTTAGTTTCAAATTACTGTTTCCAAAATCTTCGTATTTCTTTAAATTTTCAATCATTCTTAAAAATAGATTAATATTGCATGAATGTCAAGAGAACCTCTTCTATTTTCATTTTAAAATTTTAATCATTAAAATATACTGCAGTGTCTCTATATTAATTTATCTGAAGATGCATCAGTGTACAGTCAGGTGCTGCATAACAACATTTCGGTTAACAATGGACCCCATACATGATAGTGGGCCCATAAGATTATAATGGAGGTAAAAAAATTCCTATCACTTAGTGATGTTGTAGCCATCATAATGTCATAGTATAACGTATCACTCGTGTTTGTGGTGATGCTGTTGTAAACAAACCTGTGCTGCCAGTCATATAAAAGCATAGCACATAAATTATGTACAGTATATAATACTTGATAATAAATGACCATTACTAGTTTATCTATTTCATATATTATATATCATTGTTTTAGAATGTACTCTTTCTACTAATCAAGAAAAAGAGTTAACTATAAAATAGCTTTAGACAGGTCTTTCAGGAGGTATTCCAGAAAGCATTATTATCATAGGAGATGACAGCTTCATGGGTGTTATTGCCCTGAAGACCTTCCAGTGGGACAAGCTGTGGAGGTGGAAACCAGTGATATTGATGATCCTGACACTCTGTAGGCCTAGGCCAATGTGAGTGTTTGTGGCTTAGTTTTTAACAAAAAAGTTTAAAAAGTACAAAATAAAAAATTTAAAAATAGAAGAAACCTTATATAATAAAGATATAAGAAAATATTTTGTACAGCTGTAGTATGTTTTGTGTTTTTTTTTTTTTTTTTTTTTTTTGAGATGGAGTCTCACTCTGTCGCCCAGGCTAGAGTGCAGTGGCGTGATCTCTGCTCACTGCAAGCTCAACCTCCCGGGTTCACACCATTCTCCTGCCTCAGCTTCCCGAGTAGCTGGGACTACAGGCACCCACCACCACGCCCAGCTAATTATTTGTATTTTTTAATAGAGACGGGGTTTCACCGTGTTAGCCAGGATGGTCTCGATCTCCTGACCTCATGATCCACCCGCCTCGGCCTCCCAAAGTGCTGGAATTACAGGCATGAGCCACCATGCCCGGGCTGTAGTATGTATGTTTTAAGCTAAGTATTATTATAAAAGTCCAAAAGCTTAAAAAAATTTAAAAGTTATAAGGTAAATTATGGTAAGCTAAGGTTAATTAATGAAGAAAGAAAAATCTTTTTAAAAATAAATTTAATGTAGCCTAAGCATAGTGTTTATAAAGTTTGCAGCAGCATACAGCAATGTCCTAGGCCTTCACATTCACTCACTATTCACTCACTGACTTATCCAGAGCAACTTCCAGTCCTGCAGGGTCCATTCATTCTAAGTACCCAGCACAGGGTTGCCATTTTCTTTTTTTTCTTTTTCTTTTTTTTTTTTTGAGACAGAGTCTTGCTCTGTCGCCCAGGCTGGAGTGCAGTGGCGCAATCTTGGCTCACTGCAACCTTCGCCTCCTGGGTTCAAGCCATTCTCCTGCCTCAGCCTCCTGAGTAGATGGGACTACAGGCGCCTGTCACCACGCCCGGCTAATTTTTTGTATTTTTAGTAGAGATGGGGTTTCACCGTGTTAGCCAGGATGGTCTCGATTTCCTGACCATCTGCCCACCTCGGCCTCCCAAAGTGCTGGGATTACAGGCGTGAGTCACCATGCCCGGCCCATTTTGTATCTTTTATGCAGTATTTTTACTGTACTTTTTCTGTGTTTAGATATACAAATCCTTACCATTGTGTTAAAATTGCTTACAGTGTATAGTATTCAATACAGTAACAGGCTGTACAGGTTTGTAGCCTAGAAGCAATAGGCTGTACCATATAGCCTAGATATGTAGTAGGCTATACCACGTAGGTTTGTGTAAGCATACTCTATGATTTTTGCACAACAATGAAATCACCTAACAATGCATTTCTTAGAATGTATCTCTGTCCTTAAGCAATGAATGCATATCAGTTAAGCCTGTGAGGTAGGCCTGAGGATGTGGAATAGCAGACACCAATATATCCTAATCCCAAGAGGCAACTTCTTTCATCTCTTTTAGTAGATTCTTTTGGAATTTACTCCCATATTTCTAATTAACAAGTGTGTATTGCTGCTTCTTAGTTTTTCAGATTAAAGGATAGAGCTCCACTCATTTGTTTTGTTTCTCTGTCAATATTTACAAGAGTCAAGTTATCTTAGAACTGGAAGAGACTTCAGATCCTCCAGAGAACTAAACTCAAAAACTGTCAAGGGCTTGGCAGATAACTTAAATGAAAAGAATAGGGAGTAGTATGGACTGTGGCAGACTAGAATTCTGTGCCATCTAAGGACATTCAATTCAGTTTTAACTCTGCACATATCAAACAGTTGCAATATATGGACCTTGTTTGGATAGTGATTTATACAACAAACTATCTTTAAAAGTTTATGGCAGTTATAGAAATTGAATAATTGCAAATTGAGCACTAACTAAAATTTTTATATTAAAGCAATATTACTCTTTTAGATGTGATGATAATGATATTAAGGTTAAAGATGTATGAAATGATATGATAGGCAAGATTTGCTTCAAAACAATATGGGAATAGAAGGGAATAGAAGGGAAAAAACAAGATAAGCCCTAAGTTGCTAATTATTGAGGCTGGGTTTGGGATATTTGGGCGTTTGTTAGTCTGTTTACATAATTTACATTTATATAATTTTGAAAATTTTCATAAGCTTTTTTTAAAAGACTTATGTGGGTAAAACCTTGTCTCCTTCGAAGAGGAATATTAGAATGAGGAGAAAAGGAATCCAGATTAAGCGAGAATAGAGGCAGTTCTGTTAGCTATACTGATTAAGGGTTGTCACCAGAACCTTACTAGTATATTCCATTGAATAAATATGTATTTGTTATTATACATATTTATTTGTTTGGCATATTCTGTTAAGTTTATTTGTATACTCAAATAAATACTTATATCTTAAGTAGCGGACAATAACATTCATTCCAAAATGTGGTTTCACTTATTCTCAATAAACTCATTTATTGCTATTAAAAAAATAAAACACAATATAATACTAAGCAAAACACATCTATGGACCAGCCCAAATTTGTAAGCTGGCTTTCAGTTTGTGATTTCTGAGTCTATTCTCACCAGCTTGTTTCACAGAAGAAACTAAAACTTAAACCAAGGTCACATAGCTTATCAGGGGGAAAGCTAGAACTCAGGTCTCCTGATTCCCCATTCATTGCTGCTGCTTATGAAAAAAACTGCCCAACTGACTTAAATAAGAAAGAAGGGTTATGGTTTTGCCTGGCAATTGTCTCCTGTTTCCTAACCTTGACTATTTTTTTTAGAATATAGGTTTGAGATTTGTCTTCTCTCTTTTTGTAAGATGATAGGGATAAGAGATTCAGCCTTAAACTTCTGGTAGAAATCCAGGTCTAAGGATAGTTATATTTCTTTGAATGATAAAGAATTGTAGGCCAGACGCGGTGGCTCACGCCTGTAATCTCAGCACTTTGGGAGGCCAAGGCGGGTAGATCATGAGGTCAGGAGTTCAAGACCAGCCTGGCCAAGATGGTGAAACCCCATCTCTACTAAAAAGACAAAATTAGCCGGGCTTAGTGGCGGATGCCTGTAATCCCAGCTACTCAGGAGACTGAGGCAGATAATTGCTTGAACCCGGGAGGTGGAGGTTGCAGTGAGCTGAGATCGTGCCACTGCACTCCAGCCTAGGCGACAGAGTGAGACTCTGTCTCAAAAAAAAAAAAAAGAATTGTAGGCCAGGCACAGTGGCTCACACCTGTAATTCCAGCACTTTGGGCAGCCAAGGTGGGCGGATCACTTGAGGCTAGAAGTTCAAGATCAAGCTGGCCAATTTAGTGAAATCCCGTCTCTACTAAAAATACAAAAATTAGCTGGACCTGGTGGCGCGTGCCTATAATTCCAGCTACTTGGGAGGCTGAGGCACAAGGATCGTTTGAACCCGGGAGGCAGAGGTTGCAGTGAGCCTACGTCGCACTACTGTACTCCAGCCTGAGCAACAGAGCGAGACTGTCTCAAAAAAAAAAAAAGGAAAAAAAAGGTAATTGTAGCATTTAAGCAAGTTATAAGCATAAGACTTAAGATGAGGCAGGACTGGAAAAATGAACCCCTTGGTTCTATTTGGTCCCCAAGTGACATTTCACTGCCACTAAAAATTGCTGCTGTGTGTGGGCTTTAACATTTATTTTTAAAATTTAATTCTTTTCTCTAAGTCCAGAGCACTAAGCAAGCAGCATAGATGTACAGACTTGCCAGCTATTGGGGATGTGTTGCTAAGTAGCTGTGACAGCCTTCGTTAGATGCTTTGCTGTACAGTTATCACTAGACTTTGCTCCCAGGTCTAATTGGGAAATAAGGATTCAGGCAGTTTTGTTTTATGTATGTTTTGTTAGCATGCTTAATTTAAAAGCCTAATAAACCTGAGCTGACTTTTGAAAAACCATTTCTGTACTAGCAAAGATTCACATAGCAAACATCAGTTGAGGAGAGATTACTAGAAAGCACCAGAAGAAATTAGAATGACTCTTGTAGATAGATTTGAATAGTCTTTCTACTATTCCAGCTTATTCTCTTCTTTTTTACCTTCTTATACTACTCCTGTTTGTTTATATATTTTTCCACTCAGACCAAATGGAAGCAGAAGGGAAAGAAATGATCTTATTGAATTCCTTTGGACATAGAATTTGAGTCCTTCTGGACCTTTTCATAACCCCTTTGAAGTATACTCTGTTTTCCTAAAGAACTTGAAAATTTTATAAACCAATCACTCATCAAGTAGTATAAAACTCAGGCCTTTTATAGAATTTTTTTCCTTTCATAGGTAAAAAGTTGTTAGAACAAATACCACTTTGAAATTGATGCAGGTACCTGGAATGAAAGAGTTGAAACTAGTAGTTTTGTTTTTGGTTTTTGGTTTTGGTTTTTTTGAGACAGAGTCTAGCTCTGTTACCCAGGCTGGAGTGCAGTGGTGCAATCTCAGCTCACTGCAACCTCCGCCTCCTGGTTTCAAGTGATTCTCCTGCCTCAGCCTCCCGAGTAGCTGGGATTACAGGCGCCCACCACCACGCCCAGCTAATTTTTGTATTTTTAGTAGAGACGGGGTTTCACTGTGTTAGCCAGGCCAGTCTTGAACTCCTGACCTCGTGATCCCCCCGCCTCAGCCTCCCAAAGTGCTGAGATTACAAGCATGAGCCACCATGCCCGGCCGAAACTAATAGTTTTAAAAATGTATTCTAGATGTCGACTAGTAAAGGCTTTGCTGTTATCTATACCTAGGTAATGTTCTAGACTAGATGACAAGTCGAGTCCACACCTGAGTGTTGATTTTGACTTTAAAAAATTAAATAGAAAGTTAAAGCTATTGGCTAAAATTGTGAGTTTATCTCTATATTTGTAGATCCAGTCACACAGTTTAGCATCATATTATATCATGACATTAGTTCTACTTTTAGAAAAGTGTATCTTTTAGCTAGAATATGTGCTCTTTGTAGTCAGGGACCATGCCTTCTAAATCTTTCAGAGATTAATAAATACTCGTATATTTCGTAAGCATTTTGGCCTCTCTTTTTGTCTCTACTCAATATAGGTGGTAATAATACTCTGTATCAGGAACTTTGTATGTATCATCTCATTGAGTTCCCCCAAGGATATTTCAAGGTAATATTATCCCCATTGTATAGAAGAGGAAACAGAGGTTCCAAAAAGTGAAGAACTTGTGTAAGGTCACATACTTAGTAAGTCACAGAAGTGGGACTGTAAACCTAGGCCTGTTTCACTGATTATACCTCCTACTCTTACCTCTACATCAAGATCCCTTGAGAGCTTTGGAATTGTCACTAGAAGTCTTGACTATTCTCATCCTCATTTTTGGTAAATATGAAACTCATTTGTTCTGTTGTTCTAGAAAAGCTCTTAATGTTTAAATCAGGATCATGGACTACTATCCCCCTCTTCTAAGAGCTTAGATTAATAGGGGCAGTATAACATAGTGGTTAAGAGTGTATATAGGTTCTAAAGCCATGCAGACTGGCTTTGAATACTGGCCTCACCTTGATGACCTTGGGCAGGTTGCATAACCTTGCTGTACTTTAAGTGCCTTATGAGGCACTTACCATAAAATGAGGATGGTATGGAATACTACTCAGCAATAAGAAAGAACTATTGATACATGCAATAACCTAGGTGGATCTCAAAGTCATTCTGCTGAGTGAATGATTCCAGTTACATAGCATTCTGGAAAAGGCAAAACTGTGGTGACCAGGAACAAGCATGATTGCCAGGGGTTGGTGGTGGGGAAAGCGTGTGACTACCATGGGGTAGTATGAGGTGATTTTTGAGGAGATGAAACTGTTCTGTATCCTCATTGTGGTAGTGGTTACATGAGTTAGTACATGTGTTAAAACTCATAGATAATACGCTTCCCCAAGGAATCCATTTACTATACATTAATTTGTTAAAAAAATAAATGTAAAAAGGGCCAGGCGCAGTGGCTCATGCCTGTAATCCCAGCACTTTGGGACGCAGAGGCGGGTGGATTACCTGAGTTCAGGAGTTCGAGACCAGCCTGACCAACATGGAGAAACCCCGTCTCTACTAAAAATACAAAATTAGCAGGGCATGGTGGCACATGCCTGTAATCCCAGCTACTTGGGAGGCTGAGGCAGGAGAATCGCTTGAACCCGGGAGGTGGAGGGGTTGTGGTGAGCCAAGATCACGCTGTTGCACTCCAGCCTGGGCAACAAAAGCGAAACTCCGTCCCAAAAAAATTAAAAAATAAATGTAAAAAATGGGGCAGTAACAAAACCTACACATACCTGTGTACTACCTACTATACAGTACATAACTATATACTAAATTATTTTTATTATTGTTATTTTATCATTGTTATTAAAAGTATGATATTAAATATGGTGACATTCATTTAAAGTAGGATAGAATAAACTTTCACACCATCTGCATGGGTATGGTCAGTAAATGTGAGAAAAATGAGTAACTGTTGAGTCAGGTGGAGTATGTTTTCACATGATTTGGCAGGGGATCTGAGGTTTTCTGGACAGTGGAGGATTAGGCCTAGTATTTCTGGAGTATCTTGCAACTGACTTCTTGTCTGGCTGCATATACAGTTCCCTTGATAGTATTCTTCAACAAAATAGCTTTGGTCTTAGAAGCCACAGCTCTTTTCACTGGCTTCAGATTAGATCTGAAATTTGGACTGAGCAAACTGGTCAAAGAAGGAGCTGGAAGTGGTTCTTATACTTGGAAGATGGTAGCTGTTCTGTATAACAGCTGTAGCTTCCAGAGGCATTTCTTCCTGCCAGCCATAGTCTCTGGATTAGACAGTGATAGCAGTAGGGCAAGCATTATTCAACAGCTAAAAAAAAAGTTAAGGTCGCAGTGGCATTGTAGTTACACTAGCAGTGAAAAAGAGGTTCTAAAGTGAAACCATGACCTTTCCATCAAGTGGGGTGGTGCTTTTGTAGAGGAACTCACAACCTGAATCAAAACAAGTTAAATAAATGGTAAAAAGGATTCTGACCTTAGAATGCTTGCTATGTTAGTTGGCACTTACTGGTCTGTATATTCATTTTTACCTAATGACGCCAGAATTCAGGAAGCAGGGGGGAAAGGGGAATGTTTGTGGTTCCTGGTACAGGGCATTGGTTTAGCAGTGACTTAACTTTTCCTAATTTCTTTACAACAGTGACACTAAATTTCAAGCAAAGCTCCGTCGTCATTCAGTTTGCTTCTTTTATAGCTTGTTGTACATATGTGACTAAGTTATTGATTGCTGTTGAGGAACATCACTCTTTTGTGGCTTTGAGGAGACAATGCCAAATTGACTAGCCTATTGTTTTATTTTGGTTTTGTGTTTTAGTTCTCGTTAATTATGCTAAGAGTAGTTTGTTAGGACAGTGGTTTAAAATATATAAGAGAATCAGTATTTTCTTTTCTTTTTTTTTTTTTTTTAAGTATTTATTGATCATTCTTGGGTGTTTCTCGCAGAGGGGGATTTGGCAGGGTCACAGGACAATAGTGGAGGGAAGGTCAGCAAATAAACAAGTGAACAGAGGTCTCTGGTTTTCCTAGGCAGAGGACCCTGTGGCCTTCCGCAGTGTTTGTGTCCCTGGGTACTTGAGATTAGGGAGTGGTGATGACTCTTAATGAGCATGCTGCCTTCAAGCATCTGTTTAACAAAGCACATCTTGCACCACCCTTAATCCATTTAACCCTGAGTGGACACAGCACATGTTTCAGAGAGCACGGGGTTGGGGGTAAGGTTATAGATTAACAGCATCCCAAGGCAGAAGAATTTTTCTTAGTACAGAACAAAGTGGAGTCTCCTGTGTCTACTTCTTTCTACACAGACACAGCAACAATCTGATTTCTCTATCTTTTCCCCACATTTCCCCCTTTTCTATTCGACAAAACCGCCATCGTCATCATGACCCGTTCTCAGTGAGCTGTTGGGTACACCTCCCAGACGGGGCGGCTGCCGGGCGGAGGGGCTCCTCACTTCTCAGACTGGGCAGCTGCCGGGCGGAGGGGCTCCTCACTTCTCAGACGGGGCGGCCGGGCAGAGACGCTCCTCACCTCCCAGACGGGGTCGCGGCCGGGCAGAGGCGCTCCTCACATCCCAGATGGGGCGGCGGGGCAGAGGCGCTCCCCACATCTCAGACGATGGGCGGCTGGGCAGAGACGCTCCTCACTTCCTAGACGGGATGGCGGCCGGGAAGAGGCGCTCCTCACTTCCCAGACTGGGCAGCTGGGCAGAGGGGCTCCTCACATCCCAGACGATGGGCGGCCAGGCAGAGACGCTCCTCACTTCCCAGAAGGGGTGGCGGCCGGGCAGAGGCTGCAATCTCGGCACTTTGGGAGGCCAAGGCAGGCGGCTGGGAGGTGGAGGTTGTAGCGAGCCGAGATCACGCCACTGCACTCCAGCCTGGGCAACATTGAGCATTGAGTGAACGAGACTCCCTCTGCAATCCCGGCACCTCGGGAGGCCGAGGCTGGCAGATCACTCGCGGTTAGGAGCTGGAGACCAGCCCGGCCAACACAGCGAAACCCCGTCTCCACCAAAAAAATAGAAAAACCAGTCAGGCGTGGCGGCGCGCGCCTGCAATCCCAGGCACTTGGCAGGCTGAGGCAGGAGAATCAGGCAGGGAGGTTGCAGTGAGCCGAGATGGCGGGAGTACAGTCCAGCTTCGGCTTGGCATCAGAGGGAGACTGTGGAAAGGGAGAGGGAAAGGGGAGAGGGGAGAGGTTAGTATTTTCAAAAATCATCATATAGTACGTGGTTACACAACTCTGAATATACTAAAACACATTGAATTGTATACTTTAAAGGAGTGAACTATATCTCAATATATAAGGGGTGAGTTATAGCTCAATAAAGCTGTTAACAACAAAACAAAAATGCCATACCAAAAAAAAAATCATCATACTGATCTGTGACCTTCCAATGGAAGGAATTAAACTAAACTTTTCAAAATGGGGCTACTGGCCCTTAGGCAAGGTCCTGAGATTATCCTAAAATTATGGATTTAGAGTATTTAATGACTTTTCTGAAGAATTCTTAGAATTCATCTACTAAGCAAATAACCATTCATGTAGTTATGATGTAGTCATTGTCAATTTTTACAAGGGAGGAGGATAAGGATCATCACTAAGACTAAAACAATGATTCTGAACTGGGTGATTTTGCCCCCCAGAGAAAGTCTGGCAATATCTGGAGACATTTTTGATTGTCATATCTCAGGCATGCTACTGGTATCTAGTGGATCAAAGCCAGGAGGGATGCTGGTAAACATCCTACAATGCATAGGACAGCCCCCATGATGAAGAATTACGTGGCCCAAACTGTCGTTAGTGCCAAGGTTGAGAAACTCTGGTACAAAATGTACATCTATGTTTTCTTTCAAGAGTTTTAGCTTTTACATTTAGATCTTTGATCCATTTTAAGCTTTTTTTTTTTTTTTTTTGGAGACAGAGTCTCACTCTGTTGCCCAGGCTGGAGTGCAGTGGTACGATGTCAACTCACTGCAACCTCCGCCTCCTGGGTTCAAGTGATTCTCCTGCCTCCACCTCCCAAGTAGCTGGGATTACAGGTGCATGCCACCACACCCAGCTAATTTTTGTATTTTAGGTAGAGATGGGGTTTCACCATGTTGGCCAGGCTGGTCTCAAACTCCTGACCTCAAGTGATCCACCCACCTCGGCCTCCCAAAGTGCTGGGATTACAGGCGTGAGCCACCATGACCAGCTTTAATTTTTGTATATGATATGAGGTAGGGGTCCAGTTCATTGTTTTACATGTGGGTATCGAGTTGTCCCAGCAACATTTGTTGAAAAGGCTATTCCCCATTGCATGGTCTTGGCATCCTTGTCAAAATCAATTGACCATAAATGGCCCTGGTGTAAAATGGCTAATGTCTGTACCTATTTCTCCTAGAAAAAGCCTTACACAGCCTCCCTGAGGTCTTAGAAAATCTTGATGACTTTCTACTGCTATGGCTGCCTAAAGAATAATTCAGGTTGTTTCCATATGAATACTGCTACACCTGAGTGAGAACAGGTTAAGGATTACAGTGTCTGTAAGCCTCCTGTCATATATTCAGGCAGCTCACACCACGCAGCTTCAGTTCTCCAGGCTAAGGCATGGCATTAAAATTGTGAAGGACTTCAAAAATTTAATCCGACTTTCTACCAAGTACTCTAAATTATCTCAAATATTATTGTTGTTTTATGATAAATCTCAATATACAAAGCAGGTACCCTCTCAGTACTTACTTTTTCAAAAATTTCCTTAGCTATTCTTATCTGAATGTTTTAAATACATTATTTTGTTTAATTATCAAGCCGAGGAGGTAGGGTTGTGCTATTTTCTTTGTCATTTTACAGATGCAGAAACTGAGGCTTAGAGAAGTTTATTTGCTATGGTCATACCAGGACTGGGATTTTAATCTAGTTTTTTTTTTACTCCAAAGGCATTGCCTTTAGAGAGCACATAATGAATTATATGTGAAGTCTCCATCTTCACATATAATTAAGTTCTTCTAATAGGAATAAAATAACTGCAAAAATATATCCAAACAGAAAAATGGTACATAAGGTTTAAGCTTAAGCCAATATATACTTAAGGGGAAAATCTAAACTATATTTAAGATTCATTGGCCTTTTATAATCTATATTCTGACTTAGAAAGGGGATATGGACCGTTCTTTGAATACTTACTTGTTTTATAGCTAAAGAGGTCCTCACAGTCATGGGCCACATCGTATGTAATTTTGAAAACATTACAACATGCAAAGACTTCGAATGCCGTATGTGGTTCTGGTTGCAGCATCTAAGAAAGATATATATATTTTTTAAATCTGAGAAAATTTTGGAGTGGTAAAATAAAATACTTTCCAGTCTTAGAATATTAGGATTTAGGAACATAATCTTCAAGGTGAAATTAGGTAAAAGGGGCCGGGCATGGTGGCTCATGCCTGTAATTCTAGCACTTTGGGAAGCCAGGGTAGGTGGATCACTGAGATCAGGAGTTAAAGACCAGCCTGGCCAACACAGTGAAACCCCATCTCTACTAAAAATACAAAAAAATTAGCCAGGTGCGGTGGCACACGCCAGTAATCTTGCTACTAGGGAGGCTGAGGCAGGAGAATTGCTTGAACCTGGGAGGTGGAGGTTGCAGTGAGCTGAGATTGTGCTACTCCACTCCAGCCTGGGCAACAGAGTGAGACTTCATCTCAAAAAAAAAAGAAAGAAAGAAAGAAAGAAATTAGGTAAAAGGAAAAGTTCTTCCTTATGTAGTAGTAAGTAAATTTTTAAAATTTTATACAAGCCGGGTGTGGTGGTGCAAGCCTGTAGTCCCAGCTACTCAGAAGCCTGAGACAGGAGGATCGTTTGAGCTCAGGAGTTCAAGACCAGCCTGGGCAACATAGCAAGACGCACATCTCTTAAAAAAAAAGAAAGAAAGAAAGAAAGAAAGAAAGAAAAAGAATAAAAAATTAGCTGGGTGTGGTGGTTCATACCAAAATAAAAATTTTATGTAAAACATTGGTTCCAGAAGGATTGAGATCAGGCATTCTGATCTGGGATCCAGCAATGGGCTTCAGGAGATTAATGAACCTTCTGAAATTATATGCAGATTTGTGTGTGTGTGTGTGTGTGTGTGTGTGTGTGTGTGTGTGTGTGTACTTGATCACCTCAGTGAAATAATATTAAGAGGTGAAATAATATTAAGAGGTACCACTGTACTTCTAATTCTGGACAAATCTTTCTCCTAGCTATAGAAATTGGAGTCCTGGCCAGGTGCAGTGGCTCATCCCTGTGATCCCAGCACTTTGGGAGGCCAAGACAGGCAGATCACTTGAGGTCAGCAGTTCAAGACTAGCCTGGCCAACCTAGTGAAACCCCATAGTGAAAAATACAAAAATTAGCTGGGTATGATGGCACGTGCCTGTAGTCCCAGCTACTTGGGAGGCTGAGGCAGGAGAATCACTTGAACCCAGGAGGCACAGGTTGAAGTGAGCCAAGATCATGCCACTGCACTCCAGGCTGGGCAACAGAGCAAGACTCCATCTCCAAAAAAAAAAGAAAAAAGAAATTGGAGTCCTTTCACTGTGTTTCTTTTGAGACGGAGTTCCGTTCTTGTCGCCCAGGCTGGAGTGCCATGACGCAAGACTCTGTCTCCAAAAAAAGAAAAAAGAAAAAAAGAAATAAATTCGAGTCCTTTCATTGTGTTTCTCTCCTAAAGAGTCATTTCAATAAATTTGTATTGAATATCTTTTGTATGCCAGACACTTGTGGGTGCTTTGTGTAATACAAACATGATCACTTTAAATGAGTGTGAAGTACTGTTCTGGGCAGGTGAAGGGTAAAAGGAGAGCATCCCTCTCAAAATGATGGAAATAGGATGATAGGTTTGGGGGAGAGCAGGGATCTCCAGAGGGAGAGAATGATGAATAGGTAGGTTGGATTCATGTTGTGGATGCCCTTAAATACCAACTGAGCAAGGTTACTATATATATATACAATTAAAGGATACCTAAGAAGAAGCCTGAAGACTTGAGATATAGACTGGGCTTTATCATAATTAGCTGTGTTACCCTTAGGTAAGTGATTTTACCTCTCTTGACCTCAGCTGCACTACTCAAACACACACATAAACACAAATGAGACGGGAAATGAGCTGGGTGTCTGTTTCCTTACAGCTCTAAATTCTGTTATTCCCCTTAATTCAGTTTTAATAGAAGTGGGAAATCATTCATTGAAGGTTTCTGAGCATGGGAGTTCTCTTCAACAGAATTACTGCTGTTTCACTACCTGGTTGCTCTATTTATTAATGCTCTTTCTTCCACCCTTATGTGATTGCTCTGGGAGGGACTGTCTCTTTATTTGTTTTTTTGTTTTTTTGAGATGGAGTTCTGCTCTTGTCGCCCAGGCTGGAGTGCAATGGCGCAATCTTGGATCACTGCACCCTCTGCCTCCCAGGTTCAAGCGATTCTCTGGCCTCAGCCTCCCGAGTAGCTGGGATTACAGGCGCCTGACACCAAGCCTGGCTTATTTTTGTATTTTTAGTAGAGACGGGGTTTTGCCATGTTGGCCAGGTTGGTCTTGATCTCCTGACTGCAGGTGATCTGCCCACCTGGGCCTCCCAAAGTGCTGGGATTACAGGCGTGAGCCACCGCACCCAGCCGGGGCTGTCTCTTTAGATAGTTACTGATGTGGCCAAGGAATTGGCCATTATTATTAGCTTATATTATTGAGAACATGGGGATGGTCAGGTATCTATTCTTGAATTAGATCTGAAGCTGGTCTTGTTTCCTCATGTTATCAGTCACTGACCTGTGAACTGATCCATGTGTCCACAATGTGGGCAGCAGGTAAGTGCTGACATTTTGATGGCCACATCATATTTCAGGGATCTATGAGAAGGTCTGTAATGACCATGGAAAGCCAGCCAAGAATCTCCTTGCCATGGACAAATGGGAGAAGTTACTAAATTTAGCGGACATTAAGCTGTAAATTATTTGAAAGGTGGAAAAGGATTCTATTCAGAGACTATCCAGAATTTCCATTTACTAATCAGGCCTTGTGCTGTAGAGGCTTTCATCCCAGGAAAAGTATTGCTTTCTCTCTTCCTCTTTCCCCACACTTTTGTTCCTGTTATAGTGGGAGGATGATTTTCAGCTCTTACTATAACATGGACTTCAGTGCATGTTGCTATTAGATGCCAAGAGCCTCAGGATGATAAAATCTGAGGATTCTGATTCTGATTCTGCTATTTAAAAATTAGAATATGAGCTGAGTTTGAATTTTTTAACTACAGAATGATAGAGACATATATGAAATACAGTACATTTTTGCTTTTTGAAAGGAATTGTTATAGTGATGTTCACAAATCACCAACCTTGGCAAAAAAAAAAAAAAAAGGTCCCTGTGAGAACCGGTGTAAATCAATAAGAAAAAAGCAGATTTCCCAGCTGGGCACAGTGGCTCACGCCTGTAATCCCAGCACTTTGGGAGGCCAAGGCAGGCGGATCACAAGGTCAGGAGATTGAGACCATCCTGGCTAACACAGGGAAACCCCATCTCTACTAAAAATACAAAAAAATTAGCCGGGCGTGGTGGCGGGTGCCTATAGTCCCAGCTGCCGGGGAGGCTGAGGCAGCAGAATGGCGTGAACCCGGGAGGCAGAGTTGCAACGAGCCGAGATCGCGCCATTGCACTCCAGCCTGACTGAGTGACAGAGCAAGACGCCGTCTCAAAAAAAACAAAAAAAACAAAAAATCAGATTTCCCAGTAGGAAAATGGGAGAAAGACTTGAACAGACATTCACAATAGAGGATACCTAAATAATCAGTAAACATAAGAAAAGGTGCTCAACTTCATTAGTCATTAGGGAACTTCAAAACCACCATAGAATACTACTACACATAGAGCAAAATAGCAAAAATGAAAAAGATACACAATATCAAGTGATAGCAAGGATGTGGAGTAACTCAGACTTTCATACCCTAAGGGTAAATAGGGTAAATTGGAAAGCTGGCTGCATCTACAAGAGCTGATTTGCCAGCAATTACATTTCTAAGAATATGCCCAGCAGGTAATCATATATATGTTCACCAAAAGATGTTTATGAGAATGTTTATAGCAGTGTTGTTCACAGAAGCTAAAAAAAAAAAAAAAAAAGAGGAAACTGCCCAAATCTCCATCAGAAATAAAATGGATAAGTAAAATGTGAAAATTCTCATAGTGGAATACTATAAATAAATGAGAATTAGTAAACTACAATATCTTACAACACAGATGACTTTCTCCAGCATAATATTGAGTGAAAGAAGCCAATCCATACCCAAAAGACTATAAATCATGCTGCTATAAAGACACACGCACACGTATGTTTATTGCGGCACTATTCCCAATAGCAAAGACTTGGAACCAACCCAAGTGTCCAACAGTGATAGACCGGATTAAGAAAATGTGGCACATATACACCATGGAATACTATGCAGCCATAAAAAATGATGAGTTCATGTCCTTTGTAGGGACATGGATGAAATTGGAAATCATCATTCTCAGTAAACTATCGCAAGGACAAAAAACCAAACACCACATGTTCTCACTCATAGGTGGGAATTGAACAATGAGAACACATGGACACAGGAAGGGGAACATCACACTCTGGGGACTGTTGTGGGGTAGGGGGAGGGGGGAGGGATAGCATTAGGAGATACACCTAATGCTAAATGATGAGTTAATGGGTGCAGCACACCAGCATGGCACATGTATACATATGTAACTAACCTGCACATTGTGCACATGTACCCTAAAACTTAAAGTATAATAATAATAAAATTAAAAAAAAAAAGAAGCCAAACCAAAGGAGCTTCTACTTCATGATGCCATTTATGTAAAGTTCAGGCAGAGAAAATCAGTGGTTTAAGAAGTTAGAATAATGATTATCTTTGGAGGGATTGCAACTGGAAGAAGTCATGATTGGGATTTCTGGGTCCTAATAGTGCTCTGTGTCTTGATCTGAGTGCCGACTACATGAGTGGTTAGGTTTGCAAAATTCATTGAGTTATGCACTTAATGGTGTTGTCTTATTAGAGCTGATGGAGGAGAGAGGGCTTCAATTTGCACAACTGAGTAATCAGCTAGGCCCAGTCACTAGGTGAACAACTTACTGCTACCAATCAGCCTTAGAGCAGGAATCAAACTCATGTCTCAGAAAAGTTATTAATTACAGCTTGTCTTGGGACTTCCTTCAGAGTCACTCTTGAATAGCTGAAATAGTAAATGTTAAATCTGTGGATGCAAGTGTGTAAATTATTTTAGTCATCAGCTCTAATAAGATGGCCTTTGGGGAAATGAGTATAAGGTCACGAAAATGAAATGGCAAGAAGGAGGTCTACTATTTCTTCTGTAATACTGATTTTTACCCCATCAGGGTCAGTCCCCAGAGGTTGTAAATGTGAAGCTTGTTCTTTTTCTTTAGTAAGCTGAGTTTGTGGCTTTTTAAAGCTTTGCTTCACTGTTCTCATTTGTAAGTGAGATATTGCTTGTTCACCTCCCATAGCTGATGAGGAGATTCTTGTGCACTGTATTTGTTGAGATAAGGCTGGTTTGGGGTTTTGTTTTCATCTTTGTTTTTTAGTTAAATCATAACCTAGTTATGATTTTTGTGTGTCCTTGTTTATGGATCTGGAATTTAATTCATTATTAGTTGTAGAATGAAAGGTAAGATTTTGTTTTACTCTTCTCCTGAATTTTCTCCCCATTCTAGATCTGTTGGCATAAAATTTTAACCAGAAGCTAATTTAGTGATGCTGAGTTAGTCCTAGAAATTAGTTTCAATTCTAGTGTTAATATAGTCTGGGTTTCTAAGTTGTAGAAAAATCTCATTTTTTGGTTCTTGGTTTTCATTTGTATAATTTAGGGAAAATACAACCAACTGTATTTTAAACATATATAGTCCTCATCTTTTCTGTTGGGCTTGAAGAGTTGTACTGGGTATTATGGAACTGGAAAGAAGCCATGTGGATAGTTACGGTATTTAGGTGGATTTGTTGTTGGTAGAAGTGGTGAATTGGAAAAGTGATAGGGTACATATGTTTCGCCTTCAAGGCAAGTCTATTCTTACTGTTTGATGTCAGAGTAAAAAGTGTCAGTAGCTGAAAAAGACAAAAGAATCTTGACAGAGTGGGAAAAGTCGTGCCTCATGTTCTATTGATCAAAAGGAGGTTATATTTTCAAACTAGCTTCCTAAGATGAAATTGAAGCTGTACATGTGCCCTACTTATCCTTGTTTTTCCTGATTTTGGTTTTTCAGATTATTCCTATTAAACATGATATGCTGATTAGCACTGAATATTTTAGGTCTGCTACGCCTGTATTAGTTGAGATTCCTCTTAATTTGTGTTAGATCTCTGTTAGGTCATTTCTACTGCTGGCATTCCCTAGACTAGAGGCCTGCACGCACATTTGTATTCTAATGAGTATAAGCACTAGGTGTTTTTCTTGGCACTAAGAAAACCTTGCAGCATCATTAACCTAGGAGAGATTTGGGGTTTACACATTAACTATGGGAGGTTGATCAGTTTGTGGCCTATACACCAAGACTGTTCTTTATCACCCCCAAGCCACATTTGAGCAGGGATTGAGGAAGGGGTTGATTTTTCTGTTTATTAGAGGTGACATGAGCAGTGGGGCAGCGGCAAAGAGGCCATGTTGCTCTTGCTAAATATACATCCCTGACAGTTGGATAATAGGTTCCAGGAAGTTCAGTGGAAAATTAAAACAAAGCAACATTTATAGCTGATTGAACTTGAAAAGCCATTTTGGTGTTGAATGGCAAATATGTGGACTTCAGCATTCCTGGAGCCTGATGCATCCCGCTGGATGGCCCTGTTCCTGTGTACATGATGGCCTGGGGACTCAGCAGTGTGCAGGGTACTCTCCTTTAGAGGGTGCTTTGAGGAAAGAAGTTTGCTGCCACTTACAGAAGTCCCCTTCCCATACAGTGATATAACACAAGTACCCCATGTCCAGGGAGCATCTTTCCTCTGATGGCTTGAGGACTTATTTATTAAAAGGACAGGAATGTCTGGCAAGAAACAGAGGAGCTCTTAAGTACTGTAAATACTCCTAGTCACTCTGCATCAGGGCTGCAAGTTTAAGCAGATTGCTGTGGTGTATACACATGATTTTAGCATGATAACACTTCTGTTTAATGTCCTTAGTTGTTCTGGGGCCACCACTGGCGTGAGCCTTAAGAAAGGCTAACGCGGCTGTGAAGAAAGGGCTTTATAGTCTGTGTGTGGAGTGGTTAATTTTCTTAGAACTAAAAGAGAAGCTGCAGGGGATGGGAAGGGAAAATGAAGTCATGGTACAGGAAATATAGGTGAAGAGAGAATTGAGCCATTTGCAAGTATCAAGAAAAGTTGCTACACATTCCCATCTTTTTCTCCAGGATGATCTTACGCTATTGCTTCTATGTGTTTGTCTTTTGAGAAGCAAGGCCAGGGTGTCTGATGGGAACTTACGAACCTTGGTTTGCTAAGGGTGATGAGAAAACCTCTGTCATTTGACCCTGTCAGTCCCTTGGTGACTTCATCCAAACCAGCTTGGCTGTCAGGAAAATATGAATTGTGGCTATGGGCCTAATTTCTTCTGTTCCCACTCAAATGAACTGCCTTTGCTAGCTGTAGAATCAACTATTCCTATGCCCCATGAATTTCCCCAAAGTTGAACTACTCCAGTGGAACTGAGGGTTTATTGGTTCCCTACCATTTCAGGGCATTTCCCCAGCAAATAAGAGTCTTTCATCCCTTGTGTTTTAACTGAAAAACAGAGACCCAGCCATAACAATTCCCTCAGCTCCTCCTTTACTTAATGAAGAGCTTGAGTAGGCCCCACTTTTAAATATCTCTTCTATAAGTATGGTGCACTGTTCACAAACTTAGAAAATGTTAAATCTCGCCGGGCGTGGTAGCTCACGCCTGTAATCCCAGCACTTTGGGAGGTCAAGGCAGGAGGATCACCTGAGGTCAGGAGTTTGAGACCAGCCTGACCAGCATGGAGAAACCCTGTCTCTACTAAAAATACAAAATTAGCTGGGCGTGGTGGCGCATGCCTGTAATCCCATCTATTCAATGGAGGCCGAGGCGGGAGAATGGCTTGAACCTCGGGGGTGGAGGTTGCGGTGAGCTGAGATCTTACCATTGCACTCCAGCCTGGGCAACAAGAGCGTAACTCTGTCTCAGAAAAAAAAAAAAAAAGAAAGAAAATGTTAAATCTCTCTCTGCCCTACTCTGCTGTGGGGTTGAGGAACAATCCACTTAATGGGTCTCTTCTCTTTTGCTTAGCTGTAGCCACGGCAGCTCTATGTGTAGGTTGGTTGGCAAGCATTTATAAACTTTGGATAACCTGGCACCCAGCCCTTGGTTCACTTATTTTAATGCTACTAAAGTTTAGTTTTCAATTCAATAATCTTTGTTGGTAGGGCGTAACTATTCTAGTTAGCAATTCCATCCGTTGTAAGGGAATGCTGACAGCTGACCTGCTGTCGTCTATGCAGGTTAAAAGATCTTAGTTAAAAGATCTTAGTTGGAGTAAGCCTATACTTTTGGTGTTCCCAGACTATGAAACTGCTGCAGGTAGAAACAACTGTTTGTTTTGGTTTCTTCAGCAGATAGAGCTTTGCCCATGAGACACTGCTCCTGGTGTTTGCCTCGGGTACCTGTAAAGTCACTGAGGAAGAAACAGATCTTCCAGTGAATTGAGCTTAATTGTGGTCTGTTGCTTTCTCTGTCTGTGTCTCATACTGGCATCATGAGTTTCCTTTCTGAGTCAGTTAAATCTGAGCTGTGCCTTGTCCTGTGGAAATCTGAGGCTTGGCTAGGCTCATCTTGATGGTCTCCAAATGGTGAAATTGGGGCTAAGGTGTGTGGAAATGCACACCTTAGCCCTGTGTGCAGGGCTGTGGTGTCTTATAGATACAGTACTTTCTAGTGAGTGCTCACTTAGGCAGGGCCAAGAAAGTAGTTCTGAATGGGAACTCCAGAGGCCTAATCCAGATATAGCATATTATAGGTGCTAATGAAGAGGAATTGTGCTGCTGAGCAAAGGAAAGCTTTTGTGACTTGAAAGCACGTTCTGTGTATCATGGAGGCTGGGTTATTTTCCCAGCTTTAGGCGAGTGGCACTAACTACAAGTTTCATGTTCTTCTGAGTACACATGAGTCGGTACTGCAGTCAGTATACTTCTTTTCCTGAAATAAGAAAGTGATTTACGAGGTGTGGGCCCTTACGTGAAAGAAAACAAAACCAGCCGCTCTGTGGGCCTGTAAAATTCCTGTGCCATCTCAGTGGTGTGGGTTACAGGAGGAGAAGATGGAGAGGGCTAGCTGGCCCTCCCTTGCTGGGGCTCAGCTGCCCCAAATACTTGTGATATTGCAGGTTATTTATGAGCTCGTCTGGACTGGGATTCACTGCCCCACACCCTGGTAGGTGAAGATTTGCAGGCAGAATGTAGAAGCCCTCATTAATCTTCCTGGTCTTGTTGAGGATTTCTTGTCGGCCTGAGCTCCTGTTGGAGAATGAACTGGCTTTTCCACTGAACTACAATGGCTCAGATTAATATTAATCCCCTTAATGCTGCAGTTCATGATATAGTCATTAGGTGACTTGGAACTAATCCTGTCCACCTAACTAGTGTGATTTATTAAATACACATGGAGATCGAGTCTGAATACAGCTAGGCAGAATCAGCAGCAAATAAATACCTCTGTGTATCTGTATTAATGCTGGTTGATTGGGACACAATTGCAGGCTGGGCTAGGGAGAAACAAGGGCCAAAAGGAGGCTGAGCTCTCTTAATCAACAGTATTTTCCCACCTCTACCCTTTAATTTAGATGGCAGAAACTATTAAACTCTTGGTAACAGTTTTAGGAGCAGTGATGAGAGCGTATGTCAGGAACAGGGATTATAAGTAATCCAGTTCTGTGCATGTAAAGTCAAAGAAGAGAAAAAAAGAAACCATATATGCATTTGAAAAAATGTAAAGACATAAGCTCAAACTAAGGAAGAAGAAATCCTTTAAACATATCTTTTTTTTTTTTTTTTTTTCTGGAGTCAGGATTACGCTCTTTTGCCCAGGCTGGAGTGCAGTGGTGTGAAAATGGCTCACTGCAGCCTCAACCTCCTGGGCTCAAGTGATCCTCCTGTCTCAGCCTCCCAACTAGCGGGACCATAGGTGCACACCACCACACCTGGCTAATTTTTAATTTTTTTTGTAGAGACAGGGATCTTCCTATGTTGTCCAGGCTGGTCTTGAACTCCTGGGCTCAAGCAGTCCTCCCGCCTAGGCCTCCCAAAATGCTGGGATTACAGGTATGAGCCACCGCACCCAGCAACCTGTCAATTATTTGAGTGACTTTTCCTCCTATACTTTCTTCCTTTAAGTTTTAAGAGTAACGGTTCAAATGGAGCTTTCTCTACAATTTAACTTCCTTAGCTTCCTTTAAATTCTTTATCAGTAGACACCCTAGGCCAGGCAATGATCTCACTGTTCTATTACTTCTCCTGGCTTCAAGGCTTGAATTTTTCTTTTTGAAATGGGTAAGGAGATGGAGTAGCCATGCCTGCCATATAACAGTTCTCTTCTCTGAGATCCTTGCCCAAGTTAGCAGAAGCATAATTTCTTTGGTAAATAATTGATGTTTATCGTTTCCCTTTCTCAAACCTCCTTTTCTTCCCCTTCTTTGCTCTTTCAGCAGAGATGGCATTAATATGAAAAACATCTACCTAGCTGGCTTCATTTAATCAGGCAAGTCTGACATTTGTGAAACCTCTCATTAACATTTTCCCCAAAGAGCACAAAATGGCCTCCCCTCCAAATACAGCCACCTCAAAGTTTAGGCTTCTTTCCATCACCATTGGCAGGCTGTTCTCAGAGATGTTACTTCTCTAAACTCACACTCCTGGCCAACAGCCACTGGTCACATATGGGGGGACCTTCTGTTCAGGTGCTGCCCTATTCCTTGTAAACATCGCTTATTACCAATTTTCCTGGAAATAACAAGAAATCTTTGATAGGAATACTGGAGTATAGGTTTCTTCAGTACTTACATAGGACCTTTCTCCACCAATTCAGAAACATCAGTTGAAGACTACTATGTTCATGGTCCTCTACTTCAGGGGGTCCCCAACCCCCTGGCCACGGACCCGTTAGGAACTGGGCCGCACAGCAGGAGGTAAGTGGTGGGCGAGCAAGCATTACTGCCTGAGCTCTGCCTCCTGTCAGTTAAGCTGCAGCATTAGATTCTCATAGGAGTGTGAACCCTATTGTGAACTGCACACATGAGGGATCTAGGTTACGTGCTCCTTATGAGAATGTAACTAACACTGTAGAACATCGGTTCCCCAACCTTTTCAGCACCAGGGACTGGTTTCATGGCAGACCATTTTTCCACAGACAGTGGGGCTGGAGGGCAAGGGAGGTGTTTGGGATGAAAGTGTTCGACCTCAGCTCATCAGGCATTAGATTCTCATAAGGAGCACCAACCTAGATCCCTCACATCCCTCACATGTGCAGTTCACAATAGGGTTTGTGCTCCTATGAAAATCTAATGTCGTCGCTAATCTGACAGGAGGCAGAGTTTAGGTGGTAATGCTCACTCGCCCGCTGCTCACCTCCTTCTGTGTGGCCTGGTTCCTAATGGGCCACAGACTGGTAGTGGTCCATGGCCTTGGGGTTGGGGACCCCTGCTGTAGGTAACAGAAAAGCAAAGAAGCCTTGTCCCTTTCTGCTTTCCAGGAGCTTGCAGACTACAATTTAGCAATTCCATAAACCAGAATATGCTATACTAAAGCAACAGAACTCTATAGAAGTTCTAAGAAGGAAGAAATTAATTCTGATAGCAGACTATATAATACTAATACTAGTAATAGTACTAATATAGTACTATTAGTGCTATATCCTCTTACCAATTCATATCAGGATGAGGACAGTAGTCTCTGTCATTTACCTTTCTGTTTTCCTTCCCTCCACTTTTTTTTTTTTTTTTTTTTGAGATGGAGTCTCACTCTGTCGCCCAAGCTGGAGTGCAGTGGTGCAATATCAGCTCACTGCAACCTCTGCCTCCTGGGTTCAAGCGATTCTCCTGCCTCAGCCTCCCATGTAGCTGGGATTACAAGCGTGTGCCACCACACCTGGCTAATTTTTGTATTTTTAGTAGAGATGGGATTTCACCGTCTTGGCCAGGCTGGTCTTGAACTTCTGACCTCAGGTGATCCGCCCGCCTTAGCCTCCCAAAGCGCTGGGATTTACAGGCATGAGCCACCACGCTCGGCCTTCCCTCTACTTTTTGACCTGTCTAGTTTTTGACTGAGTACAGTTTAAGTAAGGACATGGATTGCTTATACTTCTTGGTAATTTTAGTAGTCCTCTTCCTCTTACCTGTTCTCCATCTCATCACAATATTAGTGTCTTTTTAACAAGCATTAGGAACAGAACCACCATTTAGGTCTTCAGTGAGTCACAGATATAAAACTGTGCCACAGTTAACGAGTAGAATACTTGGCATGCCTGACAATCAGAAATCATAGTCATTGAATTTCTGAGCCATATGGCCATTTCCAGTCCTATCCTTTTAGATAGATAGACAGATAGACCAACTGATAAAATAAGACCCAGAAAATTTGAAGTTTGGCTGTGGTCATAAAAGCTAGTGTAGTCTATAGTCTGTAAGCAAGACTTTGGATTATTCTTCTTTGTATATCCAATGGCTAGCAGTGCCAGGCCCACAGAAGGTACAAAATAATATTCACTGAAGGAGAGGATGAGGGATTTGAATGCAGGAAGGCCAGTATTGTTTCAGTAATCCTATAAATGCCATTTTAAATAATTATTTTAAATTCCCTAATAATGGGAGATTATGCTAAACATCATTTTTAGCTATTCATGAACAACAAAGCAGTGCTCATATTAAGTTTTGGGAAGTGAGTTTTACTAAAACTTAGTAATAATAGTCTTCAGACTCTGTGATTTAGGCTGCCCAGTGCCCCCTTTTTTTTTCTAACTGGCTTTTAAAAAATAACATTTAGTAGTAATATAAGCCAGGCACAGTGGCATGTGTTGGTAGTCCCAGCTACTCCAGAGGCTGAGATGGGAGAATCGCTTAGCCCAGAAGTCCAAGTCTAGCCTGGGCAACATAGTGAGACCCTGTATCTAAAAAATAATAATAGCCCATGTCTACATAGACTATTATATAAATTTAGGAAGATACAAAAAAGTTTAAAGATGCTGGGCATGGTGGCTCATGCCTGTAATCCCAGCAGTTTGGGAGGCCAAGGTGGGTGGATCACCTGAGGTCAGGAGTTCGAGACCAACCTGGCCAACGTGGAGAAACCCCATCTTTACTAAAAATACAAAATTAGCCAGGCATGGTGGCACATGCCTGTAATCCTAGCTACTTGAGAAGGCTGAGGCAGGAGAATCGCTTGAACCCAGGAGGCGGAGGTTGCTGTGGCCAAAATCACGTCATTGCACTCCAGCCTGGGCGACAAGAGCAAGACTACATCTTTAAAAAAATAAAAAAGTTTAAAGAGATGGAAACAAGAACCTCCATAGTCCAATCACCTAAAGATAACTATTATTTTATCTTTTTTTAGCGCACGCAAACACAATATCACCCTTAGCAAAATGGGAATCATATTCTATACATTTTTGCCTCTTCTTTTATCATGTTATGGGCATTGTCCCACATCATTACACATTAGAAAATAAGATCTAATGATATTATTCATTGTATGAATGTTACAGAATTTATTTAAGAGCTTCCTGTTGTTGGTTATTTATTTATTTATTTTTATTTATTTATTTATTTATTTTGAGACGGAGTCTCGCCCTGTCACCCAGGCTGGAGTGCAGTGGTGTGATCTCAGCTCACTACAAGCTCTGCCTCCCGGGTTCACGCCATTCTCCTGCCTCAGCCTCCCAAATAGCTGGGACTACAGGCGCCTGCCACCACGCCTGGCTAATTTTTTGTATTTTTAGTAGAGACAAGGTTTCACCGTGGTCTCGATCTCCTGACCTTGTGATCCGCCCGGCCTCGGCCTCCCAAAGTGCTGGGATTACAGGTGTGAGCCACCATGCCCAGTCTATTTATTTATTTTAAGATAGTGTCTCACTTTGTTGCCTAGGCTAGAAGGCAGTGGTGTGGCTCACTGCACCCTCAACCTCCTGGGCTCAAGTGATTCTCCTGCCTTAGCCCCCCAAGTAGCTGGGACTACAGGTGCGCATCATCACACCCGGCTAATTTTTGTAATTTTTTTTTGTAGAGATGGGGTTTCGCCATGTTGCCAAGGCTGGTCTTGAACTCCTGGGCTCAAGCGATCCACCTACCTTGGCCTCCCAAAGTGCTGGGATTACAGGCATGAGCACCGTGCCCAGTGGTTATTTAGATTATTCCCAGTTTTTCAATATTATAAGCAATGTGGTATAAATATCTTGGTACACGATTTTTTGCTTATCACTCTTAAGGATCCTTATAATAAATTCCTTCTATTATTTTTATTTCTCTTTAGGTAATACATGTACATAGTTTTAAAAAGTCAAATTGTGCTGCAAAGTCCAACTTCCCCCCCTTCAAGGTCCCCTCCCTAAACTCTTTTAGCTGTTTATTCAGTTGTTTTCTTTTCTATTTCTAAATAATATGTTGATACTACATTTTTAAATAGGATTTTTACATTTTAAGCATTATCTATTGACTTCCTACTCCTACATGTAGATATAGCACATTTGCAATACTCACCACCCCATTCTCCTTTCCTCCATCCTCCCAATATAATTATCACCCCATTTGGTTAAACCAGTACTCATTCTTTACCTTATTAAGACCTTATAGCTGGGCACAGTGGCTCATGCCTGTAATCCCAGCATTTTGGGAAGCCAAGACAGGAGGATCTGTTGAGGCCAGAAGTTCAAGACTAGCCTGGGTAGGCTGGGCGCAGTGGCTCATGCCTGTAATCCCAGCACTTTGGGAGGCTAAGGCAGATGGATCACGAGGTCAGGAGATCGTGACTATCCTGGCTAACATGGTGAAACCCCGTCTCTACTAAAAATACAAAACAAAATTAGCCGGGCGTGGTGGCAGGTGCCTGTAGTCCCAGCTACTCGAGAGGCTAAGGCAGGAGAATGGCATGAACCCGGGAGGCGGAGCTTGCAGTGAGCCGAGATCGCGCCACTGCACTCCAGCCTGGGTGACAGAGTGAGACTCCGTCTCAACAACAACAACAACAAAAGGCTAGCCTGGGTAACATAGCAGGACTCCTGTCTCTAAAAAAAAAGATCTTTAGTATTATTCATTTGAATTCATTATTCAAGTTTTCCCTTCCTTTTGAAAATATGCTGTTTTCTGTTACTATTACTGTTTCTTCTCAAATTCTACAAGTTTTAAAAACTGAATATTATTTTTCCACGTGGTCAAACACACAGCTCTTCTCTTCCATTTTTATCTCTTCCTAGAAACTCCTTCTCAGAGCCTCCCATCCTCTTCTTCTATTCTGTATTGGTTACTGTCTAGACCTCAGGCACAGCTGTCCTTCTGGAACTTCCCTTCAGTTTTCTCTAGATCTCCTTTTTCTTGTTTATGCTATGTCCATTTCTTTCTTTTTTCTTTTTCTTTTTCTTTCTTTTTTTTTTTTTTTTTGAGACAGAGTTTCACTCATGTCGCCCAGGCTGGAGTGCAGTGATGTGATCTCGGCTCACTGCAACCTCCGCCTCCCAAGTTCAAGCAATTTTCCTGCCTCTGCCTCCTGAGTAGCTGGGATTACAGGTGCCTGCCACCACGCCCAACTAATTTTTATATTTTTAGTAGAGATGGGGTTTCACCATATTGGCCAGGTTGATCTCAAACTCCTGACCTAAGGTGATGTGCCTCTGCCTTCCAAAGTGCTGGGATTACAGGCGTGAACCACTGCACCTGGCCCATTTCTTTCTTGATTTACTGTCTCACATTGGTTTTTTATTTTTTATTTTTTACGTCATCCAGTAGCTTCTAGGAAAGGACACCTGGGGATGTATGGTTTTTTTAGACATTGCTTATCTGAAGCTATCTTTTTATTCTATACTGACACTAATTGAAGGTTTTACCGGATATAGAATTCTAGTTTGGAAATAGTTTTCCTTCGAAACTTGATGGCTCTGCTTCTTTTTCTTCTCATTTCCAGTGTTGATCTTGAGTAGTCTGATGCCATATTGAATCTCAGTCCTTTATATTTAAACTGGAGTTCTTACAATTTCTTTATCCTCATTATTCTGAAACACTTGGTGTGGGTCTCTTTTAGTTATTCTGCTAGGTTCTTAGTAAGGGTCTTTTTGATCTGCAAAATTATATCATTTGATTTTGGGAAATGATCTTATATTAGTTCCTCAATAATTTCCCCTTTTCCCCCTTCTCCATTTTTTCTGTTTTCTCAATTAGTCCCCCTGTTTTCTGTTCCATGTCTCACCTTCTACCTGGTGCCTCCTTCCAGAGCTTGTTTCTTATTGGTACTTCCTTCTAAAGCAACTTGCTCTTCAGCCTTTTCTGCTCTGCTTATATTTCCTTTTCTTCTGCTAAGAATCTGTTAATGAATCTATGCTTGATTTTAGCTGAAAGGCTGAGAAGCAATCTGTTAATGAATCTCAGACAGTTTTCTTTTCACCTCAAGATCATTTTATTCTACTTATTATATATTTTAGTTTTTATTTTTAATTCTTTTTTTTTTTAAATGGAGTCTGACTCTGTCGCCCAGACTGGAGTGCAGTGGTGCAGTCTCGGAGTCTCGGCTCACTACAACCTCCACCTCCTAGATTCAAGTGATTCTCAAGCGTCAGCCTCCCGAGTAGCTGGGATTACAGGTGTGCACCACCACGCCCGGCTAGTTTTTGTATTTTTAGTAGAGATGGGGTTTCACCATGTTGGCCAAGCTGGTCTCAAACTCCTGACCTCAAGTGATCCACCCACCTTGGCCTCCCGAAGTGCTGGGATTACAGGCATAAGCCACGGTGCCCAGCCTATATTTAATTCTTAACCACTCTGAACACCTTGTATTTCTTCATAACACTTACAATTAGTGTTAAAATCATAACTTATAATTAGTCACAATTATAATTAGTTAATTGTGTGATCCCTTGCCTAATGTCTTTCCCACTACACAGGAAACTCCATGAGGACAAGGATTGTGTTGCATTGTTCACCATCATATATCTATTATCTAGCCTGGTGACTGGCACAAAGTTGGCACTCATAAATATTTAATAAGTGTATTAATTTGCATCTTTCTTTAATCAATATAATTTATTCTGTCAAGTGGACTGAAATAGGAATTTAACTTTTCCCACCTAACATCCCATTTATTGAATGCTCTTTATCATATATCATATACTACATATTGTCCTACCTATTCTTTTGCCAATAGTATACTGATTTATTTGTTGTAGTATTATAAGACATTTTAAAATGATACTGCAGACTTCCTGAAATTAGTTTTTTGTTTGTTTTTGTTTTGAGACGGAGTCTCGCTCTACTACCCAGGCTGGAGTATAATGGCACGATCTCAGCTCACTGCAACCTCCACCTCCTGGGCTCAAGCAATATTCCTGTCTCAGCCTCCCGAGTAGCTGGGACCACAGGTGTGTGCCACCACACCTGGCTAATTTTTTGTAGAGACGGGGTTTCGCCATGTTGCCCAAGCTGGCCTTAAACTCCTGAACTCAAGTGATCTGCCCACCTTGGCCTCCCA
Source organism: Homo sapiens (assembly GCF_000001405.40). Taxonomy (NCBI): domain Eukaryota; kingdom Metazoa; phylum Chordata; class Mammalia; order Primates; family Hominidae; genus Homo; species Homo sapiens. Next base: position 102,321,823 of record NC_000010.11, read on the forward strand.
AAGTGCCAGGATTACAGGTGTGAGTGAGCCACTGCACCCAGCCTGTTTGTTTTTGAGACAGGGTCTTGCTCTGTCACCCAGGCTGGAGTACAGTGGTGCAGTCACAGCTCACTCTAGCCTCAACCTCCTGGGCTGAAGCAATCCTCCCAGCTCAGCCTCCAGAGTAGTTGGGACTACAGGCCTGCAACACCACGCCCAGGTAATTTTTTGTATTTTTTGTAGAGACAGGGTTTCACCATGTTGGCCAAGCTGGTCTTGAACTCCTGGGCTTAAGCAATCCACCCACCTCGGCTTCCCACAGTGCTGGGATTACAGGCGCAAGCCAAGCCACCATGCCTGGCCTCATTAGTTGTTTGAAAAAATATTCTGGCTATCTTCATCTGGTTCTTCTTTCACATGAAGTACAGAGTCACTTATTCAAGTTCTTTTTCAAAGACCTTTAAGATTTTGATTCAAAAACATAAATTAGTATGGAGAGAATTGACATCTTTATAATATATTTGGCCTCCCTAACCAGGAACATGTTATGGCTTCTCCATTTAGTCAAGACTTCTCTGGTGACCTTGGTAAAGTTTGTAGATTCTTCTTTCCCCAGTTTATGTCCATTTCTTGTTAGATTTATTCCTAAATATGTGTATGTTCAATTGCTAAAGGAAATAGGATTTCTCCCCACTATAAATTCCTTTTATCTCACCTAAAACTGGGTAAGTTTCCCTTTATTCCTACAATACAGTTTACATTATATGCCCATGACAAAATACTAGTGTTAGTAGTTCTCCTTACATGTGGTGTCTCATGCCTGTAATTCTAGCACTTTGGGAGGCCGAGGCAGGAGGATCTCTTGAATCCAGGAGTTTGAGACCAGCCTGGGCAACATAGTGAGATCTCATCTCTACAAAAAAAAAAAAAAAAAAAAAAAAAATTGCTGGGTATGGTGGTGCATGTCTGTAGTCCCAGTTTCCTAAGTTAGCTTCATTTTTAATAAGAGCCAGTTGTTTCAGCAAGAATCGCTTGAACCCAGGAAGCAGAGGTTGCAGTGAGCTGAGATCACACCACTGTAGTCCAGCCTGGGTGACAGAGCAAGACTGTCTCAAAGTAATAATAATAATAAGAAGAAGACAAAGAAGAGCCAGCCATTTCAATGATCTATTACTGTGTAACCATTTCCAAACTTTGTGGCTTAAACCGACAACCATTTTATTGTATCACAATTTTGTGGGTTGTCCAGGGCCCAGCTGAACACCTCTTCTCACAGTCTCTCCTGTGGTTGCAGTCAGCTGCGGCTGTGGTTTGGATGTCTGGTACCATGTGGCTTCCTTTGACATGATACCTCAATCTCCAGGGCTTTTCCTCATGACCTAGCTCTCCTGCAGGGTAGCTTAGACTGTGTACATGGCAGTTTAGATCTCCAAAATTGAAAAAAAAAAAAAAAAAAAAAAGAAGAAGAAGAAGCTTCAAAGCCTTTTTAGTGCCTGGGCATGGAAGTCCCAGATTGTCATTTTCTCTGCATTCCGTATGTCAAAGCAGTCACAGACGAGATTCAAGGGGAGCAGACACAAGCTGTACCTCTTGATTGGAGGAGGAACATGTGAGGGGTGGCACTGTAAGGGACTACCTTTGGAGATTAACTGCCATAATGGCATTTGTTCATTGGCCCTTGTCTTCTTCCTTTTCTTCTTTTATTCCAGGTAGCTACCCTAGACTTCAGTGTAGACTAAGTTCTTTTAAGCATGTTTGCACTTTTTTTTCTGTCTTTTTTTTTTTTTTTCCTTTATGTGGAGAACGGGACCTCGCTATATTGCCCAACTCCTGGGCTCAAGTTATCCTCCCATCTCTGCCTCCCTAAGAGCTGGGATTACAGGCGTGAGCCACCATGCCTGGCCATAAGCTTGTTTAATCCAGTCAAATTTCAGTACCAAATAACTATATTCATTGTCATAAATAGGAATCTGAAGGGGGTAGCAAGGGAAGCCTTTCTTTTAATGTTTCCATCTTCACATTTGTTTTCCTGGATGAAGTTTAACTCTTATGGACAGAAATACAGAGTTCACTTGAGCATGAAATACCAGACAAAGAGACAGGTGTAAATTGGCCCTGTTCTTCTGAACCCTGCCTGCCTACTTTCTAGGAAGGCTAGCCTTCCCCTCTTTTCCCCAGCATAAGTCCAACCCCTTCCCTCATTATGGTTTGTCATAAGAACTCTCTCTTATACTGGTGCAAGTGGAAAAAAGAGAGTATTATTCCTTTTCTTTTTTTCACAAAATACTTCTTCCTACCCTGGATTTGCTAACCTCTGGCTTAAATACGCACCAAGCAAAGATGTATATATAGTCTTCCTCCCTTCCTCTCTCTCCCCTTAGTCTGAAGGAAAGCAGCAGGTGATGGAATGCATAAAGGATCGGGGCAGGGCTAGAGTCTTTTCTCACACACTATGGACGTTGCTCAACAGAATGGGTGTGAAATTTAGTCAGAGCCACAGCATGTGTTTCAGTTTTCCAGGGAATTTCCTCTTCCTAACTGTAGGTTTAACCCTTTCTTCTGTGTAGGGAATGCCAGGGGCTACCCAAGAAATATGAAATGAGTTATTTGTAAGAAGGAAAAAATGCCAGGCTTTTACCAGGCTCCTTTGGGATCTAGGATCTCCAACTTACTTCTTGCTAAATGATTGTGGAAAAAGACATAGACTTTGGAGTTGGATAGACCTGGCTTCATATCCCATCTCTACCATTGGGTGGTCTTGGGCAGTCATTGGTGGCAGTTACTTGATCTTTTTTTTTTATTTGAGACGGAGTTTCGCTCTGTCACCCAGGCTGGAGTGCAGTGGCGCAATCTTGGCTCACTGCAGCCTCCACCTTCCAGGTTCAAGCGATTCTCCTGCCTCAGCCTTCTGAGTAGCTGGGATTACAGGCGCCCGCCACCACGGCTGGCTAATTTTTGTATTTTTTAGTAAAGACAGGGTTTCACCATGTTGGCCAGGCTGATCTCAAACTCTTGACCTCAAGTGATCTGCCTACCTCTGCCTCCCAAAGTGCTGGGATTACAGGCGTGAGCCACTGTACCTGGCTGATCTTTTTGAATCTCCATTTTCTCATCTGCAAAATAATATAAAAACTTGCCTTATAGTATTCTTGTGAGAATTACATGAGTTGATGTGTATAAGGTGCCTAGTACAATGCATACCCTCTCCACAGTATGCACTCTACATATGATTATTTTCTTCTCCAGTCTTTACCTCTGGATTCTGAGGCTATCTACTCTTCTTTTGTGCCATGCCATGTTGGGTGTTTGCCATGGTAGCAGCTTTTCACTAAAGTTTGTTGCTTTTCTCCCCGAATCTAATTCCCTAAGTGCGTTACAGGGAGGAGTTATTTCACATGATATGCAGAATCCCTCTTGGGGTCCTCATTAAGCTAAAGGACAAGTCTCTATACGAATGCTGAGAAGGGCTGGGCCCAGTGGCTCACGCCTGTAATCCCAGCACTTTGGGAGGCCAAGGCAGGCGGATCACCTGAGGTCAGGAGTTCAAGACCAGCCTGGCCAACAATGGTGAAACCCCGTCTCTACTAAAAATGCAAAAATTAGCTAGGCGTGATGGTGGGCACCTGTAATGCCAGCTCCTTGGGAGGCTGAGGCAGGAGAATTGCTTGAACTCAGGAGACGGAGGTTGCAGTGAGCTGAGATTGCTCCACTGCACTCCAAGCCTGAGCGACAGAGCAAGACTCCGTCTCAAAAAAAAAAAAAAAAGAAAGAAAAAATGCTGAGAAGGACTATAGGGCTTTCCTTGCCCGTCTCATACTGGAACCCATATGAACTTACAAAAGTTTTTTTTGTTTTTGTTTTTTTTTAAGACACAGTCTCACTCTGTCACCCAGGCTGGAGTGCGGTGGCACAATCTTGGCTCACTGCACCCTCCGCCTCCTGAGTTCAAGCGATTCTCGTGCCTCAGCCTCCCGAGTAGGTGGGATTACAGGCACATGCCACCACACCTAACTAATTTTTGTATTTTTAGTAGAGATGGGGTTTTGCCATGTTGGCGAGGCTGGTCTTGAACTCCTGACCTCAAGTGATCCACCTGCCTCGGCCTCCCAAAGTGCTGGGATTATAGGTGTGAGCCACTGCGCCCAGCCTACACTTATAAGAGTTCTAAAATCATACAGTGTTAGAACTGAAATGAAGTATAGAGGTCACCTGGCCTATTTTATACGGAAAGAACTGTGGCTCGGAAAAGGTCATGTCATGCAAGGCCTCATAACGGAGTAGTGGCAGCTCTGGAACTAAAGATCTGTCTTACTTGTCTATTACTATGGTTATAATTTAATTTTTTTGAACGCTATCTGAGTTCTAAGTGCTCAGGGCCTAGTATGCAAGTTTACGCCAAGTATGTAAACTTGCTTCTAAATTGGAATGCTGATCATACTTTTAGCAATGGGGAAGTAAACACTGTTGAAGACATTTCAATATCATTCCCTTGGGGAGTAACAGGGCTTCAATGAGAATATTATAAGCTACCACCTGAAAACCTCATTTTTCTACAAAGGTTGCCCAAGGGGCACTGAGGTGGCAGTTCAGCTGGCTGTTGAGTCTCTGCTCCCAGACTGGTGAGTTGGGAAGCAAACTTGTTTCTTCTGTTCTTTCTTCATTCTCCCAAATAATACCAAGTAGGGGAAGCTCACCCCAAGCCCCCATCTGGCTTTCCTTTTTTTTCAACTTGAGGTATAATTAACATACAATAAAATATGCAGATGTTAGGTGTTCAGTTGGTAAGTTTTGATAATTGTATAAACCATGTAACCAGCATGAATAAAGAATACACAGAACATTTCATCTCCCCAGAAATATCCCCCATGCCTCTTTGAGTCCCCCAACCCCACACATATATACAAAACCATTTTCTATCACTATGGATAAGTTTTGTTTTTGGATTTCATATAAATGGAATCACACAGGATATACTCTTTCATAGCTAGCTTCTTTTAGCTTAGCATGTTTTTGGAATTTATCCATGTTGCATATATCAGTAGTTTTTTTCTGTTTTGCTTTTCTGAGTGGTAGTCAATTGTGTGGATATATAAGGAGAAAAGGTAGAGGTTGGTGAAGGGCTTTCATCTGGCACGTAGCCTGACTACCCTTTGCTCAAGAGCATTTGGACCACCAGAGGCCCCCCTCCTTAAGATTAAGATGTTCACTTACCTGCTTTAAATGTACCACGTCACAGCATATACACTATTATGTAGCTATGTCTTGTAAAAGTCTCTAATCGGCATCCATTAGATGAGCCGAATTCTCCTGGCCAAGCCTTAGCCTCTCAGGGGGCTGGCACCAAACAGGGAGGCTGGAGTAGGGTTTCAAACACCTGTTTCAGCTTTTTAAGTGTCCGATTCAGGCCACTGTGCTCTGGCAGCAGGGATCCTCATGATGTGGCTTCTTCTCTCCTGCCAAATCCTCAACTTAAAGAACCTAGGCCCTTAGGGGAGGAAAATATAGAGCTGGTGGAGAGGGGAGGGGTGTGCAGCAACATTGAAGAACTGTTTCTTTTAAAGTTAAATGCACATCTACCCTGTGGCTGAGCACTTTCGCTCTTAGGTATTTAGTCAAGAGAAACAAACACATTTACAAAGAGACTTTTATAGGAATGTATACAGCAGTAATAGTAAATAACTGGAAACAACTCAAATATCCTTCAATAAGAGAATGGATAAATTCTTTGGGAGTGAAGGACTTACAGAGGATTCTCTGGCGGCCCTCCTCTCTTTCTAGGAATCATTCTTGTTTCTATTCTTATTTCTTTCTGGATTTTTCTGAATTTGGTTGTGTTTTAAATGCCATGTAATGGAATACCCATTATTTGTAAGTTGATTGAGCATAAAGTATTTTATTATAAAGTGGTCATCCGTCACAAGAAGGCATGTGGCTGTAAAAAACATTAACTCTGCACTCTGGGCTGGAATGCAACTTTACCAGAATAATGGAGCTTTTGTATTAAGTGTGCAGTTGGGATAAAACAAGAGACAGACAGACAGACAGTGTTGGGGAAACAGGTGTTGGCTGGGCCCAGCTTCTGTCCCATGTTTTGTGAAATTGTTTTCCAACCCTTTGAGGATTGCTCCTCCAGATTCAGCTGTCTTAAAGGTTCTGTCAGCACCTTTCGAGCAAATAAGGTGTGACTTTTCAGGGTACTGCTGCTTCCATAAGCTTTATTTGTTTACTGTCCAGCTCACAGACATGTCTAGAGACAGCAGTGGCAAGTGATTACCATACTTATCCTAGCTCCATCTATTTTTGACGCTTTTGTTTTCCCCATCAGTAAAATGGGAAATATCCCTTATCATAAAGTTCTTGAGCCTTTTAGCATGAGGGTGGCTGAAACAGCATAAAGACTTCTTAATCTGGCTGGGCACAGTGGCTCATGCCTATAATCCTAGCACTTTGGGAGGCCAAGGAAGGAGGATCACTTGAACCCAGGAGTTCAAAACCAGCCTGGGAAATAATAGCAGGACCTCGTCTCTACAAAGAAAAAATTTTTTTTAATTAGCCAAGTGTGGTGGCACACGCTTTAGTCCCAGCTACTTGGGAGGCTGAGGTGGAAGGATTACTTGAGAGGTTGCAGTGAGCCGAGACTGTGCCACTGCACTCCAGCCAGGGTGACAGAGTGAAACCCTCTCTCAAAAAAAATAAAAATAAAAAGACCCCTTAGTCTTGTTGTCACTAAGAATTTATGATATGCTGCTGTAGTAACTATTTCCAGCTCTTGGGAAAACATTAACTCTGTACTCTGATAGTACAGTAAGTGAGAGTGAATAAGTAAGGTCCTATACACTGAAGGGATAGGGAAAGGTTACTTATCAGTCCTGTTATTGAGACTGGGGACTGTCTGATTCTTCTCCAGGAGCTTTGACTATTATCTCTTCAGGCTTTTTCATCATCTGTAAACTTTGCTAATGTCAGTTCAGAATTTAGTTCTTTTTAATTTCCTCTTTGTCTTTTTCAGGGCTGGTAGAGAAGACCTGACATAGTTATAATTGATAATAAACCTATAATGCTGCTGTTGAACAATGAAATTTTTTACTAGACTCTGAAAGGAATTTGTATTGAAAAAGCTGCTCCAAGTGTAATGACTGCATAAAGCTGGGGTAAATTGTTCTGTTGTCAAGTATACCAACAGAAGTTTTTAATTTCTCCTGGGCTTTCAGATTGCCTGCTTAAGTTGGGGCTTGGTCTTCTACAGTGCATGCAGAAAACAACAAGGCAGAGTGAAGGGCCACAGTAGCTCTGGTTTGTCTGTATGCTATAGCTGAATTGCTTGCCTTTCAATATGTGCCAATTTCCTCTAGAAAGAAGAGAACTAGTATTTAAGGTTGATACGCATCAAACTTGTGCTTTCAGTAAGACAGATGGATCAGTCTGTCCTTGGGTCTCTGAGATATGATTGAGGCCAGTCCCTGTGGGCCTCATTTATCCCTGCCAGCCTTGTTAAAGGGGCCTCACTCTCCCTCTTTGGATTAGGAGGGAACCTAGGTAAACCTGACACTTAATTTGTATGGCAGTACTACAAGCAATAACTAACAATGTTTAGTCACTGGTTAGGAGAAGGAGAGGTGCAGAAGAAACTTCAGTTCTAGGATGGTTGAGTTTTAAAATTTTTTGTTTTGTTTTGTTTTTGAGACGGAGTCTTGCTCTGTCTCCCAGGCTGGAGTGCAGTGGCACAATCTCGGCTCACTGCAAGCTCCGCCTCCCAGGTTCACTCCATTCTCCTGCCTCAGCCTCCTGAGTAGCTGGGACTACAGGTGCCCGCCACCACACCCGGCTAATTTTTTGTATTTTTAGTAGAGATAGGGTTTCACCGTGTTAACCAGGATGGTCTCAATCTCCTGATCTCATGATCCACCTGCCTCGGCCTCCCAAAGTGCTGGGATTACAGGTGTGAGCCACCAAGCCCGGCCAAGTTTTAAATTTTTGTCATCCAAGTCATGCAGTTAATATATCTAGTAGTAAACTTATACAATAGGCCAGGCACAGTGGCTTATGCCTATAATCCCAGCACTTTGGGAGGCTGAGGCAGGAGGATCATTTAAGGCCAGGAGTTCAAGACCAGCCTGGGCAACATAGCAAGACCCCCTATCTACAAAAAATTTAAAAAATTAGCTGGGCATGGTGGCACATGCCAGTAGTCTTAGCCACTCAGGAGTTGGTAGTCTTAGCCACTCAGGAGTCTGAGGCAGAAGGATTGCTTTTGAGCCTAGGACTTTGAGTTTGCAGTGAGCTATAATTGCACCATGGTACTCCAGCCTGAGCAACAGAGCAAGACTCTGTCTCAAAACAAACAAACAAACAAAAAGCCCCCTGTACCATAGCATGGTATAATATTGAAGAGTATAATACAGTGGCTTTGGAGTCACAATAGACCTGGATTCAAATTTTATCTCTTCCACTTGCTGTGTGACCTTGGGTAAGTCACTTAACCTCTTAGAGCCTCGGTGTCCTTATCTGTAAAGTGAGGACAGTAACACTATTTCCCAGAGTTATTGGGAGGATAAAATAAAATTATATATGGTAATTATGTTTAATAATATAATGTAGCTGGCCGGGTGCAGTGGCTCACACCTATAATCCCAGCACTTTGGGAGGCTGAGGCAGGCAGATCACCTCAGGTTAGGAGTTCAAGACCAGCCTGGCCAACATGGCGAAACCCCGTCTCTACTAAAAATACAAAAATTAGCTGGGTGTGGTAGTACACGCCTGTAATCCCAGCTACACTCAGGAGGCTGAGGCAGGAGAATCGCTTGAACTCTGGAGGTGGAGGTTGCAGTGAGCTGAAATCACGCCATTGCACTCCAGCCTGGGCAACAAGAGCAAAATTCCATCTCAAAAAAAAAATAAATAAAAATAATATAATGTAGCTGTTGCTGATGTCTGAGGCAAATTAAGGTTGTTGTTCTGGCAATGAAATGGGATTCTTGTGAGGGTGGTAGATAGCAGCTCCTAGCAACAAGTTAATCTGGCTATTTAGCAGGAATGCCCAAGGTAGGAAACTCATTCCTCTTCTAATCAGGATTCATACATCATATTGGACAAAATCATACAATAAACTATTTTCCCATGTGTATGCTGCCTTTAAGTGCCTGTCTTATCTTTTGAAAGTGGAGGCTAAATCTGACCTGAGGCAGACCAGGGCAGCCTCACTCAGCAAGGAGACGATGGCAAAAATGACGATTTCAGGAGCAGAGATTTACGGAAAGCAGCCTGCTCTGAGATACACATGCTGTTAGGGATTTTGACCCTGAAAAAATATATCCTCTTCCTATCCTCTCTCTAAGGAGAGGTTGAGCTGCTATAGGGATGGAGATGGGGGCAAGGTCCTGACAAAGGTGTTCAAGCCAGAGAGCATATATAGATGGCAAAAATAATTTTCTGTCATGGTCATCTTGAACCTTTTTGCACCAGGTATCTAGGGAGGAGGAGTTCTTACATAATCTCTGGGTTAGGTTGGGGCCTCATGAACATGATGCTCCATAAAGTACTTATCAGTGGCAGTTTTGGAGAAAATATAAAATTATGATTTCTAATCCCTGGGGTTTTCAGACTTTAAATGTAACCTCAAGGTGTATACATTCAGGAACTCCTCATGTTTAATCAGAGAGTTAAGGTTTGGGGTTTTGATTCATTAAAAAAAACAGATTGGGGCTGGGCACGGTGTCTCAAGCCTGTAGTCCCATCACTTTGAGGGCCAAGGTGGGTGGACTGCTTGAGCCCAGGAGTTCAAGACCAGCCTGGGCAAGAGAGAGAGAAGAAAAACAGGGTGGGTTGACCTTTGAGGGATTGATCAGCCAGAAAAGTGAACACTTTCCAAAGGGTTTGTTTTTGTTGTTGTTGTCTTTTGAGACAGGGCCTCACTCTGTCGCCCAGACTGGAATGCAGTGGTGCCATCATGGCTCACTCCAGCCATGACATCCCTGGGCTCAAGTGATCCACCCCACACGTCAGCCTCCCTAGTAGTTGGGACTACAGGCGCACGCCACCATACCTGGCTAATTTTTTTTTTTTTTTTTTTTTTTTTTGAGACAGCGTCTGGCTCTGTCGCCCAGGCTGGAGTGCAGTGGCGCAGTCTTGGCTCACTGCAACCTTTGCCTCCTGGGTTCAAGCGATTCTTCTGCCTCAGCCTCCTGAATAGCTGGGATTACAGGCGTCTGCCATCACGCCCAGCTAATCTTTGTATTTTTAGTAGGGACAGGGTTTCGCCATGTTGGCCAGGCTGGTTTCGAACTCCTGACCTCAAGTGATCTACCCGCCTCCGCCTCCCAAAGTGCTGGGATTACAGGTGTGAGCCACCGCACCCAGCCTTCCCCTATACTTTAAATCATCTCTAGATTACTTGTAATGCCTAACTCAATATAAATACTATGTAAATAGTTATACCATATTTAGGGAATAATGACAAGGGAAAAAGTTTGTAGATGTTCAGTACAGATGCAACCATCCACTTAATTTTTCTGAATATTTTTGATCTGTGGTTGATCGTGTACACTGATGTTGGATCCACAGACACAGAGGGTCAACTGTAATTTGCCTTTTTTTTTTTTTGAAACAGAGTCTTGCTGTGTCACCCAGGCTGGAGTAAAAATGTTATGATCTCGGCTAACTGCAACTTCTGCCTCCCCGGCTCAAGCGATTCTCGTGCCTCAGCTACCAGAGTAGCTGGGATTACAGGTGCGCACCACCATGCCCAACTAATTTTTATATTTTTTGTAGAGACAGTGTTTCACCATGTTGGTCAGGCTGGTATCTAACTTCTGACCTCAAGTGATTCGCCCACCTTTGCCTACCAAAGTGCTGGGATAACAAGCGTGAGCCACCAAGCCCAGCCTAATTTGCCTTTTTCAATGTAAGTGGTTGGTACCATTATCTTCTACTGCTGGCCCTAAGTGGATCTATGGATCCTGATTTTTACCTTGATGCAGCAATGATTAAGCCATAATCATACTTTGTCTCTTAAAAATCATAATGTCAAAGTTAATAGCCCCCTAAGTCTAGAAGCATCCTGAGAAGCTAAGAATGTGTTTGATAAAAAGAAGCAGATCTGAGAAACTGTTGTGTGATAGCTGAGAAAAGAGCCACTGTGAAGAGCTTAGACAAACAAACAGGACTTGCCTTCCCTCCAGGCTAGACTGTCTGCATTCATGTGCATTTACTTCCAAATGGTACTTTGCATTTAGAATCATAAGTTTTAGGGACCTTAAAGAATCTAGTTAAATTACTATCACCACCACCACCTTCCCCAGGAAATCCCAATGGATGAGGAAACTATGGCCCAGAGAAATGAGGTGTTTTTGCCCAAGGTCACACAGTTAATGACAGAATCAGAATTGGGCCTAGTGCATTTCTTTATTTCATATCTCCTGTTGTATAGGGCAGGGTCTATCTGGGTTTGACCCTTAAGCCCAGGCTAGGAAATACAGGTATGGGACCTGTCCGTTGACAGTGTTTTCTGGAATCCGTTCCTGAACCAAGCCTAAATTCCCACCTGTCCATTCATAGGTCTGGAAAACTTTGAAGCTGATAAACGAAGGTATGGGAGGTTTGGCAGTTATTCCAGAGGCTTCTGGCTTTGCCAAAGTTTAGCTTTGATTATTCTTTGGACCACTACCCCTCTTTTTTTTTTTTTTCTTTTTGAAACAGGGTTCCACTCTGTTGCTCAGGGTAGAATGCAATGGTATGATCAGGGCTCACCTCAGCTTCCTGAGTAGCCAGGACCACAGGTGCGCATGCCTGGCTAATTTTTTCATATTTTGTGCAGCTGAAGTCTCACTATGTCGCCCAGGCTGGTCTCGAACTGCTGGGCTCAAGTGATTCTCCCACCTCAGCCTCCCAAAGTGCTGGGATTACAGGTGTAAGCCACCACACCTGGCCTGGACCACTACTCTTGATGTCCTCTAGTGACCAAAAAGAACACAGCTTCTTCCTACGGAGCTTACCATACATCAGACATTTTTGTAGATCACTATCAATCTTGACTTTTGCAAGAAATATATTCCTGGGGTGTACAGCATAGTCAGAAAAGTAGCATATGAGACCTAACACTTTCTCCTAAAATGGAATGTACAGATACAGACAGAAAAGCCTAAAACCAAAAAGCTTTTGTCGTCTGTCTCTGGATACAGAAATGTTAGAGGGGTAAATGAACTAATTTCTTTTTTTATCATGCTATGATTTATTAGTCTGTTATACATGATCCATCTTGTGAATGATGGCATTCTGTCTCCAGGAACATGGGCCAATATTTGCAGGGTAAAGAACATGCATGGGAGCAGGCTGGTGACCCTCTAGAAAGCAAGAAGAGAGAAGTAGACTCTGAGGGCAAAAAGGTCGAGACAGGCATTTCTGAAGCCAAATGGTGTTGAAATAACATACCGCAGGCCTTTTTCCTTGTCAGCGTAATCCAATTGAGAATGCCCAACTGCCCCTGATAAGAGTCACTCAGGAGTGAAGAGCTTTGCTACCAGGGAAAGCAGCTTATGTGTGCATTTTGGCTCAGGAATGTGCCAGCCCAATGCTGGCCAAATGAGAAAAGGCTGCTGCGGCCTGGAGAACACAGCCTCCTGGGAGGATGGTGGCTGTTCCCTTGTAGCTTAGGAGAGTATTCTGTTTTGTCCAAGGGCAGTGCTTGAGGCCACATGTTGAGGCCTTTGACATAGATTATCAGAGATGGTAGCAGCTCTGACATGAGAAGAGAAAATAATGTCAAGATTCAGCTGGGCGCAGTGGTTCATCCCTGTAATCCCAGCACTTTGGGAGGCCGAGGCGGGCACATCACGAGGTCAGGAGATCGAGACCATCCTAGCTAATAACGGTGAAACCCCGTCTCTACTGAAAATACAAAAAATTAGCCAGGCGTGGTGGCTTGCGCCTGTAGTCCCAGCTACTCGGGAGGCTGTGGCAGGAGAATTGCTTGAACCGGAGAGGCGGAGGTTACAGTGAGCCAAAATTGCACCATTGCACTCCAGGCTGGGTGACAGAGCGAGACTTCGTCTCAAAAAAAAAAAAAAAAGTCAAGATTCATCCCCATTTTGGAGAGGTCACCTCATCATTTGGGAAGACAAGAGGTGTGGGACATCTGCAGATTCTCAGACAGACATTGGGCCAAATTGACACTTCTGTTTTAATGTCATAATATGGGGAGTGAAGCACCCTGCCCAGTCGTATTGAGTACAGTATGAGCAGACCACCACCAAGACATCTCCAAAGGGCTTCACTTTGCTTTGGGTTGAAGTGACTCATGAGCCTCTCCAGAAATAATTTAATAATTCTTGTTGTAATTTGTCACTGACTGTCCAGAAATTGGATCCGGATTTGATTCTGGAAGGATCCGAAGTGTTTTCTCCAATGGGGGGTTAGATTTCCCCTCCTTGTGCCCTTTTTCCCCCAGATGACTGGCTCATCTTAGAACATGGACCAGTCACCTTCAGAGCACCTCTCTACCTAATCTGCACTCTGTGTTTACTGGACTGTTTGTGCCTTGAGGTTGACAGTCTTCCAGGGCGGGAATTTTGGCTGCTTGGCTGGGGTGTCAGATGTCTCCTTGGTTGTGAAATTATTCAGCCTGCTTACTATGAGCAGAATCATGGCACTTTTCTCCTGAAGGACTCAGGCAGTTTTCACTCTTCTGGAGAAGATCCAGACAATTGAATCTCAGTTCCCAGCCAGGCTGAACCGTGAGATAGGACACCAGAAACCTTTCTGTTCTAGCCTTGTAGGAAGCAGTAAAGTCGGATGGCTACGAGCAGAGCTTTTGGAGTTGGATGGACCTGGATTTGATTCCTGTTTCCACTACTAGCTAGTGCTATGATCTTAGCTGGTGGGGACATCTCGTTATCCTTTCCAAGCCTCATTTTTATCTTCAAAATGGGGTTAATTATGAAGAGTGAAGGTATGTAAAGTGCATAGCACTTGGCATGGCGCAGGTAATAAATGTTAATGAGTACTTTAATAATTCATTTTATTAAAAGGAAGCCTGTTCTTTCTCTGATACCTTGGAGAAAGCTGAAGCCCTCAGAAATTAAAAGTGCTATCCCAAATTGTACCGTAAATATCAACCACCCGTTATCTCAGTATTTATCCTTAACTTGTGTTTGTTTTATGGTTTAGGAGTCAAAGGTAGAATTTTTATATATATATTTACTTAAATCTTAAGAAATGAACTGGTGGCCAGGTGCAGTGGCTCATGCCTGTAATCCCAGCACTTTGGGAGGCCGAGGCAGGCAGATCACAAGGTCAGGAGATCAAAACCATCTTGGCCAACATGGTGAAATCCCATCTCTACTAGAAAATACAAAAATTAGCTGGGTGTGGTGGCATGTGCCTGTAGTCCCAGCTACTCGGGAGGCTGAGCCAGGAGAATTACTTGAACCGGGGAGGTGGAGGTTGCAGTGAGCCAAGATCACTCCACTGCACTCTAGCCTGGTGACAGAGCGAGACTTTGTCTCAAAAAAAAAAAAAAAGAAAAAAAAAAAAGAAAGAAATGAACTGGTATACAATATAGAGAACACTGGACTGCTGTGACTCTAGAGCTAAAAACTAGAACAATATCTTAGTTATCTTTATTATACACTTTATTCCATGCATTGTACCAAGTGTTTTACATGCATCAAATGAGATAGTGTGTAAATTGCTTAATACCATGCCTGGCACATAGTATACGCTCAGTGAATGTTAGTTGCTATTATTATTTATTTTAAATGTAATTTATTTAAATTATCTAATACCCATTTACAAGTAATAAAATTAGAGACCCAGAACACTTAAGTAATTAAAGTCACATAGCTATTAAGTTGCAGAACTGGGATTTGAATCGTCCACGAAAGCCCATGATTCTACCTAGAGCCCTTAGCTTCTAGTCCTGGTTCCAATACTAACTGGCCTTGTACAAATTACTTAACTTCCCTAAATCTCAGTTACCTCATTATAAATTATTTTCAGGCCCTATTTTAGCTGTAATATCCTAGGATTTGGAGGATTTTCCTGAACAGTCAAAAATTATGACTTATTTTTGTAGGGTATGGTTTAATCTCTGAGTAACAGTTCCCTAGAAAACTGATGCAGCCTACAAACTGCTGCTTATACACAAAGAGATATATACAGAAGTTGAAAGTATTTTAAAAATTTTATAACAATGTGACAGTAGTTACATGTATGTTGATTCTAGTAATAAAAAAATTGGACTTTATGTTTTTAAAATTTTTCTAGTAATTAACTGTATTTTATAAAACTATGGGTCTGCACGGGCTGGGCGAGGTGGCTCACGTCTGTAATCCCAGCACTTTGGGAGGCCGAGGTGGGCGGATCACGAGGTCAGGAGGTCGAGACCATCCTGGCTAACGCGGCGAAACCCCATCTCTACTAAAAATACAAAAAGTTAGCCGGGCATGGTGGTGGGCGCCTGTAGTCCCAGGTACTCGGGGGGCTGAGGTGGAAGAATGGTGCGTGGGGGAGCTTGCAGTGAGCCAAGATCTCGCCACTGCACTCCAGCCTGGGCGACAGAGCGAGACTCCGCCTCAAAAAAAAAAAAAAAAACTATGGGTCTGCAGTGGATTGACATAAAGAAGAAAAAACTGCTCTTCATCACAGATAATTTGACAAGCACTATTCTAGATAACCATCTGAACATCTCACCAGGATTATAAATTCAAATTTGTTTGTTTTTAAATTACATGTTTACAAAAAGTTACCCCTTAAATTAGAAATATCCTTACTAAAGGCTGGACGTGGAGACTCACGCCTGTAATCACAGCACTTTGGGAGGCTGAGACAGGTGGACCACCTGAGGTCAGGAGTGCAGTTTGAGACCAGCCTGGCCAACATGAAGAAACCCCATCTCTACTAAAAATATAAAAATTAGCTGGGCCTGGTGGTACATGCCTGTAATCCCAGCTACCTGGGAGGCTGAGGCAGGAGAATCGCTTGAACCCAGGAGGCAGAGGTTGCAGTGAACCGAGATCACACCACTGCACTCCAGCCTGGGTGACAGAGCAAGACTCTGTCTCAAAAAGAAAGAAAGAAAGAAAGAAATATCCTTACTAGTGATGCCCCACTAGGAGTTCAACTTGCCCCCAACCCCACTTGTTGCAGAGTTGCTCCTGTTAGAGCTTCTCTTATGCTCCTGGCAATCAACAGTTGAACCTAGAGAGCAAAACTCTTGTTCTCCCTAGACAAAACTCTTTAAGGAAAGTTAACTTTATATATCATGATTCTCTTTTTTGGAAGAGGTAGGGAAGTGACATGATAATGAAGGTTCCTGGTGGGCTCATTAAAAAGTTTAACCCTTCTAGTTTTTCATCAGTAGGTTTCTATAAAGCACTGACTTACCAAATGAAAGTACTGGAATGAACATATCTTAGCAGTCATAGATTCCAACAACCTTCTTCTTTTTTTTTTTTTTTTTTTTTGAGACAGAGTCTCCTTCTGTCACCCAGGCTGGAGTGCAGTGGTGCAGTCTCGGCTCACTGTAGCCTCTGCCTCCCAGGTTGAAGCAATTCTCATGCCTCAGCCTCCAAAGTAGCTGAGATTACAGGCACGTGCCACCACACCAGGCTAATTTTTTTTGTATTTTTATTAGAGACATGGTTTCACTATGTTGGCCAGGCTGATCTGAAACTCGTGACCTCAAGTGATCCACTCACCTCGGCCTCCCAAAGTGCTGGGATTAGAGGTGTGAGCCACTGCGCCCAGCCGATTTCAACTATCTAATTTGACAGATGAAGGTCTTGGGTATCATATATCTGGCTATTGATAGGAGTGAGACTAGTCCATTGACTGAATTGTATGCTGTGTGAGGGTTACACACAGAGCCTCGGCTGGGTGCGGTGGCTTACACCTGTAATCCCAGCACTTTGGTAGGCCAAGGCAGGCGGATTACCTGAGGTTGGGAGTTTGAGACCAGCCTGACAAACATGGAGATACCCCGTCTCTACTAAAAATACAAAATTAGCTGGGCGTGGTGGCGCTCATCAGTACAGTGATGAGAGAAACCAAGAAGATCTGAATAATGGAGAGACATACCAAGTTCATGAATTGGTAGGCACAACATAGCAAAGATATCATGTCTCCCCAAATTGATCTATAGACTCAATGCAATTCCTTTCAAACTTCCAACAAGGCAAGTTTGTCTTAAATTGAAATGGAAAGGCAAAGGAATTGGAACACTGAATGATATTGGAAAAAAAAATGAAGTTGGAGGAATCACACCACTGTTATTAAGACTTAGTATAAGCCGGGCATGGTGGCTCACGCCTATAATCCCAGCACTTTGGAAGGCCGAGACGGGTGGATCACCTGAGGTCAGGAGTTCAAGACCAGCCTGGCCAACATGGCAAAATCTCGTCTATACTAAAAATACAAAAATTAGCCAGACGAGGTGGTGTGTGCCTGTAATCCCAACTACTCAGGAGGCTGAGGCATGAGAATCACTTGAACCCGGGAGGTAGAGGTTGCAGTGAGCCGAGATCATGCCACTGCACTCCAGCCTGGGTGACAGAGCGAGACTCTGTCTCAAAAAAAGACTTAGTATATATCGGCAGGGCACAGTGGCTTATGCCTGTAATGCCAGCACTTTGGGAGGCTGAGGCGGACAGATCACAGGGTCAAGAGATCGAGACCATCCTGGCCAACATGGTGAAACCCCGTCTCTACTAAAAGTACAAAAAAATTAACTGGGCGTGGTGGCACGTTCCTGTAGTCCCAGCTACTCAGGAGGCTGAGGCAGGAGAATCGCTTGAACCCAGGAGGCAAGGTTGCAGTGAGCCAAGATCGAGCCACTGCACTCTAGCCTGGGTAACAGAGCAAGACTCCGTCTCAAAAAAAAAAAGACTTAGTATATATTTATAATAATTAACACAGTGTCGTGTTGTCAGACTTAGACACATAGATCAATGAAACAGAACAGAACCCAGAAGAGACTCACAAAAATATGGCCAATTTAATTTTTATTTTTTGGAACAGGGTCTTACTCTGTCACCCCAGGCTGGAGTGCAGTGGTATGATCACAGTTCACTGCAGCCTCAGCCTCCCAGGCTCAAGCAATCCTCTCACCTCAGCCTCCTGAGTCGCTGGGACTACAGGCACATGCCATCATACCTGGTTAATTTTTTTTTTTTTTTTTTGAGACAGGATCTCACTTTGTCACCCAGGCTGGAGTGCAGTGGCACGATCTCAGCTCACTGCAGCCTCTACCTCCTGGGTTCAAGATATTCTTTCACCTCAGCCTCCCCAGTAGCTGGGACTACAGGTGCGCGCCACCATGCCCCACTAATTTTTGTATTTTTTGGTAGAGATGGGGTTTCACCATGTTTGCCAGGCTGGTCTTGAACTCCTGACCTCAGGTGATCCACCCACCTCAGCCTCCCAAAGTGCTGGGATTATAGGCATGAGGCATGAGCCACTGCTCCTGGTCCATGCCTTTTTTTTTTTTTTTTTTTTTTTGAGACAGAGTCTCGCTGTGTTGCCCAGGCTGGAGTGCAGTGGCACGATCTCCGCTCACTGCAAGCTCTGCCTCCCAGGTTCACGCCATTCTCCTGCCTCAGCCTTCCTGAGTAGCTGGGACTACAGGCTCCCGCCACCACGCCTGGCTAATTTTTTGTATTTTTAGTAGAGACGGGGTTTCACCGTGTTAGCCAGGATGGTCTCGATCTCCTGACCTTGTGATCCGCCTGCCTCGGCCTCCCAAAGTGCTGGGATTACAGGCGTGAGCCACCACGCCTGGCCGTTTTTTTAATTATTTTCTGTAGAGATGATCTCACTATGTTGCCCAGGCTGGTCTCGAACTCCTAGACTCAAGGGATCCACCCACCTCAGTCTTCCAAAGTGCTGGGACCAGTGCCCAACCTGGTCAATTTATTTTTGACAAAGGTGCAAAGACAACTTAATGAGATATGTTGGAAACAGTAGGAAATTCTTAGGCAAAGGAAAAATGAGCCTCAATCTAAACCTCACACCTTATGCAAAAATTAACTGAAAATAGATCATAGGTGAAAAACATAAATCTGTAAACATTTTAGGAGAAAATGGGAGGGTGGAAATCTTTGTGACTTGGAATTAGGCAGAGTCAATTTAGACATTAAACCAAAACACAATCCATAAAATATTAATAAGTTGGACTTCATCAAGAGTAAAAGTGTCTGTTCTATGAAAGATGTTAAGGGAATGAAAAAATAAGCTTAAGACTGGGAGAAAATACTTAGAAATAACTGTATCACTACTGAAGGACTTGAATTCAGAATAAAGAAGTCTCCAAACTCAATAGTAAGAAAACAATTTAGTTTAATAATGGATAAAAGACTTGAGCAGACATGTCACCCAAAAGGATATACAGACGGCAAATAAGCACATGAAAAGATGTTCAACATAATTAGTCATTAGAGAAATGCAAATTTAAACCACATGGAGCTACTATTACATACATACTTGAATCGCTTAAGTAAAAACACTGAAATACAAAGTACTGAAGAGGATGTGGAGAAACTAGAATTCTTATTGCTAGTGGGAATACAAAGTGATAAAATGACATTGGAAAAGAGTTTGACAGTAAAGCTAACCACACCTTTACCTTTTGACCCAGGAATCCTACCCCTGGGTACTTACCCTAAAGAAGTGGAAACCTGTGTTCACACAAACACTGATACACAAATGTTTATAGCAGCTCCATTCATAATTGCCCCAAACTGGAGATCCCACATGTCCTTCAACCAGTGAATGGATAAAGAAACTGATACATACAGGCAATGAATACTACTCAGCAGTAAAAAGAAACAAGCTATTGATATATGCAATAGCTTGGAAAAATTTCAGTCATCATGTTGAATGAAGGAAGCCAGTCTGAAAATTGGCTGTAAAATTACATGCTGTATAAATCATTCATTTAAAGAAAAGAATTAATTTTACCAAATTAGCAAAAAGAGGCTGAATGCACATCACCCTAGAAGTGTGGACCCCATATATAAAACTGCCCTACTCTTTTACCGTGAAGGAAGACATGAAGCAAGTATATAGTTGTAGCAACTAAATGAAATCACAGAAAATCTGTACCTGTCCCGATTCTCAAAGATTTTTTTCCTCTAGACTTTTATATGTCAAATATACCTCATGACCACTTTTAAGATAACAAACCAAATTGTACATAATTCATGCTCCTAAAGCAGCAAGACTAGATGACTTTACATTTTTTTATGTACTTTTTTTTTTTTTTTTGAGTCGGAGTCTTGTTCTGTCACCCAGGCTGGAGTGCAGTGGCGTGACCTCAGCTCACTGAAAGCTCTGCCTCCTGGGTTCACACCATTCTCCTGCCTCAGCCTCCCGAGTAGCTGGGACTACAGGTGCCCACCACCACACCCAGCTAATTTTTTTGTATTTTTAGTAGAGACCAGGTTTCACCATGTTAGCCAGGATGGTCTCGATCTCCTGACCTCGTGATGCGCCCGCCTCGGCCTCCCAAAGTGCTAGGATTACAGGCATGAGCCACCGTGCCCGGCCCTTTTATGTGCTTTTTAAAAGTACGTTATGTATTTCAGTTTTTCACACACACGCACACACACACACACACACTCACACACAGACACACACACACGTTCTTCTCTAGGTTTTTTCTGTAAATTTTACATCTCTAGGTGGGGGTAGTAGGGGAAGAGAAGCAGGTTTTTTTTACAGCTGATGTGATCACTGTACAGACAAGCTTGGAAAATGCTACCCAATCTGCCAATTAATTAAAGCGTTAATCTGAGGAGCAGCCGGGCCCAGGGAATGTTTACCCAGGGAGGAGTGGGGGTGGTAGGAACTGAGTAGGCAGCTCCCTATATTTGCATGAAAATGAAGGTGCTTAGGAAACCCTGCTTCCTTTTGTCTCTAAAGGTGGGGCAGCCTAGATCACATCCCTAAACACTTTTGGTCTCTTTAGGAAGCCTTTTAGGGAGCTGGTCTCTGAAAGATGAAAGCACAGCACAATCTAGAAAAACAAATTTAAATTCTGGTCAGAGTAAGGTAGGGAGTAAGTACAGTGTAGTATTCTTTGACCTAGAATGGAATCTTCTAAATTCAGGAGTAAAATTTCATCTATTTAGGTAGAATAGATGAAGGGGTTTTACAAGTTTTAAAACCACATAGGCTGGGTTCAAATCCCAGCTCTGCATATTAGTTGTGTGATTTGGGACTAATCATGTATCTTATCTGAGCCTTTTCTCATCTGTAAAATAAAGATTATCAATTGCCCCTTCATCTCAGAGCAGTTAGTTCTCTGCTAACTCTAGGCAGGAAACAGGCCGGACAGTGGTTACGAACTTCCAAGATTACAGACTGCCTCCATGACTAAGAGACTGCTCAGCCTTTTGTTCTTGTTAAACTTTTTTCTCAGCAAGGGATTATAAACCTCAGAGTTTCCTCTCACCCTCCTGGAATATGCTGCACTCTTTCTCTAAGAGAAGTGACCCTGACCATAACAGCAAAGGACATAAAGACAGGAGCCCACCTTGGGACCTAAGGGTCGCATTGGCTCTACCCAAGATGACGTTACCTATTTATATCACAGGGGAGGGTGGTGAAATGGGCATGGAAAATTGACTCACAATATTTGATGATATTGAAAAATTATTGTTAATTTTTAAAAATTGTGATAAAATACATATAATGCAAAATTTACCATTTTAACTGTTTGTTAACTCTTTAAGCATAATATTGTGGGCCAGGCACGGTGGCTCGCGCCTGTAATCCTAGCTCTTTGGGAGGGCAAGGCAGGGACAATTGCTTGAGCTCAGGAGTTCGAGACCAACCTGGGCAACATGGTGTAACCCCATCTCTACTAAAAATACAAAATTAGCCGGGCATGGTGACAGACGCCTATAGTCCCAGCTACTGAGGAGGCTGAGGGGCTTGAGCCCTGGAGGTGGAGGTTTGCAGTGAGCTGAGATCATGCCACTGCACTCCAAAGCAGGACTCTGTCTGACAAAAAAAAAAAAAAAAAGATAATATTGTGTTTTTGTTCTTTTTTTAAGATTCCTAATCTTTTAGATCTACATGCTGAAAATTTTACAGATAAAATGATACAGTGTCTGGGATTTGATTCAAGGTAATCCAGAGGGAAGAAGATTGACCCAACAACAAAGACCTCTAGCCTCATGGCACAAACAAGAAACTTTTTCCAGGGTTTAGTTTTCTCTTAGATGATACCTCTTCATTTCTGTGTATTTTCTTGCAGAACTCTCAGAAATTGAGCCCAATGTATTCCTTCGACCTTTTCTGGAAGTGATTCGCTCTGAAGATACCACTGGCCCTATCACTGGACTGGCACTCACCTCTGTCAACAAGTTCCTGTCCTATGCACTCATAGGTAAGAGCTCAGGCTTTGTTGCATGACCACAGCACTTCATTTCCCACCTTTCCTGGGGTGCCCAGGCCTTAGGCAATGAGCTGGTGATAGTGGGAAATTTTTTCCAGTCACCTCTTTTCTTGTAGAAGAGAAATAGGATTGTTGTTGGTTATTCATCATGCTAGCTGACTCACGTTGTACAGGGTGGGAAGGGCAAGAGAAGAAGTTTTCCTTGGCACTCTGGCTTCTCTATGCTTTGGAAAGAGTTAAGGGTATGGTACCTTACTCTTGGAAGTTTGGTTAGGTTTGTTTGTTTGTTTGTTTGTTTGTTTAGTTAGAGATGGAGTCTCACTCTGTCGCCCAGGCTGGAGTGCAGTGGTGTGATCTCGGCTCACTGCAAGCTCCACCTCCCGGGTTCATGCCAGTCTCCTGCCTCAGCCTCCCGAGGAGCTGGGACTACAGGCGCCCACCACCACGCCCAGCTAATTTTTTGTATTTTTAGTAAAGACGGGGTTTCACCATGTTAGCCAGGATGGTTTCGATCTCCTGACCTCATGATCTGCCCGCCTTGGCCTCCCAAAGTGCTGGGATTACAGGTGTGAGCCACTGTGCCTGGCCTGGTTAGGTTTATTTTTAAAGTTATTTTTTCAAACATAATGCATGCACATTATAAGAAGACAGACAATAGAGATGTTCAAAAGAAAAGTTAATTGTCCTTCCTGTACTTTCTCAATGTTCCTCCTCCTTCTTTAGGCAAATAGTGTGAACAGCCTAGTTTGAATCTTTATGTTTTTCTATGTCTTTATAAATGAAGTACCATTCCTTTTTAAAATGAAATAAGGCCGGGTGCGGTGGCTCACGCCTGTAAGCCTAGCACTTTGGGTGGCCAAGGCGGGTGGATCACGAGGTCAGGAGTTTGAGACCAGCCTGGCCAACATGGTGAAACCCCGTATCTACTAAAAATACAAATATTAGCCAGGCGTGGTGGCGGGCTTCTGTAACCCCAGCTACTGGGGAGGCTGAGGCAGGTGAATCGCTTGAACCCGGGAGGCGGAGTTTGCAGAGAGCAGAGATCGCGCCACTGTACTCTAACCTGAGCAACAGAGCGAGACTCTGTCTCAAAAAAAAAAAAAAAAGAATAGAATAAAATGAAATAAAAATAGGATTATGTGCTACATATTTTCTTTTTTCATTTAATGGTATTAACTTGACCAGGCACAGTGGCTCATGCCTGTAATCCCAGCACTTTTTGAGGCCGAGGCGGACGGATCATGAGGTCAGGAGTTTGAGACCAGCCTAACATGGTGAAACCCCATCTCTACTAAAAATACAAAAATTAGCCAGGCAGGGTGGTACGTGCCTGTAATCCCAGCTACTCAGGAGGCTGAGGCAGGAGAATCACTTGAACCCGGGAGGCGGAAGTTACAGTGAGCCAAGATCACACCATTGCACTCCAGCCTGGGTGACAGAGCAAGACTCCGTCTCAAAAAAAAAAAAAAAAAAAAAAAAAAGCAGATAGTATTAACTTAAATGTACATGATATAACTATTCATCTGATTTATTCTTTTATATTGTAGAAAATATATATAAAACTTGCTATTTCCATCAGTTTCAGTTTACAATTCATTGGCATTAATTACACTCACAATGTTGTGCAGCCGTCACCACCATCTATTTCCCAAACATTTTTATTACCCCAAATAGAAACTTAACATAATGGGGAGTTAACATTAACCAATAACTCCCCATTTCTCTCTCCCCTCAGCCCCTTGTATGATTTTTTTTACTAGCTCTATAATTTCCATAGTGTAATATAGATATAACACAATTCATGTGCTCATTCTTAATATTTAAGATTGTTTCCTATTGAAGTCATAAATAATGCTAATATAAGCATCCTTGATCACATGTCCTTATTAATAATTTTTTTAATTTTTATTTTTAGTAGAGACGGGGTTTCACCATTTTGTGCCACCACGCCCGGCTAATTTTTGTATTTTTAGTAGAGACAGGGTTTCACCATATTGGCCAGGCTGGTCTCAAACTCCTGACCTTGTGATCCACCCGCCTCGGCTTCCCAAAGTGCTGGGATTATAGGCATGAGCCACCATGCCCGGCCCCTTATTGCTAATTTTACTCTTGTATGAAAGATTTCTGAACTTGGAATTTCTGGATTAAAGACCACGTGCATATTGCATTTTTATAGCTATTACCAGGTTGCTTCCCCAAAAGGTTACATCATTTATACTTCCACCAGCAGTGATTGAGAATTTCTACTTCCTTACCCTGTCATCAGCACTGAATATTATCAGTTTTATTTGTGCCAACTTGGTAAGTAAAAAATGATATTTTGTTTTTATTTTTTGAGACAGGGTCTTGCTCTGTCACCCAGACTGGAGTGCAGTGGCACAATCACGGCTCACTGCAGCCTTGACCTTCGGGCTCAGGTGATCCTCCCACCTCCGCCTCCCAAGTAGCTGGGACTATAGGCACACGCCACCACACCCAGCTAGTTTTTGTACTTTTAGTAGAAGTGGAGTTTCTCCATGTTGCCCAGGCTGGTCTTGAACTCCTGAGCTCAAGAAATCCACCACCTTGGCCTCCCAAAGTGCTAGGATTACGG
Source organism: Homo sapiens (assembly GCF_000001405.40). NCBI lineage: Eukaryota > Metazoa > Chordata > Mammalia > Primates > Hominidae > Homo > Homo sapiens. Next base: position 102,346,785 of record NC_000010.11, read on the forward strand.
ATGTGAGCCATTGCACTCAGCCTTTTGTTGCTTTTATTTCCTGGAGGCTGAACATTTGAATTTCCTGTCCTTCACTTCTTTTTTTAATTGAGTTGGGTTTGTTTTTCATGTCAATTTGTAGGAGTTCTTTGTATGGTAGGAATATTAACCCATTGCCTTTCATAGCATTACAATTATTTGCTCCTAATCTAGGCCAAATATTTCCCTTAATCTGTAGTTTATCTCTAAATTTCTTCATGGTGTCTTTCTTTGGATTTCTTTTTTAGTTGGTCTTGACACTCAATTTGGGAATTCATTTTCCCTGATTGGCAGCCCATGTACAAGGATGAAGAATATAGAAAACAGGCAGCTGTCTTTGTTTCTTAAGCAGGGAGACAAGAAAAGATAAGGCTCAGGCTTTAGCTAGCCAGAAAAGAAAATAGTCTTCAGTTCAGAGCAAGAAAACCCTTTATTCTAGAAATGTTGGATTTGCTTAGCTGATGCATTCAGGATCCTGAGCAGGAATCCTGGGTACCAACTAGCTTCTGAACAGGTGCATCAGCCTCTCCGACACCCTAGTCCCAGCTTCATACTTTTCCTAAACAAAATCAGGCCCAGCCACTTCCAGCCTTGCCCTGAGCACCACCTGCAGGTCATCTTTCTTCACAGCCTCCAGTGGCTGCCGCTGCTGTGCCTTTTCCCTCTGCTGTCTTGTTGGTGTTACTCTTTCCTCTTCCTGGACTTGGCAGACAGGCTGGTCATTGGAGACCTCAGGCCACCTGGTCATTGGAGTTTCCTGTGGTGGGAAAGGAGAATGCTGGAGGTGGTTATTGCAGTGGGCATGAGAAAAGGAGCAGGAAGGAGTGTATGAAAGCCAAGAAAGCAAAGGAGATGGGATTGGCAGATTTCCCTGAAGTTGGTTCCAGAGTAGCCAGAAGAGGAGGACATTTTAAAGAAGGGTTTAGGCTGCTCTTCTAGAAGAAAACTCCTGTCTCTTGCTCCTATGATCCAAGGTTTCAGGGATTATTTTAGATCCTCCAAGGACTAGCCTTTTGTTTGGCCCCATACAGCTGCCAGACCAGAATTTTTGTGCCATGGATTTCATGGGTTGCTAGCAAGCCTTGCCTATGGTTCTTGTCAAAGACCTGTCACTCTAGTCTGCCTTTTTATTTTTATTTTTTATTGGTTTTTATTGAGACAGTTCGCTCTGTTGCCCAGGTTGGAGTGCACTGGTGTGATCTTGGCTCACTGCAACCTCCATTTCCTGAGTTCAAGCAATTCTCATGCCTCAGCCTCCCAAGTAGCTGGGACCACAGGCATGCACCACCACGCCCGGCTAATTTTTGTATTTTTAGTAGAGATGGGGTCTCGCTGTATTGGCCAGGCTGGTCTCGAACTCCTGAGCTCCGGCAATCTGCCCACCTCAGCCTCCCAAAATGCTGGGATTACAGGCATGAGCCACCGTGCCCAGCCCATAACTGCCTGTTTAGAAAATTAACTTTGCTACTTCATTCAACCTCAGGGGACAAGAACTACAAAGAGATCAGTAGAGCTTAAACCCCATTAATGGAGTCTCTCTGAATCTATTCTGGTTGGGGGATGGAAGGAGTGTCTGATTCAAAGTAATAATTTAAAAGACACCTTAACAAGAGAGATTACTGAAAGAGAGGAAGAAATGGATCCCCAGGAGCCTTGTGAGATGGGAACAAGGCTACTATTCACTTATCTCTGAAATGCTACACAACACTGAGAAGGACCTGGGTTTCCTATGTGGGCCCTGGTGGCCTGGGTAGGGACTGTCAGGCAGGGCTATGAGATAGAGGCCCTGAGAGTATGGGATTTTTTTGTGCTGATCGGGAGAAACGTGGAGAGGTGGTGTGATAGGAGGAGCTGGGTCACCCCATTTTATTATATGTCATGAAACTGGCTTCCTTCTGCATGACCTCTAAAGTAACTACTCCCAGTGCTGAGTAGAAGGACACTGTAAATAGGACAAAGAAAGTCTTGATGTGGTGTCGGAGGCTAATGAGGACAGAAGAAAAAGAGGAAACATTCACAATTAGTAAAAGACTTCTGGCTTATCATTGCAAGAGAAATGTTTGGGGGCCAGGCACAGTGGCTCACACCTGTAATCCCAGCACTTTGGGGGTCCAGGCAGGCAGATCACTTGAGCCCAGGAGTTCAAGACCAGCCTGGACAATATGGGGAAACCCCATGTCTATAAAAAATACAAAAATTCTCCTGGCATGTTAGCACACATCTGTAGTCCTAGCTACTAAGGAGGCTTAGGTAGGAGGATCACTTGAGCCCCAGAGGTCGAGGCAGCAGTGAGCCATGATTGCACCACTGCACCCCAGCCTGGGCGATAGAGCAAGACCCTGTCTATTTAAAAACAAAAAAAGAAAAAAAAAAGTTTAGGTTCTCAGCCATCCCCTGAGCTTTAGGCTCAGGAACTCTCTGATTTCAGGTACCAAGAAAGAGAAAATGGGCTGGGCACAGTGGCCCAAGCCTGTAATCCCAGTACTTTGGGAGGCCAAGGTGGGTGAATCACCTGAGGTCAGGAGTTTGTGACCAGCCTGGCCAACATGGTGAAACCCCATCTCTACTAAAAATACAAAAATTGCTGGGTGTGGTGGCAGGCACCTGTAATCCCAGCTACTCAGGAGGCTGAGGCAGGAGAATTGCTTGAACCCAGGAGGCAGAGGTTGCAGTGATCCGAGATCATGCCACTGGACTCCATCTGGCCTGGATGACAGAGTGAGACTCTGTCTCAATTCAAAAGAAAGAGAGAGAAAAAATAACAACAATCTTATAATTCCTGTGACTAAAATTAGGGGGTGTTCCTGCATTACACCATGCCACCTCTGGAGCAACTTTCTCTGTCACTCACAAAGCTTTTTCATATGCCTGCCCTTTCCCCCTACTTAGGCTCCCCCTTTAGAACTAAACAGCTCTGGAAAGGATCCTTCAGAGCAGACCTAGGGCAGGAGCTAGGCAAGACCCTTGATGGTGACAACTTATTTGGCTATTTCTCGTGGCTATTTAATACATGAATGGGAGCTGAGTTCCCTGCTTAATAGCATTTGTGTTCATTTCCAGCGTGGTGCCGGTTGTCTGACCTCTAGCTTCTCCCCTCTTATTCTGTACAGCTGAAATTCTCCCTCCTGCCTACCCCCCAGCTAGTCAGCCTCCAGTCCTGTTTAGTTTATCTTTTTTCTCTCCTAATGCCTGTTAAGCTGGAAACAGGATTCTTGCTCGTCGTCATATTATTTTAAATAAGAATGAAACTAAAGAAGAGGTCTTTGGGCCAGGCATGGTAGCTCACACCTGTAATCCCAGCACTTTGGGAGGCCGAGGCTGGCAGATACCTGAGGTCGGGAGTTCGAGACCAGCCTGACCAACATGGAGAAACCCTGTCTCTACTAAAAATACAAAATTAGCCAGGCGTGGCGGCGCATGCCTGTAATCCCAGCTACTCGGGAAGCCTCAGGCAGGAGAATCGCTTGAACCTAGGAGACGGAGGTTGCAGTGAGCCAGGATCTCACCATAGCACTCCAGCCTGCCAACAAGAGCGAAACTCCATCTCCAAAAAAAAAAAAAAAGTCTTCAATCTGCTGTAATGTGGCACTCAGATATGAGTATTGGCGGCAGTGAGTGTTCATTTCCTCCTCCTGCTCCCCTAATTCAGTTGCGCCTGAACACAAAACTCCAAAAGCAACCAGAGAGAGAAGCTGTGTTGAAAGATGAAAGGAGAAAAGGCCACAAGCTTTGGCCCTACCTGGTTCTTGTTCTGAGTCAAAAACTCTTGTTTCCAGGCCCCTCGTCTATGAAATTAGTAGATTTATACTAGTGATTCCCAGAGTATGGTCCCCTGCTCGGTGGTGTTTAACTTCAACTGGGGTCTTGTTAGAAACACAAATTCTCAGGCCCCACTCTGGGCATACAAAATCAAAACTTTGTGGTATGGGTCCAGCAATTGAGAACCACAGTTTTACCCAGTGGATTTTGTGTTGAGGAGCTCATTAAAACCAGTTATGGGGCCGGGTGCAGTGGCTCACATCTGTAATCCCAGCACTTTGGGAGGCCGAGGCAGGTGGATCACCTGAGGTCAGGAGTTCAAGACCAGCCTAGCCAACATGGCAAAACCCCATCTCTACTAAAAGTACAAAAAAAATTAGCTGGGCATGGTGGTGGGCGCCTGTAATGCCAGCTACTCGGGAGGCTAAGGCAGGAAAATCGCTTGAACCCAAGAGGCGGAGGTTGCAGTAAGCTGAGATCACGTCATTGCACTCCAGCCTGGGCCACAAAGTGAGACTCTGTCTCAAAAAAAAAAAAAAAAAATCAGTTGTGGGCAAAAATTCTCAGGTAGCTCAAGGAGCCACGGGTTAGGGAACTGAAGAGGAAAAACTGTCTCTCAAAGCTAGACAGGCTGCCTTACCTTTTATCTCTCTCCTCTCCACATCACTTAATCTTTCCTTTTTCGCTGGAGCAGATCCCACCCATGAGGGCACAGCAGAGGGCATGGAGAACATGGCAGATGCTGTCACCCATGCTCGTTTTGTGGGCACGGATCCTGCCAGTGATGAAGTTGTCCTGATGAAAATCCTTCAGGTAAGCGAGAGGGAAATAGCAATTAGGCTAATGGCCAGGGGCTGGTGCCGCAGACTCTACTTACTCTGCCCACAGCATGAAACTGTGTTTTGACTCCACTGGGGCTTAGGGGAGCTACTTTGTTTCCAGACAAGCAGCTGGGGTACCCAAAGTAAAAGCTTTTTCTAAGGAAAATCAGTAAAAGCTTTATATGAAGTGATGTCAAATACCAGAAGCCTTAAATACACTTGTACCTCTGGCCGACTGTATTTGTGCCGTCCATCTCTTGGGCTCATGGGCTAGGGCTAGAATCAGTTCTGAAATATGTCAGGGTCATAAAAAGTGAAGAAACAATTCCAAGGACAAGCTTCTTGGAGACCTCTCTACCAAGCTGAGGTGAGGTCAGCATTCTTGCTAACCCCTCTCTCTTACCCTTGAGTACCTCTCAGTACCTTGTTTATCACAGTAATTCCTTTTTCTTCCTGATAGGTTCTACGGACTCTGCTGCTAACCCCAGTGGGTGCCCACCTAACCAATGAATCTGTGTGTGAGATTATGCAGTCTTGCTTCCGGATCTGCTTTGAAATGAGGCTCAGTGGTAGGTGCTTGGATATTAGCCCCTTCACCATTCCTGGGGCCAGTGTCTGAGTATGAATACAGGAGGCTGTCTTCCCAGAGAGATGGAAAATTCAGGACTTCTCCATCATCTATCTCATGCGATCATAGGGGTCTAGAAGAAATGTCTGTACTTGGCTATTGTGAAGCTAGAATAGAGACCTCAGCCCATTATGCCAGGGCAGGAGTTGGGATGGATCCCAGATTGACTTAGCCCAGGCACCAAATCACCCTCTCTTGGGGTTTCTGGGATTGACACCAACCTGCAACCCCCTAGAACACATCTATACCTCCCCTTTTTTCCCTGACTCAGTAGTGCCACCTAGTGGGCCAGTGAAGTTCTGGCTGCCAGGCTGAGCTGGAGCTGGTTTTAATAAGTTTGGCATAATCCTTGGTAAACAAGGTTTGGAGGGGAGTCTGCTCTGAGAACCCTCTTGATAATAGCACAGCAAGTAATGACACCTGTGTTATTTGTTTTTGCCTGTGCAGAGTTATTGAGAAAATCCGCAGAGCACACTCTCGTAGACATGGTGCAGCTGCTCTTCACAAGGTAAACCTGCTGCTGTTTGCTTCAGCCCGGCTGCCCAGGCCTCTTGAGTCTGCCTGCTTCCACACAGCCACGTCAGGGACCTGGCCAACCCCACAGCCGCATCAGAGGCCACTGGGATTATGGATGGGGGGTAGTTCTCTGGGCCCAGGGTTACTGAGCAAGGGAGAAGGAGGAGGGAGCTGATTTGGCCTCACGGGGAGGCAGAGGGTTATTTAATATAGGCCAGCAGACCTCATTCTGCTTCCCAAATTTGTGTCTGTTTCTGTGCAGGTAGCAGCTGGGAAAGGGAACCCAGAGAGGAAGCCAAACTCAAGGGATCATGATTTCTGTGGGAGAGGGCCAAAATTAGGGTGACTAGCAATTGTGAATTGCCTGGGACTGTCCTGATTTCAGCACTAAAAGTTCTGCATCCTGGCAAACCCCCCTCAGTCCCAGGCAAACCAAGATGGTTGGTTACCCTTTGGTAAGGCCCTTAGCCTAGGGCCTAGGAGGCCTTTTCATACTAGGCCTGTTTCCTGCACCTCCTTTCAACAGACTCACAGAAGAGCTGAGGCAATGGCTTTAAACCTTCCTCTGGGATTTCTTTTTGCTCTCAAATCTATAGATAATAATCCTTATTATCTACAGACTAGACTGCCCTTGGATCCTGCTGCAAAGAATTTTTTGCTCCTCAGGCTCAAATTTACTGGTTTCAAAACTTCAACCTGCCTGTTAATTCTTCTCTTTTGCCCACTCTCCTAGGGTTTTGATAGACTGCCCTCCCCCCATCTCTTGGCAGCAGTATTTGCCAAGTAAATATAAGCAGGAAGGAATCAGTCTCAGGATAAAAAGAGCCTCCACACTCCAAGGGCACTTACCTTGCTCTCACAACTACCTCCTTTTGTCCATGTCACACATCCCCCGATTCCTGTGGCTCTTTGATGAAGCTCTGAAAAGGATGAAATTAGTCTGCTTCTCTTTTGTAGCCTTTTCTAAGACACAGGGCATGCTCTGGCTCAGAGCACCTTTGGTTTGTGGCTGGCATGGAGGGAGACATTTGTCATTATCCCTAATGACAGTTGATGGATTTTCTATCTTATAGGTTACCTCAGTTTAAAGAAGAACCCAAGAACTATGTGGGGACCAACATGAAGAAGGTATGATCTGAGAGCTGATCTGCTGTCCCTCATCCAAACCTTAATCTCCCAACTTCAGTGCCTTGGGGTAACCTTGCTTAGCAAAGATATGCTTTTGCCTAAACAGGTCTGCTTGGAATCTAGAAGTAGCTCTCACTCCTTTCGTGAGAAATGTATTCTCTTCCAGATATATCCCTTCCTCAGCTTTTCTGCTCTGGCCTATCTTTGAACCACCATGTAAGCTGGTGAGCCAGTTCTTCATGGAAACTGCATGGTACCCATCAGTCTTGGCTAAAAATGTCTGTTGACAAAGATGAAAGTCCTGCCATCCCCTCAAGACTTAGCCTTATCCGCAGGTAGAAGGCCTAGAGAGGCTATGTCCCAAATCCTACCTCAATGCTGAATTAGACTGGGCTCTTGCTTGTGCTAGTCTGTATTGAAGAGATTAGTCAAGTTAAGAACCAAAGGGTTCTTAAACTGCTAGGAGAAGAATAGTGGTCAAAAGAATGGCTTCTTTCTATCTTGAACTGAAGCCCTGGACTTCACGGGCCTCTGATGAGGATTCCGCTTGCAGCCCTAAGAGGGTCTACCTATGGAGATGACCCTTAGCTGTGTGATGCATGCACCTGACCTTCTCCTCTCCCCTGTCATCCATCCCCATTCCTGCCCTGTTCCCTGTTGGTATGTGTCTGAGTTTATTTCACTGTTAAATCGTGCGTTTGCCTGTCTTTCGCAGATATCTCCATGTCTCCTCAACAAACTGGAGCTAAGTAGTGGGGAGCAGACCAAAGCCCTGAACCAGTTAGAGAGGGTACTACTCTTTAAGAACCTCAAGGTCTCTCTCCCTCTCTTTCCCTTCCCCTTTTTATTTCTTTCAATGTTTATTTTTTATATATAACACCTGGGTCCCATTTCCATTGTGTAGAGCACAACTTACTCCTCCCTAGTAACACAGCACGGCTTTGGAAGAGTTGCACGTGATTGTAGCTTTGCAGTGTTGGGAATTCTCCTGGGGCATCTGGTTGCCTGGATACAGGAGAAGGAAGACTTGAACATCACATAGTTAGCCTAGAAAGCCTGGGGTCTGCTGTTACCTTGTGGGGAGGCTTAAGATCTACCATTTCTAGGGAAACCGTGAGGGACCTTCAAGCAAGACCCTTCCCCCTTCTACCTTATCCTTGTCTCAGAGCTGGCATAGAGAGCTTAAGCACAGTCCTCAGCTCTATCTGGATTACCTGGACTGGGTTTGGAGGGAAAGGGTAGTCCATCTAGTTGGGATCTTTTTTTTTTTTTTTTTTCTTGGTTACCATTAAAGAGGTCATTCCAAGGATTAGAACTCTAGATTGATGGAAAGAAGCCAGGTGCCAGGATAGCCCAGGACACTGGGAATACTTTGGGATCTGTGAAGATGCCCTCTGTCCTCTAAAAGTCAAGGTATAGGGGAGCTTAGGGGAGGGATCCAAGCTAAAGATTACCCTAATCTGCATATACCTGCCTTAGGAAGAAAGGGGAGAGAAGGAGGTGTGGGCTGTCTGGGCTGTCCATCACAAGAGTGTGCATGCTGAAGGTGTGGTTGTGGACATACAGGTCACTGAAAGTAAAAAACTCTGTGTATGTACACCTAGCTAGATAGTCCATTGGCCCGTGTTCTCTTTGAATGCATTGTGTCATTTCATTTGTGTGCTTGCACAGTCTCAAGCTGCAGCTCTCATTAGTGGCTATCCAGCATGTTGCCATGATTATTAACCTGGGACCTGCTCCTTTTTTGTAAAGCTTACACTGTCCTTTGGAGTACAGAGTCATACAGATAAGGTGGCGTAGAATTCCATGAATACCTACTGCCCACCCCACACCTTCAGACCTTAGGAGAGGGAGAATAGCTATACCTTTTAAGGGCTGAGGCATTCGTGAGAACTGGCAGCCTCTTGGCCCCTACTCCAGCCAGCAGGCTGAGAACACTAATTGAAATGATCAGGTTGGAGCAAGCTTTGCAGAAGATAGAGAAGGAAACGTGAAAAACTGATCCTCGTATGGGAAGGAATCTCAATGACTGACTGGCTTCTCAGTGGAAGTAGGACTGCCTGGAGTCCCTGAAATGGGGGAGCCTCCTGGAGAGAAAGGCTACCTCATAAAAGTAGATCCAGTTCTTAGTACTTTTGGGAGCTCAATGATAACTGCCAGTAGAGCCAGGAGGTCTCTCATTGATCTCTTGGCCTCTTGCCCTTTTGCATGTTTGGCGGACTCTTCTCCCATAACATTTTTTACTATGAACTTGATCCAGTTGAGCTCCAGTGGTTCCTGGGGAGAGAATCCTTTTGCTTCCTCCTTAGCTATAGCGGTCAGTACGCCTGAAGCTCAGTTCTAAGCATATGACTGCAGGCATTTTGGAGATGGATCATCTAGAAGTATAAATCCAGTATGAGGCTGTTGCTATGTTACTAAGAGCTGGGGGAAGGAAGGGCTCAGCTGTTCAGCCTCATCTTTATTGGAAGGAGCTATGGGTAGGAATGGAAGAATTGTGTGGTTTCTAAGCAAGGAATCAAAGATTACCCAGGTTCTGAGAGCTTGGGGGAGCTTGAGGAAGGGAGTCAATCCCTCACTATCAAAAGGAATTGAACAGGCCATGGACAATAGGATATATTCAGCCTTTAGGAAGAGGCAGAGAGAAAAAGTGCTTCTGCTCTCTTTAGAGTCATTCTAATGGTTTCTGGAAGAGTGTTGCCATTGCCCAATCCAGGAATGGTCCAATCCAAGAATGGTCTATCAGTCTAGGAATAGTTTAGAATGACTTTGTAGAGGGACTGAGTTCAAACCCAACTGAGAAAACATCAGGGCTTAAAAAACAAATTGGGCCGGGCACAGTGGCTCACACCTGTAATCCCAGTACTTTGGGAGGCCAAGGCGGGCGGATCACGAGGTCAGGAGATCGAGACCATCCTGGCTAGCACGGTGAAACCCCGTCTCTACTAAAAATACAAAAAGAATTAGCCAGGCTTGGTGGCGGGCGCCTGTAGTCCCAGCTACTCAGGAGACTGAGGCAGGAGAATGGCGTGAACCCAGGAGGCGGAGCTTGCAGTGAGCCAAGATCACGCCACTGCACTCCAGCCTGGGTGGCACAGTGAGACTCTGTCTCAAAAAAAAAAAAAAAAAAAATGGGGCCTAAACAAAGTAACTTTGAACTTAGAATGGAGGAAATACATAAAAACACAGATCCTAGGGAATAGTTAACAAACAGGTGATAGAGATTGTCCCTTGCCACTAAAAGTAAGCTATAGGAAGAACAGAAATACAGCAAGAGGGGAGTGCAACAGAGCAAGGAGTCAAGGAATCAGTGGCCTTACCATCTGACAACATAAAACTGCATCTGGAAAGACCAATAGTGAGAGGGCCAGAGGGACAGGTAGTCTCATTGATATAACAAATTGGGAGCAGCAGAGAGCACAGCAGCAGCGTGACATGACCTTCTATCCTGAACTCCACAAAGAAACTGGGAGGCCACTCCTTCCTTAACTCCAAGGAATGAGCTTTTGACCAATCTGATACAGAAATTCCAGAGAGTAAGAGATATGTTAGCTGGGTGCAGTGGCTCACACCTGTAATCCCAGCACTTTGGGAGGCTGGGGCAGGCAGATCACCTAAGGTCAGGAGTTAGAGACTAGCCTGGCCAACATAGTGAAACCCTGTCTCTACTAAAAATACAAAAATTATCCAGGCGTGGTGGTCCACACCTGTAATCCCATTTACTCAGGAGGCTGAGGCAGGAGAATCACTTGAACCCAGGAGGCAGAGGTTGCAGTGAGCTGAGATCGTGCCACTGCACTCCAGCCTGGGTGGCAAAGCTAGACTCCATCTCAAAAAAAAAAAAAAAAATATGTTTATGGCTTAGGCCCAGCTCACATACCAGTAAGAAAACCAGGACAGGAAGGAATAGGCTCTTATAGTTGGATAAAACTACAAGTAGGAGGCTGCTCTACAAGCTAGTTGAGGAGGAAAGCCGAGAGACCATGCACCTGTAGAACTGAGTGTCAGGGCAAAGGAAACCCTGCCCTTACACTTTCTGCAAGAGGGTCATGCATCATCCATAGGGCTCGGGATTTCCTGCTTAATGTAACACTCAGGACCCAGAGAAGCAGAGTGATAAGTGTGAGGACTGGCCCTACCAATGACCAGCCCAGAAACAGAATGTCACCTTCTACATGGAGGCTGCCATGCCAACCTGTGAAGTGGTAAATGTAGAAGCCAAGTTAGAAGAGTAGGAATGTGAACTGATGGTCTAGAGTCTTACTTTAGCAAAGATATGGGGTATAGCTTGTTTTCTAGAGATCAGTAGGACTAAATGAAGGGAGATTAATAGGGATAGAGTCTTAGTTTGAATACCATTGCTAATGGGGTATGATATTTCCAGCTGAAAATGAGAGCCGGAGGCATGAGTGATTCATCCAAATGGAAGAAACAGAAGAGATCCCCTCGGCCCCCACGCCATATGACCAAAGTCACACCAGGTTCAGAGCTGCCCACTCCCAATGGAACCACCTTATCATCTAACCTCACTGGTGAGTGCCCTGGACTACTTCCTCTGATTAGACAAAAGAAGAGCTCCTTTCTCTCTTAGGGATTTTGAAATTGAAGACCAACCAACTGAGGGGCTTTGGTCTTGGCGCTGAGAACAAAAAGGGAAACTCCAGGTCAAATCAGAGTGTGACCATTCAGCAACTATGCAGTGACTTAAGGTTGTTCTCTGACAACTTTAGAGACCAATATATGCAAAGATAAGCATGTAATCTGGGAAACAGAGACCCTAGTACCATAGAGGGTTTGTTTTGCCCACAGCCTCTTTCTTCTCCTTCAAGCGTCACATACTTTTCTTGGCAGGTGGCATGCCCTTCATTGATGTGCCCACTCCCATCTCCTCTGCAAGTTCAGAAGCTGCCTCAGCAGTGGTCAGTCCCTCTACAGACAGTGGCCTGGAATTCTCCTCCCAAACCACTTCCAAGGAAGACCTTACTGATCTAGAGCAACCTGGCTCTCCAGGGTACAGCACAGCTACAGAGCCTGGAAGCAGTGAGCTAGGTGTTCCCGAGCAGCCTGACCTCCAGGTATGGCTTTGATTTTTAATGTCCCTCTTCAGTATTCCACTGTGGGAAATGGCTTGATCCTTTGGATCCTTTATGCAGGACTTGGCTCGAAAGAAGCTTGGGGTAACTTCAAAAGAAGCTCTGATCTTTCCTGCTTCTCAGAATTGGTTGTACTGCCTTGAAAACCCACAGCATGACTCACTGTGAGAGATAGCTCATGAGATTTATCAAGTTATGCATATAGGTAGTACTTGACAAAAGGGAAGGAGCTGGCCATTGCTTTTTCTGGAAGGTAATGATCCAAATCCTAAGCCTGTGAGAGGCTCTGTGTCTCTAAGGTTCTAGTCATTGTAGGTCAGTGAAGCCTCAGGAGATGTTTTTCTGAGTCCTTCATCATACTCCTACCTGAGCCATCTTGCGGTGATTCATAAACCACTGAGTTGGCCCTACATCTGTAGCCCATTAGAGACAGCTTGGAAGACAGCTACTTCAGGGGAGTAAGTTCCAAGTTGCTCTTGCCTCATCCCTCTTCCCATATCTCCCTGCTACTGGTCATAGCAGGAAGGGACCCATGTGGAAAAGTCCCAGTCAGCATCTGTGGAGTCCATCCCTGAAGTGTTAGAGGAGTGCACGTCCCCTGCCGACCACTCTGACTCTGCCTCTGTCCATGACATGGATTACGTCAATCCCCGGGGCGTGCGCTTTACACAGTCCTCCCAGAAAGAAGGTGGGTATTCTGGTAGGCTCTGCCAATTCACCTCCCCCATCCTACCTACTAAGCTGCCTGAGCCTAGACCGTCTTAAACCAAGATATTGGACTACTGCCTGTTGCTCCAAGTTCTAGGCTATTTTCTAGTCAGGAAATGGAGTCAAGCCATAGACTGTTGGCATGGAGGGAGCCCTTCCCTAACTTATACTACAGGGAGGAAGTTTGATGGGCAATAGGAAGCAAGAAGGAAGGGAAAAAAGCTTAGGACTTTTAACAGAAAGGTAGGATCATCAATTCTGATTTCCTCCAGAAGTAGACTAGTCCCCTCATGTCCCCAGGAAAAAAAAAAAAATCCTTTTCCTTTTTTTTTTTTTTTCCTGTCGCCCAGGCTGGATTGCTGCAGTGGCACAATCACAGCTCACTATATCCTCGACTTCCTGGGTTCAAGCAATCCTCCCACCTCAGCCTCCCAAGTATTTGAGACTATAGGCATGCACCACTGCACTTGGCTACTTTTAAAAAATCTTCTGTAGAGATGGGGTCTCTCTGTGTTGCCTGGGCTGGTCTCAAACTCCTGGCCTCAAACAGTCCTCCCACCTTAGCCTCCCAAAGCACTAGGATTACAGGCATGAGCCATCACGCCCAGCCCTTTTCTTCAAAGAGAATCACTTACCTAAAATTGCCTTGTGTAATGCAGAGCAGGCTAGGCAAAGCCAGCAGACTAGTTGTTTTATAGCAGTCTCACTCTCCTCCTGGCCTTCCCCAGGCACAGCTTTGGTCCCCTATGGTCTTCCCTGCATCCGCGAGCTCTTCCGCTTCCTCATCTCCCTCACCAATCCACACGACCGCCATAACTCAGAGGTTATGATTCACATGGGACTGCATTTGCTGACAGTGGCCCTTGAGTCAGCCCCTGTAGCCCAGTGCCAGACCCTCTTGGGCCTCATCAAGGATGAGATGTGCCGTCACTTATTCCAGGTAAGACAAGATTGCTAGAGGGTCTCAGAGCCTCTTTCAAGGGCCAGGGGAACACAGGGAGGTCTGGCTGATTACGCAAAGAGTATAGGACCTAGGAAAGCATCTCCCTCCCAGTTGGCTAGTAGTTTTAGTAAGAGGGTTCCAGTAGTTCCCCAGGGACTCTGGCAGCCAGAGAGAAATATAGGAATGGCTAGATGTAGAGTTCCCTGGAAGCAATGGACCTCAGTGACACCTTCACTCAGTTTGCCTCTTCTGCCTCTCTTGGTTGAGCCATAGTCAGCTTCAGAAACCTCACAGCCGGGCTGGGTGCAGTGGCTCACGCCTGTAATCCCAGCACTTTGGGAGGCCAAGGCGGGCGGATCACGAGGTCAGGAGATTGAGACCAGCCTGACCAATGTGGTGAAACCCAGTCTCTACTAAAAATATCAAATTAGCTGGGCATGGTGACGTGCGCCTGTAATCCCAGCTTCTTGGGAGGCTGAGGAAGGAGAATATCTTAAACCCAGGAGGCAGAGGTTGCAGTGAGCTGAGATTGCGCCACTGCACTCCAGCGTGGGCAACAGAGTGAAACTCCGCCTCAAAAAAAAAAAAAAAAAACTCATGGCCTACCCTGCTCTCATCTCCAGCTACTCAGCATAGAGCGACTAAACCTTTATGCTGCTTCCCTGCGAGTATGCTTCCTACTGTTTGAGAGCATGCGAGAGCACCTCAAGTTCCAAATGGAGGTGAGTTTCTTGATGTGGAAAGAAAAGGGGGAAAAAAAATAGGGAGATATATGGCATCTTCAGTGGGGCCAGCTCTATCATGCTACAGGGGTAGGATTTAGGGACTTCCTATAGGAGAGTCCTTTTAGCCTCCAGAGTTCGGTTCAATCAACTGGCCTCTTTTGTGGAAAAGTTAAAAGGAGACCAAAGGAAACTGGCTGACCCCAAATATGAGAACTGCCAGGTAACCTTACCATGAATAGGGACAGCTCTTCTGCCCAGCAGTTACTCTGCAACACAGGTAGGTAAGTCAAGCCAGCATTGTCACTAAATTGCTAAAAGGAACTCTAAATAGGACCAGGTCATGTTCACATAGCACAAAAGGGCAAGAGGCAACTTGTCTGGGACCAGGTATGTGGTAGAGAGCCAGGCCTTATCCCCCAACATGGAGGCCAAAGAAGAGATATATTTAGGGGATGGAATACCTTTGGGTGTCTCTTAATACATGCCTCTAGGCTGGGCTTCTGCATCCTGTTTAATGTTTTTCCTGTCTAATTTTTTCTCTTCCTATCTTGAATCCTTTCCCCACCCAAATGGCAATTACTGGGTTATTGCCAGATGTACATCAAAAAGCTTATGGAGATCATCACTGTGGAGAACCCCAAGATGCCTTATGAGATGAAGGAGATGGCACTGGAGGCCATTGTGCAGCTCTGGCGCATCCCCAGCTTTGTCACAGAGCTCTACATCAACTATGATTGTGACTACTACTGTTCCAACCTCTTTGAGGAACTCACAAAGCTGCTGTCCAAGGTGCTGAGCACTATAACTGGCTTCTAGGAAAAAACGCATTATAAAGGAAATCTCCCTGGTGGTAGTGAGGATGTTACATACAGAGAGGGGAACACTTGAGAGCTGGGAAATAGAAGAAAGGCATTTTCTTTTCTTTTCTTTTTTTTTTTTTTTTTTTTTTTTGAGATGGAGTCTCACTCTGTTGCCCAGGCTGGAGTGCAGTGGCGCGATCTCGGCTCACTGCAAGCTCCACCTCCCGGGTTCACACCATTCTCCTGCCTCAGCCTCCCGAGTAGCTGGGACTACAGGTGCCCACCACCACGCCCGGCTAATTTTTTGTATTTTTAGCAGAGACGGGGTTTCACCATGTTAGCCAGGATGGTCTCGATCTCCTGACCTTGTGATCCACCCGCCTCGGCCTCCCAAAGTGCTGGGATTACAGGCATGAGCCACCACGCCCGGCCAGAAAGACGTTTTCTAAGGGCAATGTACAAGTTAGAAGAAGTTTTGGAAATTTTAGAAAATGATCAAAGTGTAAAGTGTTCTCCTAACTACAAGTCCAATTGATCTGTTTACTTTCCAGAATGCCTTCCCTGTGTCTGGTCAACTCTATACAACACACCTACTATCTCTTGATGCCCTATTGACAGTGATTGACAGCACCGAGGCCCACTGCCAGGCTAAAGTCCTCAACAGCCTCACCCAGCAAGAGAAGAAGGAGACAGCCAGACCAAGCTGTGAGATAGTAGATGGCACCCGAGAAGCTAGCAATAGTGAGAGGCATTTCTTTCTTTGATGAACCCAGTGTTCTATGCTTATCCCTTCTCTACTCTCTGAGTCGTTTTTCCTGTCCCCATATCACTTCCCCTGGGATGCTCCCAATTCTGTTTCTGGGCTTTGGCAGTTTAAATCACAGGCCAGTCAGGCAGATTAGTAGAACTCATAGCCTTCTCCCTTTTTCCTCCTCCCCACTTTGGTTTTTTACAGAATTATTATTTCTTTATGGCAAGAGAAGAGAACAGAGATTAAAGAATATAGGATTTCTGTCTCTGAAAGCTCCAGGTCCCACCATCCCTCATCCCCAATATCTGCCTCCACTCTAATTAGTCCTCTCTAGCTCCCCCTTGAAATTTGAGGTTGCAGAAGATCAGGGAAAGTGACTGGGTAATCTCTTCATTAAATTAGAGAATCTAATGCTTGGCTGGGACAGGGACTACTTATTTTGGCTTGGGTTTGTCCTGCTCAGGGCTGGCGCCCTGTGCAGGAACCATGCAGGTCTTCTGGGCTTGGGATTTGATCTATCCTGCAGCTCTGCTTGGCTTCATACCCTATAAGTCTTCACGTATCTTCTTCTCTCTTACCAGCTGAGAGAACTGCCAGCGATGGGAAAGCTGTAGGCATGGCCTCAGACATCCCAGGCCTGCATCTGCCAGGTGGAGGGCGGCTGCCACCAGAACATGGGAAATCAGGATGCAGTGATCTGGAGGAAGCTGTTGACTCTGGGGGTGGGTACTGGGTGTCCATGACCCTAAGCTCCTCACCTGGAGGGCCTGGTGAAGAGCAGAGGGAGGGAGCAGACACCTAGGATAGTAACTAAGCAAGCCTTGGTAGCCCGCCTCGCCTTCAGACTCAGAGAGAGGGAAGCAAACATATGGACCCTCAGTTGATAGGACTTCCAGGGAAGTGGAAGACTGGTGAGGACAAGATTTCTGAGGCTCCTTCTTGAAACTGGGGAGTATATTGGTGACCTTCCAAAAGTCCTTATCTGGGTAAAAAAAGGTGTTACAGATATTTCCCCCCTCTTCTTCCTACTCCTAGCTGACAAAAAGTTTGCCCGGAAGCCACCCCGATTTTCCTGTCTCCTGCCAGATCCACGGGAACTAATTGAAATTAAAAACAAAAAGAAGGTACATACATGTATTCCCCAGCCTCTGTCCACCTCTGTCTGGGTGTCCAGTGTTGTAGGGTTTCCATCTCAGAAGATGAAGGAGAGTCTAGCACCTCATTGTACAGCTTCCTGAGGCCAGTCTTTGGGCTTGTTGGGACTTCAGCAACTCCCATTTGAAGCCCTTCCCTTACTCCTAAGCTATGTAGTTGAGCATACCCTATGTATGCCCCTGCGCAAATGCTGTACCAGTTGAGAGCCAAGTGTCACTAGTGGCAGTGACAGGAGCCTTGGGAGTTGGTGTCTTGTGGGTCATTGAAGGTTACTGTCATCTCCAGCTCTTGCAAGATGATTGGCAATAAAGGGAAATTGATATTCATTCTGGTGCTTTAGTAAGGTTCAAATAGTAAGGTTCAAATAACTGTTTGTACTTTGGATTTCTTTTTTTTTTTTTTTTTTTTTTTTTCAGACGGAGTCTCTCTCTGTTGCCTAGGCTGGAGTGCAGTGGCATGATCTCAGCTCACTGCAACCTCCACCTACCGGGTTCAAGCAATTCTTCTGCCTCAGGCTCCCAAGTAGCTGGGACTACAGGCGTGTGCCACCATGCCTGGCTAATTTTTTGTATTTTTAGTAGAGACGGGGTTTCACCGTGTTAGCCAGGGTGGTCTTGATCTCCTGACCTCGTGATCTGCCCACCTTGGCCTCCCAAAGTGCTGGGATTACAGTCGTGAGCCACCATGTCTGGCCTGTACTTTGGGTTTCTTAACACAAAGAAAACCTAACCCTTTCTGGCCGGGCGCAGTGGCTCACGCCTGTAATCCCAGCACTTTGGGAGATCGAGGTGGGCAGATCACCTGAGGTCAGGAGTTTGAGACCAGCCTGGCTAACACGATGAAACCCCGTCTCTACTAAAAATACAAAAATTAGCTGGGCATGGTGGTGCATGCCTGTAATCCCAGCTACTCGGGAGACTGAGGCAGGAGAATCAGTTGAACCTGGGAGGCAGAGGTTGCAGTGAGCTGAGATCACGCCACTGCACTCCAGCCTGGGCAACAGAGTGAAACTCCATCTCGGAAAAAGAAAAAAAAAACCTAACCCTTTCTTTCTCTTATTGCCAGCTTAAATGACTTTGGTTCATGTGTGCCCTTGAGTACCTGGCCGTGACTGGACATACAGAAATATGAGTTGCCTCCACAGTTAGTCCACTTTGTCTTTCAAACCCAGGGCATTAAGCTAGGCAACCAAAGAAGCTAAGCTAGGCTAAAAACAAGAGGCTGGCTATCAACAAATGTCAGGGATGGATATAAAACTGGAGAGAAGAATTACCTAGTTTCTTTCTTCTACTTTTCCCCCAATCCTAAGTTAGAGAAGAGGAACTGTTTTATGTATCTTGAGCACTCAGGAAAGGAGTAAAAAAGAGCTCGTAAGCCAATTCAATTAGACATGAAGATGGGGGAAGCTAAGGCCATTATGATCTAGCCTTAGTTCTGTAATCACTAAGAACCACATCCTAGGAGCTTTTTAGCTGACCAACTGTGGGTGGGCTATGGTGGACTCCAGGCTGGCCTTGTCTAATTTAGAGGCAAAGTAGCTTCTATACCTCTAGTTTTTCTCATGCAGCTGCTAATCACTGGCACAGAGCAGTTCAATCAGAAACCAAAGAAGGGGATTCAGTTTCTGCAAGAGAAAGGCCTCCTCACCATCCCAATGGACAACACAGAGGTTGCTCAGTGGCTCCGAGAGAACCCTCGGCTGGACAAGAAGATGATTGGAGAGTTTGTGAGTGACCGCAAAAACATTGACCTGTTGGAGAGCTTTGTGAGGTGAGGAAGCTGTAAGAAATGTGGGATATAGCCAGGTATGGTGGCTCATGCCTGTAATCCTGACACTTTGGGAGGCTGAGGCAGGCAGATCACTCGAGCTCAGGAGTTCAAGACCAGCCTGGGCAACATGGTGAAACCCTGTCTCTACAAAAAATACAAAAATTAGCTGGGCATGGTGGCATGTGCCTGTAGTCCCAGCTGTTCAGGAGGCTGAGGCAGGAAGATCACTTGAGTCTGGGAGTTCGAGGCTGCAGTGAGCTGTGATCATGCCACTGTGATAGAGTGAGATAGAGTGAGATAGAGTGAGATCATGCCACTGTGATAGAGCTGTGATAGAGTGAGACCTTGGCTCAAAAAAAAAAAAGGTGGGACATGGTTAGTGATCAGTTTAAAGGGACAGAACATCCCTACCTCAAAGCGGTCTCTATAAATTTCTTCTGGAGACCCTAGCCAATGTTCTTCCTCTACCCATCATTTATATCTATTGGACCTGAAAGGGACTCCAACGAGATAGTTTGGGGAGCCCCCTCCATTCTGCATGGAGTCCATTCCAAAGGGGTAGAGCAGGGTTCCAGGGGGTGAGGGTTCTAGGCAAGAGTCCGTGGATGTGAAAAGTATTAAGGCTAGGGGTTGTGTTAGGGATGAACAGGAGATACTGCCCCTTTACTAGAGACCTCAGCCTCCTCTCTTCCAGTAAGAGTAGGTTAGGAGGACAGTGACTAAAAGAGCCTGACATGTGCAGCTTACACATTTTCAGCCTCTTCTTCCTTTCTTTCCCTATAGCACCTTCAGTTTTCAGGGTCTGCGACTGGACGAAGCCCTCCGCCTCTACCTGGAAGCCTTCCGTTTGCCTGGGGAAGCACCAGTCATCCAGAGGTTGCTGGAGGCATTCACAGAGCGTTGGATGGTGAGTTTGAGTGTCAGGGGCTGAGCCCAGGATCCAAGGTCAGTTTGACTGAGGGCTGAAGAATCCAGCTGCTGTCTCTTTTTTTTTTTTTTTTTTTTGAGACAGAGTCTCGCTCTGTCACCCAGGCTGGAGTGCAGTAGCGCAGTCTCAGCACACTGCAACCTCCACCCCCCGGGTTCAAGCAATTCTCCTGCCTTAGCCTCCTGAGTAGCTGGGATTTCAGGCACCTGCCACCAAGCCTGGCTAATTTTTGTATTTTTAGTAGAGATGGGTTTTGCCATGTTGGTCAGGCTGGTCTCGAACTCCTGATCTCGGGTGATCCGCCCACCTCGGCCTCCCTGAGTGCTGGGATTACAAGCGTGAACCACCGCACCCAGCCTGCTGTCTCTTAAAAAGTCAGAGAGCAAAATTAGTGACCTTTCCACAAAGAGATCAGCTTCTGTTAAGGAGTTGGCAAGAGACTGGCCACTTTCTGGATGGTACCTCTCCTCTGTACTAGCACTGACCAGTGGGTTGGTAGTGAGGGTTTAATTGGCCAGAGAAGGGCATTGACACAGGCGGGATCTTTGCTTTTTCAGAATTGTAATGGCTCCCCATTTGCCAATAGCGATGCCTGCTTTTCCCTGGCCTATGCTGTCATCATGCTTAATACTGACCAGCACAACCACAATGTTCGTAAACAGAATGCACCCATGACCCTGGAGGTAAGCTTGGGTCCCAGTCAAGGCAAAGAAGACCCAGCACAGCTTGGGAGGTAGCAGGAAGGACATAGGATTTCCAGTGGGCATGATGGATGGGGTTCTGTCCAAGGGAATCAGGAAGGGCTGGCCAACCTAGAAAAGGGACTGGGGTGGGGAAGTGGGTTTTTTCGCTTACCTTTTCCTAAGTCCTATTTACTGAAAACCCAGGAGTTCCTTAGGTGGGGCTTCAGTGTTGACACAAGGGGAAAAAACTTACTGGCCTGTCTCTAGGAGTTTCGCAAAAATCTGAAAGGTGTGAATGGAGGCAAGGACTTTGAGCAAGACATCCTGGAGGACATGTACCATGCCATCAAGTGAGTATACATAGAGAATAGTGCAGTATCTCTGTTAAGAAGAAGCACATTGCTTCCTTTCCCAGTTTTTAGAGTCATGTCAGACTGCAGTGACTCACATGCCCTGGATTTAGCCTCAGGACTTAGTTGGGCAGCCCCCTCTCTGCCAACTGTTTCTTCCTTAAAGAAGCCCAAATGATATTGGGACTCTAGTACTCTAAGCCAGGGTCCAAAGTGCTGCTCTTAAGTAGGATATCATGGCCCCATTTTCTGAACTTAAAACAGGTACATTTTCCTGTATAGATTACAAGATGCTGGCTGGTAGAGAACCCAAGATGGGCACTGGAGTGTGAGGCCCAGGTTACAGGTCAGAAATGGGCCACTTAGTTTTTTACTGTAAATCAGAAAAGGTAGAATTGTTCATTTTATCACACCTAGTAAGAATGTGTGATCTTACTATAGAACTAAAGGCCTCACTTACAGATAGGGCTTTGAGATTATGGGACACTTCCTTTCTTTCTGTCTGCTCCCACTGGTGGGTGGAAAGCAGACCACTGAGCTGCAGTTCTGATGACCTCTCATCAGTGGAGAGTGCTAGTATGGATGAACTCCTAGTCTTGGTTTGGAACTAGTCAGGTTCAAAGCAGTGCAACTGCTCCTTCCCTTACCTCCTGACAGGAATGAGGAAATTGTAATGCCTGAGGAGCAGACAGGCTTGGTTCGGGAGAACTATGTGTGGAATGTGCTGCTTCATCGAGGTGCCACCCCTGAGGGCATATTCCTGCGTGTGCCTACTGCCAGCTATGATCTTGACCTCTTCACCATGACCTGGGGCCCCACTATTGCTGCTCTCTCTTATGTCTTTGACAAAAGCCTTGAGGAGACAATCATCCAGAAAGCCATCTCAGGCTTCAGGTAGCCCAGCTTTGGCCTTGGTCTTCACCTCCCACTAGCTCTGTGAGCTAACATGGTTTTCTCCATGCCTCTCTGACTCCTACTGTTACTTCATTAGAATGGGGTTCCCCCTGAGTTTTTGGAGGGAGGCTGAAGCTTGGGTAGGCTCAGTCTTAAACAGAAACAAAATTAAAAGGTTTCTTCCTGGGACTGACTGGGGAAGAGCCCCATGCAAGCTCAGGGACTTGGAAGGGCTGCTTGGCCTTCCAGTGACTCTGTTTCTGGGATGGGGGGTAACATTACAGGAAGTGCGCCATGATCTCCGCCCACTATGGCCTCAGCGATGTGTTTGACAATCTCATCATCTCTCTATGCAAATTCACAGCTCTCAGCAGTGAGGTGAGCAGGTGCAGGAACTGTGTACTTGGAGCTCCAAAGGAGGACCTCTCTTTTAGCCATGGATCTACCCTTATCAACAGACCTGGTTGCCCTCAGCGTCTTCCCTCACTGCCCCCACTTGAATATACCAGAGCTTAGGCCATTTCTGTCTTGCACACTCTGGGATAAAACTAGTGTTACTTCATGTAATGGGGATGGGAAAGGAGATACAGGAGTGGGGAAGGCCTTAACTAGGTTAACCCACTCCCACCAGTATTATGGGGGATTGAAGCAGAGCCAACAAAAGGACCTGAGGGAACCATCATAGGCAGAGACCTAAGAGATTTTCCTTTCCAGACATTAGCTCGGCCTTAAGTCTGTTCTCTTCCTCTTTTCCAGTCTATTGAGAACCTGCCCAGTGTATTTGGAAGCAACCCTAAAGCCCATATTGCAGCCAAGACAGTATTCCATTTGGCCCATCGTCATGGTGACATCCTGCGGGAGGGCTGGAAGAATATCATGGAGGCCATGCTGCAGCTCTTCCGAGCCCAACTACTGCCCAAGGCTATGATAGAGGTAATTCTTAGTAGGAGACTAGTGAGCGATAACAAGGCAAGAGCTGCAACATTGTATGCTACCTGTACATAGAAGTAAGTGGTTGAGAGTAATGTTGGGCCTGATGCCTGCCACAGCTCACCAGGAATGCCTCAAATGTAAGACCACAGATCTTGGGGGATAGCTGTAAAAGAAGGCTGGTAGATGCCATTGCCAGTCACCAATTGGCACAATAGCATAGGGGCAGAAGACTAGAGGAGGAAATCCAGAGAACTTTGGTGGGTGGAGGCGGGCACAAATGCAAAGGACACATGGAAAGAAATTATTTTGACTTACTTTTCCAGGTAGAAGATTTCGTGGATCCCAATGGCAAGATCTCTCTACAGCGGGAAGAGACACCATCAAACCGGTAAGAGCAGACCAGAGGCTCAGGGGCTTGGGGAGGGAGAGTCAGAACTTTGGGGCTCACCAGGCCATGTGCCCTTTTTCTACAGAGGAGAGTCAACAGTGCTGAGCTTTGTGAGCTGGCTAACACTGAGTGGTCCTGAGCAGTCTAGTGTTCGGGGCCCATCCACTGAAAACCAAGAGGCCAAGAGAGTGGCCTTAGAGTGTATAAAGGTAACTGCCCATCCACCCCTGGTGAGAAAGCCTAAACACCTTCCTATTAGATGCTACTTGGTGAACTGAAGAATAAATCATCCAGGATTTGTAACCAGGGCTGACTCTGCCCTCTCCCCCTGGCTCTTGGGGACATTCTGTTCTCTTCAGCCTTTGTCAAAGACCCCCTCTCTCTTTTGCCCTCTCTAGCAATGTGACCCAGAAAAAATGATCACAGAAAGCAAGTTCCTCCAGCTGGAGTCACTACAGGAGCTCATGAAGGTAAAGGATGAAGAAAGGAAACATGGAACAACTGGCTGAATCTGGGAGGGGTGACAGGGACAGTATTATTTCTGTCAGGGCAGGGCCAGTGGTTGGCTTCTTTTCCATGCCTACTTTCCTGCTGCTGTTCCCCTTCAGGCTCTGGTCTCAGTGACACCAGATGAAGAGACATATGATGAGGAAGATGCTGCTTTCTGCCTAGAGATGCTGCTAAGGATTGTGTTGGAGAACAGGTAAGATGAGCGTAGTCTTTAGGCAGACCCCATGCTGGGCTTGTGCCAAAGGGATGGAAGCCATCTTGCTGAGTGGGCTCTGGGGAACTGTAGGCAGCAGGGGAGAAGCTTACTCATCATACCTGTCTACTTAGGGTATAATACCAATGAGTCCTGAAAGGCCTAGGGGACCTGTTGCCCAGTGGCCCCTCTGGCTGAGACTATCTTCATTCCTTTATGTCTACACAGGGATCGTGTGGGCTGTGTGTGGCAGACTGTTCGAGACCATCTATACCACCTCTGTGTTCAGGCACAAGATTTCTGCTTCCTTGTGGAGCGGGCAGTGGTGGGGTTGCTACGCCTGGCCATTCGGCTTCTCCGGAGAGAAGAGATCAGTGCTCAGGTAAGCAGAATGCATCTTGGAGAGTGGGCAGGTATGCAAGGGATTAAGGCCACAGTTGTCAATTATGAATATGGCCTGAGACAGAGAGTACATTTAGTGCCCCATAGCATGAGTCCAGTGACCAACCACAGGGCTGGTGCAGTCTAGCGGGTGGTACTGGGAGTGAGCCTGGAATGGCCTCAGGCATGGAGCTTGTGTTTGGCACCTCAGCCTCCTATGAATCTGCTTTGTAGGACTGGCCTGCTACTGCCTTATAATAGTCTCAGCCCTATACCTGGTTTCCTGTCATGCTTATGACCCTCTTGAGATCTCTTTGCTTAACTACAAAAAACAACAAGCATAGAACTAATAAGTGGATTCAACAAGGTCACAGGATGTGAGATCAATACACAAAAAGTAATTATATCTCTACATGCTAACAATGAACAATATGGAAACTGAAATTTAAAATACAATACCATTTACAAGGGTTCCAAATAAAGTGAAATACTTAATATATAGCTGACAAAACATGTATAAGATTTGTATGATGAAAACTACAAAACTACAAAATAAATTGAAGAAGATGTAAATAAATGAAGAGGCATACTATGTTCATGGATTGGAAGGCTCAACATAGTAACTTTGTCACTTCTCCCCAAATTGATCTGTAAATTCAACATAACTCCTATAAAAATCCCAGAAAGGTTCTTGTAGACATAGGTAAGCTTATTCTAAAATTTAGATGGAAAGGCACAAGCTCTAGAATAGCTAGAAAGAATAAAGTGGAAAGAATCACTCTCTCTGGGCCGGTTGCTGTGGTTCATGCCTGTAATCTCAGCACTGCGGGAGGCCACAGCGGGCAGATCACTTGAGGTCAGGAGTTCAAGGCCAGCCTGGCCAACATGGTGAAACCCCATCTCTACTAAAAACACAAAAATTAGCAGGGTGTGGTGGCACACACCTGTAATCCTAGCTACTTGGGAGGCTGAGGCAGGAGAATCGCTTGAACTCAAGGCGGAGGTTGCAGTGAGCTGAGATCGCGCCACTGCACTCCAGCTGGGTGACAGAGTGAGATTCTGTCTCAAAAAAAAAAAAAAAGAATCACTCTGGTATTAAGACTTACTGTCCACTTTGGGGGGCTGAGGCGGGTGGATCACGAGGTCAGGAGATCAAGACCAGCCTGACTAACGTGGTGAAACCCCGTCTCTACTAAAAATAGAAAAATTAGCTGGGCGTGATGGTGAGCGCCTGATTGCTACTCGGGAGGCTGAGGCAGGAGAATCGCTTGAACCTGGGAGGCGGAGGTTGCAGTGAGCCAAGATTGCGCCACTGCACTCCAGCCTGGGCAACACAGCGAGACTCCATCTCAAAAAAAAAAAAAGACTTACTCTCGGCTGGACACAGTGGCTCACGTCTGTAATCCCAACACTTTGTGAGGCCAAGGCAGGCAATCACCTGAGGTTGGGAGTTCGAGACCAGCCTGACCAACATGGAGAAACCTCGTCTCTACTAAAAATACAGAATTAGCCAGGCATGGTGGGGCATGCCTGTAATCCCAGCTACTCAGGAGGCTGAGGCAGGAGAATCACTTGAACCTGGGAGGCAGAGGTTGTAGTAAGCCAAGATCACACCATTGCACTCCAGCCTGGACAGCGAAACTCTGTCTCAAAAAAAAGACTTACTGTATAGCTATAGTAGTCAAGATTATGTGGTGTCGATGGAGGGACAGACACGTAGATCAATGGAAAAGAATAGAGAGACCAGAAATAAGCTCAACACAAATATGTTCAGTGGATTTTTTGACCAAGATGTAAGAACAATTCAGTGGAGGAGGAATAGCCTTTTCAATAAGTGGTGGAGTGATTAAAATCCATAGGAGGAAAAACCAAATGAACCTTGACCTAAACCTCATACCTTACAGGAAAATTAACTCCAATGGATCATAGATTTAAATGTAAAGCTATAAAAACTTTAGAAACAGGAGAAAATCTTCAGGATCTAGAGCTAAGCAAAGAATTTTTAGCATGTTTGGCAGTCCTGTGGATCTGTCTCTTGCCTCAACACTGTCTGGATGGAACAGATCCGGGGGAGACTCTCTTTCAAAAAAAGTAATAATTTTTAGACTTGACATTAAAAGCACAATCTAGAAAAGGAAAAATTGATAAGTTGGGCTACATTAATATTTTTAAAAGTTTTGTTCTATGAGAGCCTATGTGAAGAGGATGAAAAGACAAGCTGTAGACGAGGAGGAAATATTTGCAAATCACATATTTGAAGAAAGGTATCTGTAATATAAAAACTCTCAAAACACAACAGTGATAAAACAATCCAATTATTAATAGAAAATGGACAAAACATAGGAACAGATGTTTCACCAAAGAACACATACAGATGGCAGATAGGCACATGAAATGAAGATAGCATCATTAACCATCAGAGTACTGCAAACTAAAACCACAATGAGGCTCACACCTGTAAGCCCAGCACTTTGGGAGGCTGAGGTGGGTGGATCACCTGAGGTCAGGAGTTTGAGCCCAGCCTGGCCAACATGGTGAAACCATGTCTCTACCAATAAATACAAAAATTAGCTGGGCGTGGTCACACACACCTGTAGTCTCACCTACTGAGGAGATTGAGGTGGGAGGATCGCTTGAACGCAGGAGGTTGCAGTGAGCTGAGATCGTGCCACTGCACTCCTGCCTGGGTGACAGAGCAAGACTCCAAAAAATAAAAACACAATGAGACATCACTACCCACTTTTCAGAATGGCTGAAATAAAAAGTAGTGACAATACCAAATGCTGAAAGGACGTGGAGAAACTGGGTCATTCATATATTGCTGGGTGGGAATGTAAAATGGTACAGCTACTCTGCTGGCAGTTTCTTATAAAATGAAACATATAATTACCATACAACCCAGCAATTGCACCCTTGGACATTTATCCCAGAAAAGTGAAAGCTTACTTTCTCATAAAAACCTGTACATGAATGTTTATAGAAGCCTTAGTTGTAATAGCCAAAAACTGGAATCGGCCCAGATGACTTTCAATAGGTGAATAAACTGTGGTACATACACACCATGGAATACTATTCAGCAATTTAAAGCAACAGACATCTCCAGGGAACTATGCTGAGTGAAAGAAAAGCCAATCTAAAAAGGTTATGTAATATATAATTCCACTTATATAACATTTTTGAAATGACAGAACTTTAGAATTTGAAGACAGGCTGGGCGCAGTGGCTCACACCTGTAATCCCAGCACTTTGGGAAACTGAGGCTGGTGAATCACTTGAGGTCAGGAGTTCGAGACCAGCCTGGCCAACATGGTGAAACCCCATCTCTACTAAAAATACAAAAATTAGCCAGGCGTGGTGGCTCGCACCTGTAATCCCATCTACTTGGGAGGCTGAGGCAGGAGAATCACTTGAACATGGGAAGCAGAGGTTGCAGTGAGCTGAGATCCTGCCTGCACTCTAGCCTGGGCAACAGAGTAAGACTCCATCTCAAAAAAAAAAAGAATTTGAAGACAGATTGCTAAGGATTAGGGATGGGGGCAGGAAGGAGGAGGTGGGTGTGGTTATAAAAGGGCAACATGAGCTGGGCATGGTGGTGCATGCCTGTAGTTCCAGCTACTCTGGAGGCTGAGACAGGAGGATCACTTGCGCCCAGGAGTTTGAGGCTGCTGTGAGCTATGATCATACCACTGCACTCCAGCCTGGGTGACAGAGCAAAACCTGTCTCTAAAAAAAGAAAAAGGCAACATGAGGGATACTGTTGTGGTGGAACTGTTCAGTATGTTGTTTTGTGGTGGATACCCAAACCTACACAGGTAATAAAATTGTATAGAAATTAATACACACAAAAATGCAAGTAAAACAGGAAATCTGAATAAGATCAGATAGTATCTTGATTATGATATTATACTATAGTTTTGCATAATGTTACCATTGGGATAAACTGGGCAAAGTGTATAAGGGACCTTTTTGTATTATTTCTTTACAACTGCATATGAGCCTATAATTTTCTCAATAAAAATTTGTATTTGAGGCTGGGTGCAGTGGCTCATGCCTATAATCCCAGCACTTCAGGAGGCTGAGACGGGAAGATCGCTTGAGCCTGGGAGTTCAAGACCAGCCTGGGCAACATAGCGAGACCCCATCTTTCCAAAAAAGAAAAAAAAAATTAGCCAGGTGTGGTCACATGCACCTGTAGTCCCAGCTACTCCAGAGACTGAGGCAGGAGGATCACTTGAGCCCAGGAGTTTCAGGTTGCAGTGAGCTGTGATTGTGCTACTGTGCTCCAGCCTGGGAGACAGACCAAGACCCTGTCTCAAATAATATAATTAATATATTTCTATTTGAAAAAAAAAAAAAAGACCAGAGCAGTATCCTAAATTGGGTCCTAGCCAAACTGTCTTCACTGGCCTAAGGAGACTGGTGGGAAAGAAAACTAGACAGGAAGCTGTGTGCCCACACAGCTCCCCGCTTCCCCGCTCCCTGCCCTAACCCCACTCCAGGTGCTGCTCTCCCTGCGCATTTTGCTACTGATGAAGCCCAGTGTGCTATCCCGAGTCAGCCACCAGGTTGCGTATGGGCTCCATGAACTCCTGAAGACCAATGCAGCCAACATCCACTCAGGTGATGACTGGGCCACACTCTTCACACTGCTGGAGTGCATCGGCTCAGGTGTGAAGCCTCCAGCTGCTCTGCAGGCCACAGCCAGGGCAGATGCACCTGATGCCGGTAAGCCCTTTCCCAGGGAGACTCAGGCTGGCAGATAAACAGTTACACCCCAGGAGTTGGGACAGGAAAACAAAACACAGGTTACTGTGTTCAGCAGATTAAACAGCCCTGGCTCCTGCCATCACTTCCAGAGCTTCCAGTGCCCGCTGGCTAGTACCCATAAGTTAAATAGCATGAGGGCAAATAAGCAATGCAGACGGCTGTGAAGCCAGGCTTCCTACTGTCCTGAGGACTGATTTGTCCTGAGGACTGTTTCCCAGTTTCTGTTTCTGAGCTGTCCCGAGGACTGTTTTCCCAGAATTCTGGGAAAATAGAATTCTGTGAGCAGACTTTATATCACTAAATCGATACATCACTAAATCCCAGAAACTGGGAAAACAGTCCTCAGGACAGTGGAAAGCCTGGCTTCATAGCCTTCTGCATTGCTTATTTGTCCTTGCCACCACTCCCTAGAGTGGTGCTACAGCTGCCACTAGATGCCATCAGGAACCCAGATTAGCCTGCCACCTTATTTGGTCAACAGAGAAACTGTTCCGGCCATCCTTTGGCCCTCTGGTGACAGAAATTAAACTATGCCAGAGAGAGGGGAGGCCAGGCCTCAGCATCTTTTTTCTGAGAGCCTGATTTATCCCTCATCCCAGTGCCCCATCCCCACCCTGACTCTGCCCTTCTCCCTGCCTACCATAGGGGCCCAGTCAGATAGTGAGCTCCCATCCTACCATCAGAATGACGTGAGCCTGGATCGAGGGTACACTTCCGACTCAGAGGTCTACACTGACCATGGCAGGCCGGGCAAGATACACCGATCAGCCACAGATGCCGATGTGGTCAACAGTGGTTGGTTAGTGGTGAGTGACAATATGGGCAGCAATTGAGTCTCTCCTGCTTGACCTGTGGGAAGAATTCCTGGTCCTCTGCAAGGACATTCACACAGGGGCCAAGCCTGTGTCCCCAGCTCCTCTGTGTACTTTACAGGTTGGGAAGGATGACGTTGATAACTCCAAGCCAGGGCCCAGCCGCCCAGGCCCTTCACCCCTGATCAATCAATACAGCCTAACAGTGGGACTGGATTTGGGGCCACACGACACTAAGTCTCTGCTTAAGTGTGTGGAATCGCTGTCCTTCATTGTGCGTGATGCTGCCCACATCACACCTGACAACTTTGAGCTCTGCGTCAAGACTCTCCGGATCTTTGTGGAGGCCAGTCTGAATGGCGGTGGGTCAGCTGATGAGGGGGCAGCTGGGGAGTAGCCATGCAATTATGCAGGGGAGAGGCTGAGAGGGGAGAAAAGGCAGGGTATCTATGCCTATATAGACACAGAAATGTGACCTGAGTCTGGCTCTGCTCAGGATGCAAGTCCCAGGAGAAACGTGGCAAGAGTCACAAATATGACAGCAAAGGGAACCGCTTCAAGAAGAAATCCAAAGAGGGATCAATGCTTCGCCGGCCTCGAACCTCCAGCCAACATGCCTCTCGGGGCGGGCAGAGTGATGATGATGAGGACGAAGGCGTGCCTGCCAGCTACCATACGGTGTCTTTACAGGTCAGTCAGGACGTAAGTATGGCACCCTTTACTTCCTCTCCTCCCCTGCACCTGATACTGGGAGCCTGGGGCGGCCAGGGAAAGCCAGGGCTGAGGGGAAGGGCCCATGTGTGCCAGCCCAGGCCCTGGACCACCATCTTCACAATATTCCCTTACCCAAAACCTTACCTGTAAGTCTTTATTTGCTTAAATTTATTTATTTATTTATTTTTATTTTTATTTATTTATTTATTTATTTATTTTTTGAGATGTAGTCTCTCTGTCACCCAGGCTGGAGTGCAGTGGCGTGATCTCGGCTCACTGCAACCTCCACCTCCCGGGTTCAAGCGATTCTCCTGCCTCAGCCTTCCAAGTAGCTAGGACTACAGGCGCGTGCCACCATGCCTGGCTAATTTTTTGTATTTTTAGTAGAAACGGGGTTTCACCATGTTGGCCAGGATGGCCTTGATCTCCTGACCTCGTGATCCGCCTGCCTCGGCCTCTCAAAGTGCTAGGATTACAGGCATGAGCCACCACACCTGGCCTTTAAATTTATTTTTAAACTAAGATTTACTTATTTTTTGAGTAGGTTCAAAATATACAAAAGGGTAAACTGATAAAACTAAGTTTCCAATCCATTCCTGTCCCCAGCTTCTGAGTTCCCCTCACTAGAGGCAGCCACTGTCACCAGTTTCTTGTCTATCCTTCCAGAGTTACCCTGTGTCTATTCAAAGGCATATAAAATTAATTATGTGAGCAGAGTTTATATCACTAAATTGATGGAGAACCAATTGCCTTAAATAGAATAACCATACAAAAATGACAAAAGTGGCTGGGCTTGGTGGCTCCTGCCTGTAATCCCAGCACTTTGGGAGGCCGAGGCGGGTGGATCATGAGGTCAGGAGATGGAGACCACCCTGGCTAACACGGTGAAACCCCGTCTCTACTAAAAATAGAAAAAATAGCTGTGCATGGTGGCAGGCGCCTGTAGTCCCAGCTACTCGGGAGGCTGAGACAGGAGAATGGCGTGAACCCGGGAGGCAGAGCTTGCAGTGAGCCGAGATTATGCCACTGCACTCCAGCCTGGGCGACAGAGCAAGACTCCATCTCAAAAAAAAAAAAAAGAAAGAAAAGAAAAATAACGAAAGTAAAAATGTATTAAATCTGGCCAGACACTATTGCCCAATCAAAGCCTCTGAGCCTGAGGTTTTCTGTTTTAAAAATGAGATTAACAGCCAGGTACAGTGGCTCACACCTGTAATTCCAGCACTTTGGGAGGCTGAGGCGGGAGGATCACTTGAGGCCAGGAGTTCGAGACCAGCCTGGGAAAAATAGCGAGACCCTGCCTCTACAAAAATAAAAATGCAAAAATTATCTGGGCATGGTGGCACACATTGTAGTCCCAGCTACTGGGGAGGCTGAGTAGCTGAGTAGGTGGGAGGATTTCTTGAGCCTAGGAGATCCAGGAGGCAGTGAGCCATGATGGTGCCATGCACTCCAGTTTTGCACAGAGCAAGACCCTGTCTCAAAAAATAAAATAAGAAATAAAATTAGGCCGGGCATGGTATAATCACACCTGTAATCCTAAAACTTTGGGAGGACTATTGCTTGGGCCCAGGAGCTCAAGATCAGCCTGGGCAACATGGCAAAACCCCATCTCTACAAAAATACAAAAAATTAGCTGGCTGTGGCAGCGCACAGCTGTAGTTCCATCTACTCATAAGGCTGAGGTGGGAGGATCACCTGAGCCCAGGAGTTCGAGGCTGCAGCGAGCCGTGATTGTGCCACTGCACTCCAGCCTGGGTGACAGAGTGAGACCCTGCCTCAAAAAATAAAATTAAATTAACAACATGAGGCTTTCTCTGTCATCAGCAGGTGTGAAATAGAATTGAAAAGAAAGTATCTTTCTCACTGTGAGTAAGGATTGTGAAATACTCAGTCCACACACCTCCTAAGGCTCTCTCTCTCATGAGTAATCTCTGACTTGGAGAGTCCTTTACAAGGACTGGAACAACCAGGAAGTCAAGTCAAGGGAAAGAGTAGCGAGGGGGTGAGGTATGGCATGATTGGTGCTAGGGACACCTTGAGGACTTAGTTAGGGACAGTGAGTGGGGAGGGGGAAAGGGATCCACGAGACCTAACCCCACTCACATCCTGCCCCCTCCTGTGATCCTAGTTGCTAGACCTGATGCACACCCTGCACACGCGGGCAGCCTCTATCTACAGCTCATGGGCGGAGGAGCAACGCCACCTGGAGACAGGTGGCCAGAAGATTGAAGCTGATTCTCGCACCCTCTGGGCCCACTGCTGGTGCCCTTTACTGCAGGGTAAACCAGGAGGGGCAGAGGTAGGGAGTTTGGGGAGCATCAGGATCAAGATGCCTGAAGGATCCTGACCCTGCTCTTGCTCTCAGGTATTGCCTGCCTGTGCTGCGATGCCCGGCGCCAGGTACGGATGCAGGCACTGACCTATCTGCAGCGAGCACTACTTGTACATGATCTGCAAAAGCTAGATGCCCTGGAATGGGAGTCCTGTTTTAACAAGGTGGGACTTCCTACTGGTCTTAAGATAAAGTTCAAATCCTAAGAAAAGGAAAGCCAGGCAGCCTGAAGAGCCCCTAATGTGAGTCTTCAGCCTGCATCATACCTTCCCTTCAGCTCTATGCCCATCCAGTTCCTGGCTTCCTTGGGGCAAGGCTGCCTAGCTGAACCTCATAGGGAGACATTGCACATTTACCCCCACCAGGTGCTGTTTCCTCTACTTACCAAGCTCTTGGAGAACATCAGCCCTGCAGATGTGGGTGGGATGGAGGAGACCCGGATGAGGGCTTCCACATTGCTCTCTAAGGTACTGCTCACCACCCTATACCCACCCTCTCTCCCATACCTGCCTTTTCCCGAGGAGGGAAGCCAGGGCTTCTGGCAGGACCTAGAGATGCACTGTAGGTGCTCACAACCCCCCAGCTATGGACACTAAGCAGGACCTAGGGACCTGAGAGGATTCTGAATCTTAAATCAGAGATTCCTCCATCTCTGATCTAAGATTCTCATGCAAGATAGGACAGGCTTAGCTACCCAGCCTCAGAGAGGGGTCCAGAGGCTCCTACAGTCCCCTCAGCTGAAGGGGGCTGGTGGGCCATAGGTCTTCCTGCAGCACCTGTCTCCACTGCTGTCACTCTCTACCTTTGCGGCCCTCTGGCTCACCATCTTGGACTTCATGGACAAGTACATGCACGCAGGCTCCAGCGACTTACTGGTATGTTCTACCTCAGCTCTGCTGCCTGCCTCCTGTCCCACCTGTTGGAAGGACTTGCCCTTTCCCCCTTGGTAGCTACCTCCCTTTACCATACTCCCCCCATGCCCTCTTTCCTATTCTCATGGTCCCACTGCCACCTGCAGTCAGAGGCGATCCCTGAGTCTCTGAAGAACATGCTTCTGGTGATGGACACAGCGGAGATTTTCCACAGTGCAGATGCACGGGGAGGCGGCCCCTCGGCCCTCTGGGAGATCACCTGGGAACGCATTGACTGTTTTCTCCCTCACCTACGAGATGAACTCTTCAAGCAGACCGTCATCCAGGGTAGGGGGCTCAGCCCAGCTTTATCAAAAAGAGTCTCCTGCCTGGGCACAATGGCTCACACCTCTAATCCCAGCACTTTGAGAGGCCGAGGTGGGTGGATCACCCGAGGGCAGGAATTTGAGACCAGCCTGACCAACATAGTGAAACCCCATGTCTACGAAAAATACAAAAATTAGCCAGGTGTGGCGGTGGGTGCCTGTAGTCCCAGCTACTCAGGAGGCTGAAACAGGAGAATCACTTGAACCCGGGAAGTGGAGGTTGCAGTGAGCCGAGATCACAGCCTGAGTGACAGAACGAGATTCCATCTCAAAAAAAAAAAGTCCCCAAAGCTGAATTTATTGTCTGTGCCCTGGGTGGGTAGAAAGGCTGTTGGGTAGCTAGGGCTCTGCTGGAGAGAGAAAGCACTAAGAGGTGCCATCTCAATTCTCTACCGTCTCCAGACCCCATGCCCATGGAGCCTCAAGGCCAAAAGCCTCTCGCCTCAGCCCACCTGACTTCCGCTGCTGGCGACACTAGGACACCTGGCCATCCACCGCCCCCAGAGATTCCATCTGAGCTGGGGGCCTGTGGTGAGTCTCTCTAGCCTAGCCTGATAGGCACTGAGTAGCAAGCAGGGGGCCTAAGAGGAGGCCCAAGGGGGCGTGGGAATGCTGCTGAGCAGGGTCTGTGAGCCGAGGGAAGAAGGCCACTAGAGAGAACTGTTGCCGCTCTTCCCATGGGAAATGACAGGACCATAAGCTATGAGGAACTAGCTGCTTGCAGTCTTCAGGCTTGGGAAGAGAAGGCTGGGTCAGGGACTTGGAATGAATTTGCAGAGGTTTCCTTTCAGGGATTCTAGTAGAGAGTAACCTGGCGGCCAGGCGCAGTGGCTCATACCTGTAATCCCAGCACTTTGGGAGGCTGAGGCAGGTAGATCACCTGAGGTCAGGAGTTTGAAACCAGCCTGGCCAACATGGTGAAACCCCGCCTGTACCAAAAAAATATAAAAATTAGCTGGGCGTGGTAGTGCACACCTATAATCCCAGCTACTGGGGAGGCTGAGGTGGAAGGATCGCTTGAACCCGGGAGGCAGAGGTTGCAGTGAGCTGAGATCATGCCACTGCACTCCAACCTGGGTGATAGTGAGACCCTGTCGCGAAAAAAAAAAAAAAAAAAAAAAAAAAGAGTAGCCTGGCAAAGGAGATAGAAGGTAGCTGAACATTGAAATGAGTTTTGAGGGGAGACTCCCAACTTTTTAGGCTGGTGGGGGGCCGTGTTGCTTACTGGAACAAGGAGGAACAGAGACTCTATAAGCAGCCAGCTGGGCAATGTGAGAGTTGTCTTGTACCAACAAGGGAATCTGACTGTAACCACCTTGCTTTCCCTACAGACTTTGAGAAGCCCGAGAGCCCCCGAGCCGCCAGCAGCAGCTCCCCAGGATCACCAGTGGCCTCAAGCCCCAGCAGGCTGAGCCCCACCCCCGACGGGCCTCCACCCTTGGCTCAGCCCCCACTGATCCTGCAGCCCTTGGCCTCCCCACTGCAGGTGGGCGTGCCACCTATGACTCTGCCCATCATCCTCAACCCTGCGCTCATCGAGGCCACCTCACCAGTGCCCCTCCTGGCCACACCCCGCCCCACAGATCCCATACCCACCTCTGAGGTCAACTAAGGCAGGTCACTCAGAGATCAGGACCAGTGCTTCCCACCAGGCTTTCCTTGACCCCACTTCTGGCTGTCCTGCGGGCCACAAGCTCTTCAGGCCAAGTCAGAGCTGCTGTTGCTGCCACTTGGATGGGGACCTGAAAAAGAGAATGTTGATAGCCCCAGCTAAGACCCCCAATCAGCTGTGGGACCTTTTTCCTCCTCTGCGCTCCATTCCTGGGGGTTCAGCCTGAGAGTGAACTCAGCTGTCATCTGCAGCCTCTGCCTCCAGCCCGGCAGCTCTGGGGAGGCATCCGTGTGCCGGCCCTGCAGTGCCTGCCCACGGTCAGGCATTGAAAACTAAGCCCAACCACTCTGCACTTTGTTTCCCACTCCCATTAGCCCTGGGCCACCTCCTCCAGTTCTTCCTCTTTTACTAATTAGTTGGTCAGTTTGGAGAGTTGACTGGCACCATGGAGGGTAGGCAGGTGGGGGCTGGGTGGGGGACTGCCCACAGGAGCATGTACATATGGAAAAACAGAACAACAGTGGACTTTTTATGATATAATAAATGTCTTAGTACCAGCATCATTGTCTCTCCCTCCGGTTTCCTTCTTGAGCTTGTGGGTCAGGGCACCATGTTATCGGGTGCGCAGGGCTTGGACTTGGTGTGAGCAGAGGCTGAGCCTACCTAACACCACCACCCCCCTCCCCCACCCCGCCAGATGCTAGGCCGGGGGTCAGGATTCCTTCACTGCTGCTGACCCCTGCCCTGCCACAGGGTGTACCCTTGTCATCACAGGTGTGCCCAGGGGCTTGGGCAGTGGCTCGGGCAGTTGTCGTAATCTTCCCTAACAACTGTAACAAGGGAGACACGTGAGACAACCTGGCCTAGGTGAGAGGGAAGAGGAGTGAGGGCTGAGTTGTAGTTATTCAGAAGTCTTCTCTCAGATGTGTCTCACCATCCAAGAGACCAAAACAGCTGTTGGGGTTTCAGAGGAGCCCAAGAGTTCGAGGCTGCAGTGAGCTATGATTGTGCCACTGCACTGGAGCCCCCCTCTGTCACCCAGCCTGGAGTGCAGTGGCACAATCATAGCTCACTGCAGCCTCAAACTCTTGGGTTCAAGCAGTCCTCTCACATCAGCCTCCCAAGTATCTGAGACTAAGGTGTGCACCACCACACTTGGCTAATTTTTTGTGTAATTTTTATAAAGACAGGGTCTCACTATGTTGCCCAGACTGGTCTGGAACTCCTGGGCTAAAATGATCTTCCTGCCTAGGCCTCCCAAAGTGCTGAGATTACAGGCATGAGCCACTGCACCCAGCCCTGGGAAGGGTATCTTGCCCACAGCTGCAGTCATGGGTTTGGAGCCCAGGGCATTCATTTTGACCCCAAACTGAAAAGGGGTAACTTTTCCCAGCCCCACAAACCTCAAACCTCACTCACTGCAGCATGATTAGAGGACCCCTCTTCTCCTTTCCCTTGGCATCAGGGTAAGACAGGTGGGAAGTGTGTATGGGGCAGGCTGTGTGGCCCCTGCAGGGTGGAGGTGCTATGGGTGTGTGATACTGTGAAATAGATATTTGGTCTTCACCCCGTTTCCTGGCATAACTCTTAAAATCCTTAGAATCTCCAAAGTGATGTCCTTTAATATATGATTGACTGATAGCTGGCAGCCCCTATGTAGCTGCTGGATGGGGGCTGGTCACCAAAGCAGAATTAAAGGGTTGGGACTTTCAGGCTCAGCCCCCAACCTCCAGGGAGGGAAGAGGGACTGAAGGTTAAGTTGATCACCACTGTCCAATGGTTTAATCAACCGTGCCTATGTAAGGAAGCTTCTCTAAGAACCCAAAAGGGCAGGGTTTGGTGAGCTTCCAGAGAGCTGAACATGTAGGCTTACAGGAAGCCAAACGAGTGCATCCTTGTGCCCAGAGGGTGGCGCACCACAACTCCACGGGGACATCACTCCCGGGCTCTGGACCCTTTCAGACCTCACCCTATGTATGTCTTCATGGCTGGTTATTTGTATCCTTTATAATATTCCCTGTAGTAAACTGGTAAGTGTGTTTCCTTGAGTTCTGTGAGCTACTCTAGCAAACTAGTTGAACCCAAACCCAAGAAGGGGGTCATGCGAAGCCCAATTTATAGCTGGTCAGTAAGAAATACAGGAAAAACCACCTGAAACTTAACAATTGGCATCAGAAGTGGAGGCAATGACCGGGCACCATGGCACACACCTGTAATCCCAGCACTTTCAGAGGCGAGGCAGAAGGATCCCTTGAGGCCAAGAGTTCAAGACCAACCTGGGCAACATAGCGAGACCCTGTCTCTATTTAAAAAAAAAAAAAAAGCATTTTTGTAAAGAAGTAGAGTACAGTCCTGGGGAATGAGCCCTCAACCTATGGGACCTGGCACTATTTCCAATTAGATAGTGTCAGAATTGAATTGGAGGCCACCCAGCTGGTGTCTACTATAGAGCTGATTGCTTGCCTGGTGTGTGGGGGTTTTCCCACACACACACATTTGGTCACAGAAGTCTTCTGTGTTGATTGTTTTTGAGTGAGAAAATAGAAACACTTTGAAGGTGTTTTCCCCTCTCATGGTGGGATACAAAATGCTGGGTATTAAGCTTTCCCAAGTGAAGCATCCACATCATCTTGGTTTCCACCTCCGCAATGGTGCCTTCCCTTCCCTGGGGCACAGAGAACAGTGTGGCCCTGTTGTACTTCCAGCTGGCCTCCATCACAGAGAGTTAGGGGCACTCACCCCCTGCACTGGGGCCCAGCTGGCAGTATGATTCTCCAGCACCAGGCTTCCCTTTGCTCAGCACATGCACATGGCTGGGCATTTGGACCTCTGCAACGCCTCCCTCAGTGTAGAAAAAGGCACCTCAGAGTGGGAACAACCTGAAGTGGAAAAATACTGATATGAAACCGGAAGCTCTTAGGCTAATTTCTCCCTCTTCCCTTCCTTCTTCCTGAAGTCCAGGCCATGCCTGGTTTGCATACTAACCAGAAGTCTTGCCCAACCCTGCCCCTGGGAAAATTAGGAGGGGCAGAAAGCTCTATGTGTGTGCAGAAAAGCCTGGATCTACAGCCAGCTAGATACTGGGGCATTTGGCTTCAACTGTGGTGTCTCTGTTCTCCCATCTGAGCCCCACAAGCTCTGCCTTTAGAAGCTTCCATGTGTTTCCCTATGGGAGAAATAGTGTTAACTGCTGCAAATAAGTCTGAAGGCCATCCTATGAACAAAGAAATAGGACAGCTCTAATGTTCCTTATAAAACCAATCTCAAAAATTAGGAAAGAAGTGGGAACAGGAGTGGGGTGGGGTGCGGTGGCTCACGCCTGTAATCCCAGCACTTTGGGAGACTGAGGCAGGAGGATCGCTTGCCCAGGAGTTCAAGACCATGTATCTGTGGCCTAGCTACTTGGGAAGCTGAGGCAGGAGGAGTGCTTGAGCCTGGGAGGTTGAGGCTGCAGTGAGCTATGATGGTGCCGCTGTACTCCAGCCTGGCAACAGAGCAAGACTCTGTCTCAAAAAAAAAAAAAAAAAGCTGGAGCAATTGCAAACTGGCCGTCTCCCTGCTGGGAAGCAAAGAAAAACATTTGCTGGAAGTTGCATTCTGTTATTAAAAAGTAGCTGAGGCCCGGTGCTGTGGCTCACATCTGTAATCCCAGTACTTTGGGAGGCTGAGGTGGGAGGATCACTTGAGGCCAGGAGTTTGAGATCAGCCTGGGCAACATAGTGAGACCCCCATCTCTATTTTTAAAAATATTTCAAAAATATATTTAAAAAACAAAAGACCAGCTGATATGCGTGATTTGTATTATGGACAATCTTGTCTCAGAAAGCAAAGGAAGCTGCAAGAGGAACTAATAAGTAAGCCTTAATCCTGACCAACAAAGAAGAATGGCTTGGTGATGTGGAAGTAACCAAACCTTGGGGAAAAGTAATAACATAGTCTGGAGGGAAATGCTGGTCTTAATGACATCTCCCACCAGAAATCCAGGATAGCAGATAAAGTCAGGAGGAAAGGTAGAGATGGTTCCATGACCTAAGACCCTAACATAGAGCACTGGCATCGCTAGAGCGCCTATATGTGTCAGTACTGAGTGCCTTGCTCAAACATTTTATTTTTATTTAATGTGGGGAGGGGGATTTTTTGTTTTTTGTTTTTTGTTTTTTTCTGAGACAGAGTCTCACTGTGTCACTCAGGCTAGAGTGCAGTGGTGCAATCTTGGCTCACTGCAACCTCCGCCTCCTGGGTTCAAGCAATTCTTGTGCTTCAGCCTCCCAAGAAGCTGGGATTACAGGTGTGCACCACCACAACTGACTAATGTTTTTGTTTATTTGTTTGTTTGTTTTTAGACAGAGTCTTGCTCTGTCACCCAGGCTGGAGTGCAGTGGCGCGATATCGGCTCACTGCAACCTCCACCACCCGGGTTCAAGCAATTCTCCTGCCTCAGTCTCCTGAGTAGCTGGGATTACAGGTGCGTGCTACCACGTCCAAGTAATTTTTGTATTTTTAGTAAAGATAGGGTTTCACCATGTTGGTCAGGCTGGTCTCGAACTCCTGACCTCATGATCTGCCCGCCTCGGCCTCCCAAAGTGCTAGGATTACAGGCCTGAGCCACCGCAACTGGCACTGGCTAATGTTTTGTACTTTTAGTAGAAATGGGGTGTCACCATGTTGGCCAGGCTGGTCTGAAACTCCTGGCCTCAGGTAACCCACCCACCTTGGCCTCCCGAAGTGCTGGGATTACAGGTGTGAGCCACTGCACCCGGCTGTTTTTGTTTTGTTTTTTGAGATAGGGTCTCCCCCTGTTGCCCAGGCTGGAGTGTAGTGGCACAATCACAGCTCACTGCAGCCTTGACCCCCAGGCTCAAGTGATCCTCCCACCTCAACCTTCAAACAACATTTTAGAGGCATTTTCTCCTCTTACAGATGAGGCTATAGGTTCAGAGGCCAAGTCATGGAATTTAGGGAGCTGGGAATCAAACCCAAGTCAGTGTCACTCTAAACCTTGTGTTCTTTGGTATGACACTTTTTCCATTCAGAAGTAGTGATGGTGAGGCCAGGTGCAGTGGCTCACACACGTAATCCCAACACTTTGGGAGGCTGAGGTGGGCGGATCACCTGAGGTCAGGAGTTTGACACCAGCCTGGCTAATATGGCAAAACCCTATCTCCACTAATAATACAAAAATAAGCCGGGTGTGGTGGCTCACACCTGTGATCCCAACACTTTGGGAGGCCGAGGCAGGGGGATCACGAGGTCAGGAGATCGAGACCATCCGGGCTAACATGGTGAAACCTATCTCTACTAAAAATACAAAAAAAAAAAAAATTAGCCGGGCACGGTGGCACACGCCTGTAGTCCCAGCTACTCAGGAGGCTGAGGCAGGAGAATCGCTTGAACCCAGGAGGTGGAGGTTGCAGTGAGCTGAGATTGTGCCACTGCACTCTAGCCTGGACAACAGAGCGAGACTCCCTCTCAAAAAAAAAAAAAATTTAGCCAGGAGTGGTGGTGGGCACCTGTAATCTCAGCTACTCGGGAGGCTGAGGCAGGAGAATCGCTTAAACCTGGGAGGCACAGGTTGCAGTAAGCCGAGATGGCACCACCGCACTCCAGTCTGAGCAAGAGCGCGAGACTCTGTCTCAGACAAATAAATAAATAAATA
Source organism: Homo sapiens (assembly GCF_000001405.40). Taxonomy (NCBI): domain Eukaryota; kingdom Metazoa; phylum Chordata; class Mammalia; order Primates; family Hominidae; genus Homo; species Homo sapiens. The sequence continues at coordinate 102,387,993 of NC_000010.11, forward strand.
AATAAATAAATAAATAAATAAATAAATAAATAAAAGTAGTGGTGGTGGTGGTATAGAAACCCTCCAAAGCTAAACACATTTTCTGTAGCTTCTCATGTGAAATAAAAGGCTAAGTACCTGAGGAAACAGGTTATTACCTAGTGAGCTCAGAGTTTAGTAGGAGTTTATAAAAACTGGAAACAGATGCCCACAACCAAGAAAAATATGTGAATTTTCTACACACATAATGATATGAGAAAGAACAAAATATAGAATGAGCTACAATGGGCATTCCTCCCTGCCCCGCCACCAAATAGAAAAAAATACTAGGAACAACAAAAGCTGTGGTTATTGGAGCCATGGGTATTTACCTTTGTTGAGGGCTCACTGGTTGGAAGACAAGTGGCTGTGAATGAGCAGAGTCACTCAGCCCCAGGGCTCCCATTGAGAGGGGCCTGTAATCCCAGCTACTCAGGAGGGTGAGGCAGGAGAATCGCTTGAACCCGGGAGGCAGAGGTTGCTGTGAGCTAAGATTGTGCCACTGCACTCCAGCCTGGGCAACAGAGTGAGACTGTCTCAAAAAAAAAAAAAAAAAAAGGCTGGGCACGGCGGCTCACGCCTGTAATCCCAGCACTGTGGGAGGCCAAGGCGGGCAGATCACGAGGTCAGGAGTTCAAGACCAGCCTGACCAACATGGTGAAACCCTGTCTCTACTAAAAATACAAAAATTAGCCGGGCGTGGTGGCGGGTGCCTGTAATCCCAGCTACTCGGGAGGCTGAGGCAGGAGAATCACTTGAAACCGGAAAGCGGAGATTGCAGTGAGCCGAGATGGCGCCGCCGCACTCCAGCCTGGGCAACACAGTGAGACTCTGTCTCAAAAAAAAATAATAATAATAATTAAAGAGAAATAAAAATAAGTAAAAGGAAAAATTCTTGATACCCCCTACAAATCTGCTCCTCTCTCAGTGTGCCCCACATCACTAAAGGACAATTCCATTCTTTTTATGCCAAAACCCCCTCTTTTCTCACATCCTGCATCTAATCTTCAGCAAGTCTTGTTACTTCTATCTTTAAATCTATCTAGAATTGCGATTACTTCCCACCACCTTCATCATCCACTAGCACCCAAGCCTCAGCCGCTGTCTGTTGGACTCCTGGTCTCCCTCCTTCCTCCTAGGTCCTTGCATTCGATAGTCTTTACACAGCAGCCAAACGGATCCTTTTCTGTTTGTTTGAGACGGTCTCGCTCTGTTGCCCAGGCCGGAGTACAGTGGCACAATCTAGGCTCACTGCAATCTTCACCTCCTGGGCTCATGCAGTTCTCTGACCTCAGACTCCTGAGTAGCTGGGAATATAGGTGCATGCCACCACACCCAGCTAATCTTTGCATCTTTTGTAGAGAAGGGGTTTAACCATGTTACCCAGGCTGGTCTCGAACTCATGGGCTCAAGCAATCCTCCTGCCTCGGCCTTTCAAAGTGCTGGGATTACAGGCATGCAGCCCAAATGGATCCTTTTAAGACACATTATACCCCAGCCTGGACAACACAGCAAGACCTTGTCTCTAAAAAAAAAAAAAAAAAACTAAAAAATAAAAATTTAGGCTGGGCATGGTGGCTCACACCCATAATCCCAACACCTTGAGAGGTCAATGTGGGCAGGTCACTTGAGCGCAGGAGTTGGATACCAGCCTGAGCAACATGGTGAAACCCATCTCTACAAAAAAATGCAAAAATTAGCTGCACATGGTGGCATGTGCCTGTAGTCCTAGCTACTCAGGAGGCTAAGGTGGGAGGATTGCTTGAGCCCAAGAGTTTGAGGCCGCAGTGAGCTATGATCACGCCACTGCACACCACCCTGAGTAACAGAATGAGAGCCTCTCTCAAAAAAAAAAAAAAAAAAAAGGATACATTATACAATTTTCACTCCACTGCTCAGAACTCTCTAACGGCTTTCCATCTTGATCAGAACAAAACCCAAAGTTATTACTTTATTCCACCTACTAACTTTCTTGCTGTTCCTCAAATATGCCAAACACTTGTATCAGAGCTTGGCCCTACTGTTCCCTCCACCTGGAACACTCTTCCTCCAGATATTCCCCATGACTCACTCCCTCACTTTTTCAAGTCACTGTTTAATTGTTACCTTATCAGAGAGTCCTGCTTTGACTGATACCTAGAAAATCCTTGTCACTCTCAATCCTTTACCTACTTAATTTTTCTTTGTAGCACTTATTACCAACTGATATATATCTGTTTGAGTTTTGCCTGCAAGCAGCGGTGTTGTTTAATGGAGTGGGCTCTCACTATTTATCGGTAAATGAATGGAATAAATTAGTGGTGCATCTGCTCTGGGCTAGGCATTGTGCTAGAGCTGGGTGCGGAAACAGATGACGATTAGGATGAAAATTAGTGTAACATGCAATGAAGAACTTTCTTTCTTTCTTTCTTTCTTCTTTGTTTTGAGATGGAGTCTCACTTTGTTTTCCAGGCTGAAGTGCAGTGGCATGATCTCGGCTCACTGCAACCTCCACCTCCCAGATTCAAACGATTCTCCTGCCTCAGCCTCCCTAGTAGCTGGGACTACAGGCGCCCACCACCACACCCTGCTAATTTTTGTACTTTTAGTAGGGACAGGGTTTCACCATGTTGGCCAGGCTGGTCTCGAACTCCTGACCTCAAGTGATCCACCCGCCTTAGCCTCCCAAAGTGCTGGGATTACAGGTATGAGTCACTGTGCCCAGCCTAACAAAGAGGTTTCTTAAGCCCAGATAGATGAGGCTCTAGCAAGTGACAAGCTATTTTGAGTTAGTTTAAATCTCCAGGCTAACATGCATTAGGAATTGTTGAATCTGACAGAGGGGCACACGAGGGCTCATTATACTATTCTCTCCACTCTTCTTTTTTTGAGACAGCGTCTGTCTGTCACCTAGGCTGGATGGAATGCAGTGGCACGAACATGGCTCACAGCAGCCTCAACTTCCTGGGCTCAAGCAATCCTCCCACCTTAGCCTTCCGAGTAGCTGGGACTACAGGCACTCACCATCACATGTGGCTAACTTAAGTAGACATGAGGTCTCCCTATGTTGCCCAGGCTGTTCTCAAACTCCTGAGGTCAAGTGATCTGCCTGCCTCAGCCTCCCAAAGTGAAAATCTTTGTATGTTTGAAATGTTCTCTAATAAAGGTCTTGTTTTGTTCATCTTTAGATAAATTACGCCTTAGACTGTTGTAACTAAAATAGCTCAACCCTTAGGGGTGCTTTTAGAGATGTTGTGGAGACTCAAAGAATCCGTGCTGATTTTGGTGGCAATTTATGAGCACTTTGAAAGGATAGATGTGATCAGTGGTAACCAGCACGGGTTTACTAAGCTAGAGTATACCAAGATGAATTTACTCCATTATACATTTAATTTTTAATTTTTAATTTATTTATTTAGAGACCTAGTTATGAGACAGGCTAATTTTTGTATTTTTGTGGGGAAAAGCAAGAGAGATCAGATTGTTACTGTGTCTGTATAGAAAGAAGTAGACATAGGAGACTCCATTTTGTTCTGTACTAAGAAAAATTCTTCTGCCTTGAGATTCTGTTAATCTATGACCTTACCCCCAACCCCGTGCTCTCTGAAACATGTGCTGTGTCAAACTCAGGGTTAAATGGATTAAGGGTTGTGCAAGGTGTGCTTTGTTAAACAGATGCTTGAAGGCAGCATGCTCGTTAAGAGTCATCACCACTCCCTAATCTCAAGTACCCAGGGACACAAACACTGCGGAAGGCCGCAGGGACCTCTGTCTAGGAAAGCCAGGTATTGTCCAAGGTTTCTCCCCATGTGATAGTCTGAAATATGGCCTCGTGGGAAGGGAAAGACCTGACCGTCCCCCAGCCCGACACCCGTAAAGGGTCTGTGCTGAGGAGGATTAGTATAAGAGGAAGGAATGCCTCTTGCAGTTGAGACAAGAGGAAGGCATCTGTCTCCTGCCCGTCCCTGGGCAATGGAATGTCTCGGTATAAAACCCGATTGTACGTTCCATCTACTGAGATAGGGAAAAACCGCCTTAGGGCTGGAGGTGGGACATGCAGGCAGCAATACTGCTTTGTAAAGCATTGAGATGTTTATGTGTATACATATCTAAAAGCACAGCACTTAATCCTTTACCTTGTCTATGATGCAAAGACCTTTGTTTGTCTGCTGACCCTCTCCCCACTATTGTCTTGTGACCATGACACATCCCCCTCTCAGAGAAACACCCATGAATGATCAATAAATACTAAGGGAACTCAGAGGCTGGCGGGATCCTCCATATGCTGAATGCTGGTTCCTCGAGTCCTTTCTCTATACTTTGTCTCTGTGTCTTTTTCTTTTCCAAGTCTCTCATTCCACCTCACGAGAAACACCCACAGGTGTGGAGGGGCAACCCACCCCTTCAATTTTTTGAGACGGGGTTTCACCATGTTGCCAAGGCTGGTCTCGAACTCCTGGGCTCAAGTGATCCACCAGCCTTGGCTTCCTGAAGTGCTGAAATTACAGGTGTGAGTCACCATGCCCGGCCTTAGTCCATTTTAATTTAAGGTTAGGAATCTGACTTACCAGAGAAACGTAGTAGACAACATATCTGGATTTCAGCAAATTGTTTGGCAGAATCTTATGATATTTGTTTGAGAGGCCCACAGTAAGGTGGAAAGGGCTGCTTTGTTTTATATAAACTTAGGGGAGAAAGCTTCATCCTGGAGTCAACAGATTGGGTTTGAATCCTGGCTCTGTCCCTTTCTAGCTGTGTGTTTGGTTGTTACTCCACCTCTCTGAGCCTTAATTTCTTCATCAGTAAAAGTAATATTCACCTCCTAGGGTTGTTGGGAGGGAGAATAAGAACTTCTAAAGTACCCGAACCTAGCAACTAGGACACTATATTTGCAGGCAAGATGAAGAGGGGTGGGGAAGTAATAGGAAACAGCCCAAATCGAGAGCCATAATAGTCTCTCTTTACTTAGTGCCAGTGCAGGCCTGTGATTCTGTTCTTAAAAACGTCTGGGGCAAGCTGCAGGAAAGACCCGAGATAGTTTATGTTCTACCATAAGCCTAAGGGAGGAGGACTCCAGGCAGGGAGATTACTCATGGCACCTGCTAAGGAGAAACGCTACTGACCAGAGAGAGGTCCAGTCATGTACTCCGTGCTTGGTGAATTTCTGTCCTGACCTCGCTGCCTCTAGAAGTGTTCAGGTGGAAATTGGAAGGTCTATAAGAGGCAATTCGGCAGCATACAGTGGCTCACGTCTGTAATCCAAAATCCAAGCATTTTGGAAGGCCAAAGTAGGAGGATCACTTAAGCCCAGGAGTTTAAGACCAGCCTAGGCAACGCAGTGAGATCCATCTCCACTAAAAATTTTAAAATTTGCCAGGTATGGTGGTGTGCACCTGTAGCCCCAGCTACTCAGGAGAGTCAGAGAATCGGCGCACCCCGGAGTTCGAGGTTGCAGTGAGCCATGATCACGCCACTGTACTCCAGCCTGGGTGACAGAGCAAGACACTGTCTCAAAAACATAAATAAATAAATAAATAAATAAATAGGCCGTGCGCAGTGGCTCACGACTGTAATTCCAACATTTTAGAAGGCGGAGGCCAGCGGATCACCTGAGGTCAGGAGTTCGGGACCAGCCTGACCAACGTGGTGAAACCCCCAACTCTACTAAAAATACATAAATTAGGCGGGCGTGGTGGTGGCCGCCTGTAATCCCAGCTACTCGGTAGGCTGCAGCAGGAGAATGGTTTGAACCCGGGAGGCAGAGGTTGCAGTGAGCCAAAATCCCCTCACTGCATTCCAGCCTGAGACTAAAAAAAAGAGGCGATTTCCCACATCGGTGGAAATTTGAGCTGTTTAAACTCTGGATGCCTTTTTCAGTTCTAATATTCCAGATCTCCTTGGTGGATAAACACTTCATTTCCCTTCTCCTGAGCAGAGCTCCTGAGCCCTGGCCCGCTGGGAACCTGTCACTTCTAAAAAAGTTCGAGGTCCGGACTGTCTCTCCCGGAGCCTTGAGGCTGATGAGACGGAGCGAGAGAGGGGCCGGGGCCGAATGGAGTCTACTCGCGGGCCCAGGGAGGCCGCCAGAGGGCGCCCGGGACCGACCGCAAGAATAACTTCCTTCCTCTTCCGCTAACTTCCCGGCAGCGCGCCGCTCAGGGTGGGGGCCCCGAGGGCTGGGGCCGTCGGCTTCCCCCTGGGGATCCCCCGCTTCAGAGAAAGCCAAGCGTTAGGCGCAGCCAAAGCCGAGAGGCAGCGGAAGCTCCCGGCCCGGGGTGGCGCTGGGTCAGCGGGTACCTTCTCGGCGGTCCCCTGGCCGGCCGAACTCGCGCCTGGTGTCCTGTCACCCCGCTCCCCGCCCTGAGTGAGCCTGTCCCCTCTCAGGGGCGCGCCCGAGTCGCTCCGGGTTGGCTGCGCCAGTCCAGAGTTAAACTTTCAGCCAATGAAAAAGGGCGCGAGGCGTGACGCACGGAAACGTCATGGGAATTCCCCCCTCCGGGGGGCCGAGAAGGGGCTTTCCCGGCCCTGAGCCCTGCTGGCAGGCGAGGTGTCGCGACCGGTCCCAGGTGGGTCGGGCGCGGAGAGAAGCCGCAACCAGAGCCGCCGCCACGGTGAGTGGCTGGATTCAGACCCCTGGGTGGCCGGGACAAGAGAAAAGAGGGAGGAGGGCCTTTAGCGGACAGCGCCTGGGGCTGGAGAGCAGCAGCTGCACACAGCCGGAAAGGGCGCGCAGGCGACGACACTCGGATCCACGTCGACACCGTTGTACAAAGATACGCGGACCCGTACGTACACCTGTACCTGTGCTGGCGCACACACGGCAGCGTCCGTGCAGTCGCACTCGCACACACATGCACACGGAGACGTGCCCACCGGTGCACTGGTGCCTGCACCCACACCCTTCACGCACAAACTCAAGATACGCTCACCCGTGTCCGTACATCAAGACAGGCGCTGACACACACCCACACTGAGAAGCTCGGGATTCACCTATCTACACACATGCTCGCTTGCACACTCATGTTGACGCCATGGACACACAACATGCAACCAAGCACTACAGCCGAAACACACTTGTGGAGCTGTGATGGAGACACACTCTTGTATTAGGTGGGGGGGGGGGGGGGGGAGCGTGCAGAGATCTCCCTGTCGCCTGCGCGCCCAGAACCGGTGCGGTGTGGGACCAGCTGCTGTTGTGAGGTTTGGGAGAGAGAGAAAAGAGCCCACTCCGAGGAGGAGACACTTTTCCCGCAGCCCCAGAATCGCGTTCTCGGGGCAGAACCCCGGGGCCTCCCACAGGAAAGAGCCCCCGCCTACAGGCTGTTCGAAGGGGAGGCCGTCCGACAGCAGGAATGTCCCCCCAAAAGCCCCCGGGGTTTATCAGCCGTGGCCTCCCTCCTGGCAGAAAATCCCAAGGTTGCTCCAGACCGGGGGAGGGGAGCGGGAGGCGGACTTGGCCCCAGACTGCCAGCCTCCTCCCGGCCGTGAAAGACCCTCCTGTTCCCTGCCCTGGAGGGAGGAGGGGGCTTAACCCCCACCGGGGCTTCCCGGATTCTCCTAGACCTCTGCCCGCTGAAAAGCAGCGGGAGCCCGTAGACTGTCGAGGGCCTCCCGCCCCTCCCGTCGCGAGGGCGGGGCCAGTGGCGTCATTTCCAGGCCCGCCCCCTCCGGCCCCGCCTCCCCTTGGTATTTTCGGGACTTTCCTAAGCTGCTCTAACTTTCCTGCCCCTTCCCCGGCCAAGCCCAACTCCGGATCTCGCTCTCCACCGGATCTCACCCGCCACACCCGGACAGGCGGCTGGAGGAGGTCGGACCCTCCCCCAAATCTGGGCCCCCATCTCCCGCCCACCCCCATTTAGATCTGACCCCCTCCCCCACGCCACTCCTCCCAACTTTAGGCGGGCGTCTAAAATTCTGGGAAGCAGAACCTGGCCGGAGCCACTAGACAGAGCCGGGCCTAGCCCAGAGACATGGAGAGTTGCTACAACCCAGTGAGTCATGCCGCCTGCCCCTGACCCGGCCGGCTGCCCCTCGTGTCTGTCCACCTGTCTGCCCGAGCCCCCTCTGCTGCCTTACACCTGTATGCTCGCAGATGCTCTCAGCCTGCCAGTCTGTCCATCTGTCTGCAACTCTGCCTCCAAAAGGAGCTTTCTCTTGGGTCTGAGGAGGAGGGGGGAGTGACCACTGAAGACTTGGAGATGGGAGGTGGGGCTGTGGGGGGTGCTGAGAGTCGGATGCCACCCCCAGTCTGTCTCCAAACCAGGGTCTGGATGGTATTATTGAATATGATGATTTCAAATTGAACTCCTCCATTGTGGAACCCAAGGAGCCAGCCCCAGAAACAGGTCAGCAAGTTCACTAACCTCCCCTAGTCCTAAAGCGGGGGAGGGAGAGCATGTGCCCTCTCTCTGGGGGAGGGGCTGGGAGATCGTGGCTCAGCAAGGTCTCTCTGTCCCCAGCTGATGGCCCCTACCTGGTGATCGTGGAACAGCCTAAGCAGGTGAGTGAGCAAAAGGGAGGGTGTGGAATGGCTTCAGCTTTGGGGACAAATGGGGTAGTGGTAGCTGGCTGGCCATGGAGGAGCCATTGCCGAAGGAGGCCACAGGGGATTGGATGGTCACTGCTGCTGATCAGAGTGCTGTAGTTTGGTTCAGGGCTACTACCAGGCACTGCGGTCACTGCTGGCCTGGGTGGTCTTCCCTGATCACAATGCTACTATGCCCTTGGACCTTCAGAGAGGCTTCCGATTTCGATATGGCTGTGAAGGCCCCTCCCATGGAGGACTGCCCGGTGCCTCCAGTGAGAAGGGCCGAAAGACCTATCCCACTGTCAAGGTGAGCCAGGATGGTGCTGGAGGGTGGGCTAAGTGGACAGCATGCCCAAGGCCCTGACTGACAGTCCCTGCCTCTCCTAGATCTGTAACTACGAGGGACCAGCCAAGATCGAGGTGGACCTGGTAACACACAGTGACCCACCTCGTGCTCATGCCCACAGTCTGGTGGGCAAGCAATGCTCGGAGCTGGGGATCTGCGCCGTTTCTGTGGGGCCCAAGGACATGACTGCCCAGTAGGTGCCCTCTACGCCTGGCCCCCACTGGTATGCCCGTCTGCCAGTCCCAGGCCCCAGCCCACCTCCATGAGCTTAGCATCTGACCAAGGGGAAAGATGTAGGTTGGCCCCAAACCCAAGGGCCTAAGTAGAAACTCCAATGGCTTCCTTGAGGAAGTAAGGCTGAGCTGAGCCCTGGCAATGGGAAAGGTGCCTCAGGAAGAAAGAACTGCATGGCCAAAGGCCTCCGATTCTCTCTTCTCAGATTTAACAACCTGGGTGTCCTGCATGTGACTAAGAAGAACATGATGGGGACTATGATACAAAAACTTCAGAGGCAGCGGCTCCGCTCTAGGCCCCAGGGCCTTACGGGTATGGGTGCAGGGGGTGGGTCGGGTATGGGTGCAGGGGGTGGGTGGGTCATGGGAGGTGCTCATGGAAGGAGCAGGGAGGGAGAAGCCCAGGGGTCACACATGTACCTACTGCCCAGAGGCCGAGCAGCGGGAGCTGGAGCAAGAGGCCAAAGAACTGAAGAAGGTGATGGATCTGAGTATAGTGCGGCTGCGCTTCTCTGCCTTCCTTAGAGCCAGTGATGGCTCCTTCTCCCTGCCCCTGAAGCCAGTCATCTCCCAGCCCATCCATGACAGCAGTGAGTATCCTGATTGCCTGGGGTGCCAGGCCTGGTGGCAGAGGTGGCATGAGGGGTGACCTCAAGCTGTGCAGTCAAACAGACCCAGGTTTCAGAACCTGGCCCTGCCACATATGAGCTGAGTGATCCTGAGCAAGTCATTTCCCCCCCGAAGCTTCTGTCTTTAGTAAATGTGTATATTGGGTGTTTCCTGCAGCTCCAGGGGTTGCTGAGATAAGGAATACAAAGCCCCCAGCTTCTTAAATGTGGCCTTGGCTATTGCATCATCTCAACTAATCCATATCCCACTCCATAGAATCTCCGGGGGCATCAAACCTGAAGATTTCTCGAATGGACAAGACAGCAGGCTCTGTGCGGGGTGGAGATGAAGTTTATCTGCTTTGTGACAAGGTGCAGAAAGGTGAGACTGGAGCCCACTTTGGGCACCAAGGACATCGAGTATAAGACTGGGGCCAGGGAAGCTCTAGGGTAAATGGCCCCAGAGATTCCACCGGGAGCTGTGGCCAAGCTTCCGTTTTCCTTGTAGATGACATTGAGGTTCGGTTCTATGAGGATGATGAGAATGGATGGCAGGCCTTTGGGGACTTCTCTCCCACAGATGTGCATAAACAGGTACCCAGGGCTAGGGCCCGGGCCCGGGCTGGGGGCTAAATTAGGCTAAGGACTCACTGACACCCTGTGTCTCCCTGCACCCCCCAGTATGCCATTGTGTTCCGGACACCCCCCTATCACAAGATGAAGATTGAGCGGCCTGTAACAGTGTTTCTGCAACTGAAACGCAAGCGAGGAGGGGACGTGTCTGATTCCAAACAGTTCACCTATTACCCTCTGGTGGAAGGTGGAGCTGGGCTGAGGACCTCAGGGTGCTGGCGGGGGGCCAGGCTGGGCTAGAAGAAGGTCCCAAGAGCTAGATGTGGGGATGCATGAGCCAAGTCAGAAGTGCGAGGGTCCCAGGAGGTGCTTCCTAGGAGCCGGCCCTGAGGGCTCTTCTGGGAAGGGCCCCTGAGGCATGACACAATAACTGGGCTCAATCTCATTTTCCTCTGCCCCCAGACAAGGAAGAGGTGCAGCGGAAGCGGAGGAAGGCCTTGCCCACCTTCTCCCAGCCCTTCGGGGGTGGCTCCCACATGGGTGGAGGCTCTGGGGGTGCAGCCGGGGGCTACGGAGGAGCTGGAGGAGGTGAGGGGGTACTGATGGAGGGAGGGGTAAAGGTAAGAGAAGCTGTGGAGGAAAAAAATCTGGGGGAGGCCGGGCGTGGTGGCTCACGCCTGTAATCCAGCCCTTTGGGAGGCCAAGGCAGGCAGATTACCTGAGATCAGGAGTTCAAGACCAGCTTGGCCAACAGCGTGAAACCTCGTCTCTACTAAAAATACAAACATTAGCTGGGCATGGTGGCAGGCGCCTGTAATCCCAGCTACTCGGGAGGCTGAGGCAGGAGAATCGCTTGAACCCTGGGAGACAAGAGGTTGCAGTAAGCTGAGATCACACCACTGCACTCCAGGCTGGGCAATAAGAGCGAAACTCCGTCTCAAAAAAAAAAAAAAAAAATCTGGGAGAGTCATGGCTGGTGCCCGCTTCCCACAGCCCTGCCTGTATCCACAGGTGGCAGCCTCGGTTTCTTCCCCTCCTCCCTGGCCTACAGCCCCTACCAGTCCGGCGCGGGCCCCATGGGCTGCTACCCGGGAGGCGGGGGCGGGGCGCAGATGGCCGCCACGGTGCCCAGCAGGGACTCCGGGGAGGAAGCCGCGGAGCCAAGCGCCCCCTCCAGGACCCCCCAGTGCGAGCCGCAGGCCCCGGAGATGCTGCAGCGAGGTATGGACTCCGGGGCACGGGCGGTCGGGGCGCCGGGGCTGAGGACCTAGCCCTGACCCACGCCCTCTGTGGCCCGTAGCTCGAGAGTACAACGCGCGCCTGTTCGGCCTGGCGCAGCGCAGCGCCCGAGCCCTACTCGACTACGGCGTCACCGCGGACGCGCGCGCGCTGCTGGCGGGACAGCGCCACCTGCTGACGGCGCAGGACGAGAACGGAGACACGTAGGCAACAGAGGGCCTGGCGGACGAGGCGCGGGGTGGGGGCAGGAAAGGGACCGGCACGGAGGCGGGCTCTGCAGTTTTCGGACACGCCAGGCTTCAAGTCCGGCCTCGGTGTTCACAAGCTCTGTTCAAGCTGCTTGGTCTCTCCAAACTTCAGTTTGGTCGACCGTGCAAGGGGTACAGTCATAGCACTTACCTACCTCAAAAGGTGCTGCGAAACGTTAAGTGCAGGCACAGCGATGCCCTGGGCCACGTGCTGGGTTCCATGGGCCCCAGCGAGGGAGACTATGAGGGCGGTGGGGCCTTGAAAGCGAAGGATGCTCTGAGTGGCTGGGCCAGACTCTCGCTCCCCAACCCCCAGACCACTGCACCTAGCCATCATCCACGGGCAGACCAGTGTCATTGAGCAGATAGTCTATGTCATCCACCACGCCCAGGACCTCGGCGTTGTCAACCTCACCAACCACCTGCACCAGGTGCGGGGGCGCCTACTGGGGAGGTGGGAGGGGTTGGAAGGCAAGTGGGTCTCGGGCCTGGCTCACCCTGCTTTCATCCCCAGACGCCCCTGCACCTGGCGGTGATCACGGGGCAGACGAGTGTGGTGAGCTTTCTGCTGCGGGTAGGTGCAGACCCAGCTCTGCTGGATCGGCATGGAGACTCAGCCATGCATCTGGCGCTGCGGGCAGGCGCTGGTGCTCCTGAGCTGCTGCGTGCACTGCTTCAGAGTGGAGCTCCTGCTGTGCCCCAGCTGTTGCATATGCCTGACTTTGAGGGTGAGCTCCCCATCTCACCTGACTAAGGGGGCAGGCGGGGACCAGGGAGGGTATCTGGCCAGTGCCCAGAATGGACTATGAGGTGTCGAGATTGAATGGTCAGGGCTGGTCCAGGGGCTGCCTTAAGGGTCACAGCTGCAGGTTGAGCATCCTGCATCCTTAGGACTGTATCCAGTACACCTGGCAGTCCGAGCCCGAAGCCCTGAGTGCCTGGATCTGCTGGTGGACAGTGGGGCTGAAGTGGAGGCCACAGAGCGGCAGGGGGGACGAACAGCCTTGCATCTAGCCACAGAGATGGAGGAGCTGGGGTTGGTCACCCATCTGGTCACCAAGGTGGGACTGAGGATTGTGGAAGGAGTGGGGCCAAGGGTGGTGGAGGGGCCAAAGATGGTGAAGGGGGGGGCTGGCCAAGGGGACCATGCTGTGGTGTCAACTCTCGCTGCTCGCACCCCCAGCTCCGGGCCAACGTGAACGCTCGCACCTTTGCGGGAAACACACCCCTGCACCTGGCAGCTGGACTGGGGTACCCGACCCTCACCCGCCTCCTTCTGAAGGCTGGTCAGTCTCACCCTCAGGGGCACTTGAACAGGGTGGGGGGAAGGGAGAGAGGTGCCTCCCAGTCCCCCGACTTTGCAGTCCTTAATGTAGGCCCCCACCATACCGCCCCATGACGGCCTCCCTCTCCCAGGTGCTGACATCCATGCTGAAAACGAGGAGCCCCTGTGCCCACTGCCTTCACCCCCTACCTCTGATAGCGACTCGGACTCTGAAGGGCCTGAGAAGGACACCCGAAGCAGCTTCCGGGGCCACACGCCTCTTGACCTCACTTGCAGCACCAAGGTGAGGCCAGCCCGGGACTAGAAGTGCTCTGAGTGACGGGGTCCAGAGTATCTGGACTTAAAGACACAGGCTTAAGGACGAGGTGGGAGGTAGTCAGAACTGCGGCTGTCTCCCCAGGTGAAGACCTTGCTGCTAAATGCTGCTCAGAACACCATGGAGCCACCCCTGACCCCGCCCAGCCCAGCAGGTGAGAAGCATCAGGCATCCCCAGCCCGACTCCTCTGACTCCTCACAGAGGTCTCTTCTCCTTCAGGACCTCTGAAGGAGGCCTCCCTTTCTCTACCCTCAGCCCCGTCCATCACCCCTCATGGTCCTGTCTGTCGCTTACCTTGGGAGAAAGGCAGTGTTCAGGTGTCCATGTCCCCACCCAACTCTGGAGGTAAATGACATGTCTGTATGTGTGTCCCCCTAAGGGCCGGGACTGTCACTTGGTGATACAGCTCTGCAGAACCTGGAGCAGCTGCTAGACGGGCCAGAAGCCCAGGGCAGCTGGGCAGAGCTGGCAGAGCGTCTGGGGCTGCGCAGCCTGGTAGACACGTACCGACAGACAACCTCACCCAGTGGCAGCCTCCTGCGCAGCTACGAGGTGGGTTGGCCTGTGCCCTGCCCCCTCCCCAGCCTCCTTTCCCGATCTGAGTCCAGGTGCCTCCTTGGCCCCAGGGCTCCCGAGCACATGCCCTAACCATGACTCAGACCTCATTCCTCTGTCTTCTCAGCTGGCTGGCGGGGACCTGGCAGGTCTACTGGAGGCCCTGTCTGACATGGGCCTAGAGGAGGGAGTGAGGCTGCTGAGGGGTCCAGAAACCCGAGACAAGCTGCCCAGCACAGGTAAAGGGGCCTCCCTGGAAGGTGGATCTGGACCTGGAGGGCCGGAGGCCTGAGGCTTTGACTATCCCATTCCTGTCCCCATTTACCCCCAGCAGAGGTGAAGGAAGACAGTGCGTACGGGAGCCAGTCAGTGGAGCAGGAGGCAGAGAAGCTGGGCCCACCCCCTGAGCCACCAGGAGGGCTCTGCCACGGGCACCCCCAGCCTCAGGTGCACTGACCTGCTGCCTGCCCCCAGCCCCCTTCCCGGACCCCCTGTACAGCGTCCCCACCTATTTCAAATCTTATTTAACACCCCACACCCACCCCTCAGTTGGGACAAATAAAGGATTCTCATGGGAAGGGGAGGACCCCTCCTTCCCAACTTATGGCAGCCCCTGATGTGACTCTTGTCCCTGGAACCAGCTACCCACCCTGCCCACATGCCAGGCATGGTGAGAAGAGAAGGAGGAGGCCCAGCCAGCAAGTCCAGAGCAGTTTTAATGGGGGTGGAGGCTGTACAAAGGGCAAGGCCCACTGAAGCGGGGGAAAGCCAGGCCGTGCTGCCCCCGGCCCAGGTATGGGGCCTTGGCATGGACGCCCTTCCTCCACCTCCAGCAAGAGAAAGAGTAAGCCCTTGGGGAGGAAGGAGGGGAAACCAGCTCAGCCCCAAATCCTGGTCTCTGTCCAAGCCAGGCCCCAGGACAGAGGGGGACTGATGGTGTCAGGGTGGGGGTGGTCTCAGCAGAAAGCAGAAACGGCATCAGGCCTCTCCCACACAAAAAAAAAGCATCAAAAGTTCAGGGGCGCTAGCCCCTCCCGCCCCCGCCCACCCTGTACGAAAAAGTGCAAAACATTATCACAAAAAGGGGCTCTCGGAGGTGCCCCTAGCCTAGGCTCCTGAGGCCCAGGCCCCAGCCCTGCCCTGCCCCGGACACCGCGTCCGGCGCGGTCGGGCCCTAGGCCGGGAGGCCCTCGTGGGTGGCCCGAGGCCGGCCCGGGCTCAGGCAGGGCCATGTCATCCTTCAGGTGCCCAGCAGGCACTCCCCACCCTAAACCTCATCTCAGGGCTTCCGCCGCCCACTGCCTGCCCCTGGCCGAGGCTCTGAGCTGTGACGCTGAGCCCGGGGCTGGCTGGAGGGTTTGGGCTGCAGGGAGGGACTGGAGTGAGAAGGAGGGAGTCCATCCTCTGTGCTCCCGGCCTGGGCCAGTGCTGCCTCCACTGCATCCAGCTCCTCACTGCCTGCCTTCAGCTTGACCCGAAGCAGCGCTGCATAGGTGCTGTAGCGGGATTTCTGAGGCAGAGGGGCAGGGGCTGTGAGAGCCTCTTCTCTGCCTTCTGCCCACCCCACCATCTGGACCAGGGAGGGCCGCCAGCAGGGCAGAAGATGGCAGGTGCCCACCCAGGACTGTGAGATGGTCCCATGCGGGCTGGTGCCCCCTCTGGGCTCTCCTGGGACCATCATCTATAACCTAATGTGTCTTGAGCCTTTACTAGAGCTGGGGAAATGGCACGCTTGAGACATGCCTCACCTCGAGACCCCAGTGGATGTCAAATGTTATCCTTGTTGCACAGAGGAGGAAACTGAGGCTTAGGTTAAGCAACCTGCCCAAGGACCTCCGGCCGGTTCCACTGTTAGAGTTCATGCCCTTCACCCTAGTATGGGCCTGCGTGTGTGGACAGAGGGGCAGACAGGGAGGCTCACCTCAAACTCCAGGTAGGCCTCCTTCTGCCGCTGCTCTTCAGCCTCCTTGCCCCGGCCCTTCTTGCCCAGCTGGGCGGCCCGGTGCTCCCGCAGCTCACTTGCCATGGCCTTCAGCTTGGCCTCGTGGGTCCGCACCTGCTCCTCCTAGCGGCCAGGGGGAGGCATGGTCATGGTCACTCTGCCCTATACAGTGCCTCTGCAGATTTTTAAAAAGATACCCCTTCCAGCCGGGCGCGGTGGCTCACGCCTGTAATCCCAGCACTTTGGGAGGCCAAGGCGGGCGGATCACGAGGTCAGGAGATCGAGACCATCCTGGCTAACACGGTGAAACCCCGTCTCTACTAAAAATATAAAAAATTAGCCAGGCGTGGTGGCAGGTGCCTGTAGTCCCAGCTACTCAGGAGGCTGGGGCAGGAGAACGGCGTGAACCCGGGAGGCAGAGCTTGCAGTGAGCTGAGATCGTGCCACGGCACTCCCACCTGGGCAACAGAGCGAGACTCCATCTCAAAAAAAAAAAAAAAAAAGATGCCCCTTCCTTTGGACAAACAAAGCACTATGTTTGGGTTCCCAGCCGGCAAGCGGGACCCAGTGGGGGCTGGATTTCAGTCCCTGCTCACCCCTGTGGCCAGCATCCTGGTGCAGGGGACATCTCCACGATCACACGCAGCAGCCTTGAGTGCAGTGGGCCTGAGCCTAACACCCTCCATCCCACTGGCACTAGGTGGACAGAGCTTGGGCTACCTGGGAGAGGCGGGTGGCAGCGCTGGGCAGGAGAGGGCGGCTGAACTTCTTTTGGGAGCTAACAGCAGCTGGGAAGGGGGGCGCAGAGAACATAGCGGCTACTACATTGATGCGAGTGATCCAGGACTGCATCTGCTCCAGGCTCCTGGGGAGAAAGCACAGCCCTTTGGGACCTGGGCCCAGGGTTTCTGTCCCAGGATGCCAGTCCTGGCTCAAGTGTGGCCTGAGAAGGAATGAAAAAATCCAGGGACAGGGAGGGGAGCAGGATGGGAGGTGGGGGAAGGGGTCCGGGATGGGCAGGAGGAGGGCACTCACGGGGCCTGGAAGAGGAAGACCCGCCAGTCAGCTGTGCGCAGGTAGAAGACGTGGGGCCTCTTGCTGTAGTCACTGGCACGAGTGGCCAGGGCATGGTGGATGCTGATGGCATTCTTGAGCTCCGTCTCTGAAAGGGCCTTCCCAGGCTTGTACTCCTCCTGCAGGGGTGTCCATCTTGTCCTGGCCCCAAATGCAGCCTGGCCCAGCCCCTCCTATTCCCACCCATCACCCCACACCCACCAGCCAACTCAGTCCCAGCCCCAGCCCCCTGGCCTGACCCCGCACCTTCTGCAGGTAGAGGATCATGCCCTTGAGGATCCCGTGGAAGCTCTTCCAGCCCCGCTTGCCCCGAGGTGCTGCGGGGAGAGAAGACAGGTCAGGGGGCCCTGGAACAGGCCCACTCCCATCCATCCCCTAGACGCCCGCCCCCCGCAACTCGGCCACATACTCTTCCTGCAGTCAGGGTCTGCGTGCACCTTTCGCACCAGGGCCCCGTGCTTGTAGACGGCAGCCCCAGGCTCGGGAGTCAGGTCCAGGAAAGGGCTGGAGCCACTGCCACTGCCCCCGCTGATCCGCTTGATGACCTTGGGGTTGGGGTCGGCCAACTCAGACAGAGAGCGTCTCAGCTCCTCCTCGTCTCTGCAGGTGTGATCACCTCAGAGGGGGCTGGCCATGGAGCCGCGGCCCCCGCTTCAGTTCTGGCCTCTGCTCGCCCTGGAAAAGCTCCCCCAGTGTTTGTGGCTTGGGGGGCTCAACCTGAGGGTCCTGCCATGTCTCCCGTCTCAGATCAGGCCTCCACAATGTGTAGCTGTGCCTCCTCAGAGCAGGGCACCTCCCTCAGAGCTCCCCAGCCTAGAGCCACCACTGTCCCTTCCTCCCAGCAAGTAGGGCCAGCACTATCCTCTCCATTGCTGCACACCTGCAGCCCTCACACCCTTCTCCACCAGGACAGCCCCGGGCCTGCCTCCGCTGGCTCAACCACATCCAGCCCCAGGCTTTGCTCACGGTTTGTGGGCTAAATGGTAGCAGATGGAAGAAGTAGTTTCCTAGTGCCGCCCCCACCCCAACCCCATACATCCTGGTCTACAGGCTCAGTCAGATACAAAATTTCGGATTCTATCTTGTCACTCCCTTGCTCAAGAACCTGTGGTAGTTCCCTGTTACTTCCCATATGGAGCCTACACTGCATCTCCCCCAACAGTGTTTTTCTCCGTCCCAGCTAGGCCTGCCTCCCTTGGTCCCCCACCCCATACTCATTTCAGCCACCACACCTTTGCCTCCCAAATTCCAGCTTCCCCTTTCCTCTTCCCAAATGTTGCCCCAACTTCATGGCCCCAGTCTCAACCCTCCAAAAGCCTTCCCTGATCTCCCCCTGCACCCTAATCCTGAGCTGCACCTCCCCTGAGATCTCCAATGACTGGGAACTCCCAGCTAACTGGACAGTGAGGGAGTCTCAGTGGATAACGGCAAATTTGAATGATCTATGAACTGTGAAGATAAGGCCTCTACCCTCAGACTGGGGACCCCAAGGCCCAAACTGGATTTCTTCCCTCAGACTAGAAGACTAGACTCTTCCAAGACTTACTTATGAGTCTCTGTGTTTCTTTTTTCTTTTTTTTTTTTTTTTTGAGACGGAGTCTCTCTCTGTCACCCAGGCTGGAGTGCAGTGGCGGGATCTCGGCTCACTGCAAGCTCCACCTCTCGGGTTCACAGCATTCTCCTGCCTCAGCCTCCTGAGTAGCTGAGACTACAGGTGCGTGCCACCACGCCCGGCTAATTTTTTGTGTTTTTAGTGGAGACGGTTTCACCGTTTTAGCCAGGATGGTCTTGATCTCCTGACCTCGTGATCTGCCCGCCTTGGCCTCCCAAAGTGCTGGGATTACAGGCGTGAGCCACCTCGCCTGGCCGAGTATCTATGTTTCTATTGGAGCCTTCCAAGAACAGACAGCATGGTTACTTGTTTTGTTCTGTGACATCTGGGCTCCCTAGGACCTGTGAGGGCCTCTTGTGCTGCTGGTCAAGGCCCTGCTTCCAGAGGCTTCTGCTTTCCCACTCAGGTTGCCAGGGGACCTCCCTTTGATGTTTCAGCACCTCTCCTCCCACCCCAACCCACTTGTCATAACAACCCAGCTAGAGACAAGATACAGAACCCCAAATCCAGGCAGACATCTCCAAAGAAGGAAGTGAGGCAGCCTCACTGCCTCTCATGGCCTCTCACTCCCCTCCCCTACCCCCACCCAGGGCCTACCCCAGCTCTCTCAGCCTCCCCAGGCAGCCCCTTCCCCATGCCCCATCCTAGCCCCACCACGCAGCCCCGGGACTCACATGGCCCACTGCAGCTTCTCATTCTTGATGGAGCTGTACAAGGCCTGGGGGGTGGGGGGAACAAATTAGGGGGTTGTGGGTCAGTACCGCAGTGTCAGAGCTTAGAGCCTTCCCCTCTAACTTGAGAGATGAGCCAGAACTAAGGGGAAAGGGCAGCAAGATATAATGACCAAAAATACAGGCTCCAGAATGGAGACCCAGACCCGGCTCCACCACCTGAGCTGCATGACTTCGGGCAAGTATCCATGGAGAGGAACAAACGTAGTAACATGTGGGCACAGGCAGTTAGCACAGGGCATCCCAGCACAAGGCTGACGCACAGTAAATGGTTGTTGCTATTATTATCTTTATTGTTGTTAAGGGGCTGTCCTGCTCAGATCCTGGGCTGGAGAAGCACAGCCCTGGAGGGAACGGGAAAAGCAGCCCAAGAAATTCCCCTTCCCCCAACCACGCGCTCTGGCCTGTTTCCACAGGATGAGCCCACACATAGCATATGGGGAAACTGCGACCCCAGGATAGGGGACTCGCCCTCTCAGCACTTTCCTTCCCTAATAGAGAATACACTATCATGGCTCCCAACACCAAGACAAGCTGAGGCCTCCCCCTAACCCTGACAGCCCCACCAAGCCAAATGCCAGGGTGGTCCAACGCCCTGCCCACGTGCACACTTTGTCACTGGAGAGTGAACACTCCTCTAAAAAGCAGTGGTTTTAGCTTCCAATCCCTGCATAGCCCAAACTCTGTGCGATGTGAACCAGCCACTTCCCCTCTGTGCAGTTGGCCTGGGGACATTTGGGGGTCCTGGGGTGGTCAGAAGAGAGAATAGGCTCCAGGAGTGGCATGGGGTCCCCTCTTCTCCAGAGTGGTCTGGAATATGGGTCCACGCCAGCACCTCCAACTGTGGGGTACTTCCGTCAGCCTGTCCGTGAGTGGGTGTGTCCCCAGCATGTGCATGTTGGGCTAAGTGTGTGGCGTGTGATGCTGCCTGCATGTGAGCTGGGTGCAGTGGTGACGTAGGCACCTTCCCTGTGATGGGACACAGCCTCCCCTTCACTCCTCCCAACAAACCACAGTCTCTGACTCTCTCACTGCCCACAGCCATGCCCAGCCACAAGGCAAACCAGGCATCCCAACTGGGCACACACTGTTCACACCCTATCTGGGGATGGGTGTACCCCACAGCCTCCAACCCCCACTCCACCGCCCCCAGCACAACCAAGGCAAATCAACACATAGACCTTCCAGCACACACCCAGACGAAACCCAGCATGGCTCAGACCCTTAACCCTCACTCCGCAACTCTCTGGCCAGAAAGCGGAAGTGGCCACCAAGATCCAACCTGCAATCCTTGCCTCCCGCCTTCTAGTTCATCCCCTGCCCTGTCTCAGGACCCCCTTCGGCCCACCATCACACCTCATTCGAGGGCCCTGAACCCCATCGGTGGGCCGCAAGTCATATTCAATCTAGAAAAGCCTCTTCGGTTTTTGAGGCCCACCTTGGCCCCAGGGTCTGTGCCCTCCCTGCCCCCCCAGCCCGTGCCCGCCTCTGGCTGCCCATGACCTCTGTCCCTACCAGGCTCCGCCCTCGGTTGGCACCGCCCTCGGTGCCTCCCACAAGCCGCCCCCTCGGTCGCCCCGCAACCTGGCGTGGGCCGCGGCCCCAACGCCCTCACCGCCTTTTTCTTCTTGCGGCTCTGCAGGCGGCTGACCACCAGGTCGGTGTAGAGCACGGGCTTGAGGCTGCGCGAGCGCTGCGGCCAGCCGTAGCACAGGGTCTCCGCGCCGCGGTGGGTGCGCCCGTAGCGCACGGAGCACAGCGAGCGCGAGCGCAGCCGCCCGGCGCTGCTGTGGATGCTGTTGACGCCGATCATGCTGGCCCGGCCGGCGCGCCGCGGCCCCCGGCCATGCCCCCGTCCGCCCTCGGCCCCCGGGCCGCCCGGACGGCCCGCGGACCGCTCCCCCGACAGCCAGCGCGAGCGGCGCGGCCCGGCCCGAGCCGGCCCGGCTCTCACGGACGCACGGAGTGCGCGGCGGCGGCGGCGGCGCTGTCTGCTCTGCGGCTTGGCTAGAGCGGGAGGGGGGCGCCGACGGGAAAGGGAGGGCGAGGGCTGGGGGCGGGGACCGCATGAAATGGAGGCGCCCGATCGCGAAGGGGGCCCTCCCCGCGCGGCCACGGGGAGGAGCCTGGGGAGGCCAGCGTGGGTGGCAGCTCCAGGGAGGCTGAGAGCACCGCTAGGCCTGGGGCTGTGACGCTGGGCGGACCCGGCAGGGTCTGGAACTCCCTTCTGGCTGGTCTGGGTTGGGGTGGTGGGAGGGGAGAGGTCGGACCGCTTCCCTGCAGCCCTTTTCCACTGAGCCAAGAGGGGCCTCGAGGGAGGACGGAGGCAGGGAAGGAACAGCCCTGGCCTCATCCAGCTCACCCGCAGATACCCCACCCATATATAGATCTGAAGTCACGTAACACACCTCGATTCTGACATACACCCCAACAAACCAGACGCACCAGTTCACGGTCACCCCAACTCGCAGACACTACCCATTCAGATGGACACTTCAAAACTTAGAATCTTTAGCTCACAAAGATACACCCCCTACTCAGAGGCATATGGCATACCTCAGACACGGCCAATTCGAAGATGTAAACCCCACCACACATAAACATCCAGCCTACACCCCAACTCAAACACACACTCTGAATCGTAAGCCCTAAAGCACAAACACACCAAGCCATACAAACCCTTGATTCACGACGCCCGGGCACACAGATGCAACTCAACTCAAGCAACACCCCAGCTCACCATGGACGTTCCCTCTCAGATATACCCCAAACTCAGAAGCCCAGCACCCCAAGCTCACAGAAACGCCCTAGGACAATCCTGTGCTGTTACATGTATGTAGTGGAGCAGAGACACCTTTGTCCTAGCCTGGGGGTTTCTTCAAGTGAGTCCAGGCCTCTCTAGATAAACTACCACCAGATCAGGGAGAGGAGTGAACCCACTGGATGAGCCACTCCCTTCTCCTACCGGCACCAGCCCCTACGTATCTGAGCCCTCGGTTGCGGGCCATGGAGCTGGCGCCTGGGAACGGGACCTGCTCACAGGGAGCCAGAAAGCAGTTTCTAGCTCCAGCTTTGCGCTAACTCGCTGCCAGACCTTGGAAAAGCTTAGTCCCTCTCAGGCCCCTCTCCCTCCGGGTTCCTGCAGCGCAGCAGCACCGGGAAGGTCTTTTTGGCTGTCCACGCGGCGGGGGAGCAGTGTGGAGTGTACCCCCATCCAATCCCTGTCCCGTGCAGGGACCCCCGCAACTCCCGCCTTCCACCCCAGCGCACACTGGAGGAGGGGAACTGAAGGCAAACGCAGGGGCCGGGGCCGCCTGCTCGCGTTTTCCAGAGCCGGGTCCCCTCCCCCGCCGTGCGCAGTCGCGACCGCACGCATGTGCGCATGTTCCGGGAGAGCCTGCGCGTGGGGCCTGGGGAGGGGGCGGTCCCCAGGCTGAGTCACGAGAGCCCGGGCTTCCGTGGCAGGAGCCGGGGGTCGGCAAGCCCCAGCCCTGCCCTCCCTCCGACTCTGGACTCCGTCGCCGACTGGGTCCTCCATCCTTCCCCTCCAGCGACTTCTACCCTGCCCCGCCCCCCACCTTGAGCAGCTCCCTAGGGAAGTCGCCGCCATCATTGAGGCCCTCCAGGTTCCCGATGAAGTCCCCGCAGGTCATGCGCTTCCCGATGTTCTAAGGAAGGGAACGGAGGCCTGTGAGTTTGGAGGGCCCTTGGCCTCCCAGGTCCTGCATGTCTGGCCAGGGGTTTGTTTTCCGGCTCCTGCCCGCCCGCCTCCACTCACATGGCCGTGGAGATCCGTGTTGAGCAGCATGAGCGCACAGGTCAGCGTGTGGGCGCCGTCTAGGGGAGAGCTGACTTTCAGCCTTGGCTGCCTCCCAGGGACCCTTCCCACAGCCATCTTCCCCAACCTCCCATTTCATCCCCACCCCCTTTGGCCGGCAACTTCCTACCTCCTGAACCCCGCTAGTAAACCCTCCCCACAAAGAGCTCCTCTTCCAGCAGATCCGTCAGCAAGGACCCGTCCCTGGCTCCCTCAAGTACTGAGGGCTAGTTGCCCCAACGTACTAGTTGCCCCAACGTTCCCTTGCCTCTAAGCCTGGACCACGAGAAAGTGAACCGCAGCACAGTCCTGTAGACCAGTGCAGCCAAACAGAATCCCCTCTCCAGCCAAGCACTGGCCTGCACAGGCATGCAAACTCCTGCCTCTTCACAACACACTCAACCCTAGCAATATGCCTGCCCACATGTATAGTTCCACATACATGCAGCCATGACAGCGCTGTCTGCACACATGCAAGTTCACATGCCTACACGCATGTACATCCATTCCCTGCTGTACACACACTCATGCTCCTGTACACACACACAGGGCCCAGCCCATTTTGCCACTGTGGCCAGCTAAGGACACCCCTGCTCTCGGAACTCCTCACCCTCTGAGGACAGGGCTTCAGGATTGCACTGGAAGTATCGCTGGGAGAAGTGGGCCAGCACGCGCTCTCGTTCCTGGGTCTCACCCATTAAGGCCAGCTCCTTCAGAAACACCCTGGAGAAGGGGCAAGAGAGGGTTGCCTAGCAACCAGGAGTTTCCAGCCTCTGTCTCTGGGGTGACAGGAGGCTTTGAGAGTACAGCAGCTGGGGTGGGAAGGGGAGGAGAGAAAGGGGATGAGGGTATGCACCCTGACCCTCCACCCATCACCCCTACCCAAGGTCCCTTTACCAGGCAGCTCTGGCCCTTGGCCATGCCCAGCCATCTTGGGAAGGGTGATGTCAGGACGGCTTGTGGGGGACAGAGGGGCTCAAAGGAGGCATCCTGGGGCCCTAACACGAACCCCGGAGAGTGGGGGCTGTCCTCCAAGGGGTCAACACCCACCTGAGAGCTTGGTCCAGAGTCATGCCCGTGAAGACAAAGAACTTGAGGTACTCCCCAGCCACCAGTTTGCTGAAGTCATTGCTGTGGGCAGGGCAGAGAGACAGGTAGGGTCTCAAGGGGAAGTGCAGGGGGTCAGGTGGGGATTACCCAATGACCAGGGGACATTAGATGGAGAGCTGCCTTCAGGATGCATTCCCTCTGCCCCCATCCTCAGTCCCAGCCTAGTGGCTTTACTTCTTGCCCAGGTGCCGGGCCACATCGGCCTTCCTGAAGCCATCTAGTCGGTACAGCCTCTTGGCCAGGCGCTGCGCAGCCTCCAGGTCCGCTTTCTGCCCATTGGACAAGGTGTCTGTGCTTCCCAGGGCCAGCCGCTCTGTGCTGTCCAGCTCTGAGTCTGAGTCGGACACCAGCTGGCTCAGGGGTGGTTCGCTGCCGGGGTAGAACACCAGCTCAGGCTGGGGCAGGGTCCTTAGGAGCCATCCAGACCCTCCTTCTGCCTCCAGGCCCAGAAGATGGAGAAGGGGAGGGAGTGGAGGGACATGGGGAAAGCATTCTTCTTTTTTCCAGGGAAGGAGATTAGATTCTCTCCATCAGCCTACTCCATCATTACCACCTCTCTGTGGAAGTCCTGCCTCAAATCTAACCCACATCCGTCTTGCTGCTGTGGGAGTTCTGGCTGCTTCCTCAAGCTCCCAGGGGCCTACATTTGCTATTAGACATAGATTATCTGTTCCCACCCTGGCCCTACACAGAACATAGTCCTTTGTCTCTTAGACTATGGACAAAGCTGGAATAGATGGGCTACCACGGAGGAACTGTGGAGGGCCAGGGAAAGATTTGAGGGCAGCAGGGATACTGGTCCGAAGGCTTTCCCCCTCCTGCTTTTTAGGGAGAGGAACCTCTCCTTGGTGCTCCCCCTCTGCCCACACAGAAGCAGGCTCTGGAGTTAGGGGGTTAAGGGTCGGGGTGCATACCCTCATTCCCTTTCTTTCCTCCCCTTCCCACCCCAGCTGCTCTACTCGCAAAGCCACCTGTCAGCCCAGAGACAGAGGCCGGAAACTCCTGGTTGCTAGGCAACCCGGTCTCCCTGGCCACCCCCTCCTGTTGCCATGGCTTCCATGACTGAGAGGGTAGCTGGCAGAGGGGAGAGCAGAAAGGTTAGACTGTGAAAGGACTTCCTGGAGCTGGACGAGAGATGCCTGATTAGGCAGGGGTGACATGGGAGGGAGGCAGTGGGAGAGGCTGGTGGCTGCATCTTTGGTGAAGCCTTCAGGCTGGGTGAGGGTAAGGTCACAAGAATTCTGAGCAGGCTAAAGACTCTGCCAAGGGAAGAAAGGGCCCTCCAGGAGAGCAAGAAGGGTATTCTCCTGGGATCCTTCAATGCTGAATCATGCTTTCTCAAGCCACTGGACTTGAGACCAAGAGGGGTGCTGTGAGGGACTCTCCCTCACAGCTAATGGCAGTAGTCCTCCAAATAGGAAAACAGGATCTGCATCCCTTAACCACCCCTACTCAGGGGTCAGGAATATAAACCAATCCTCACACTCAGGATCTGTCCCTTACAGCAGCTGTTTCTGGAGCCCTGGGGGCCTCAAGTCTGAGGGACAAAAGGAATTACTTACCTGCCAAGGGGTGCTGCCCCCAGCCCAAGGCTGTCCTCTGAGTGGCAGGGACTAGGGGGCTCCCTCCCTGGGGCCAGCTTGGCTCTGGCCTCTGCCTCCTCCTCCTCCCCTCTCTGTGTCCAAGGACCATCAGCAGCAGAGCTGGTACCAGAATCCGGTTCAAGAGGGGCAAGTGGGGCGGGAGCTGGTGGGTCGGGCCGGGGTGCAGGGGGTTGGGGAGGCAGCTCAAAGGTGAAGAAGGGGCTCTGGGTTGGGCCAGGTGAGGCCAAGGCCTCCAGCGAGGCGAGGCTGGTATAGGAGGTGCCTTTGGCCCGGTGTGACTCCAGGATGGCTTCGAACACACAACTGAAAGAGTCAGGCCCATCAGCCGAGGGGCTCGTCCCAGGTAGAAAGGGCACAGGTGACTTGAGAGGCATCCGGCTCCCTGGCCTGCAGGGGCAGGGAGAATCTCTGATTAGGGGCCCAGATCACAGGGCTGGGGCAGGATTTCACTGAACTCTCACACTGACTCTGCTAAGGGGATTATCATCCCCTTTTCACTGGCTCCAGCCCACTAACAAAAAAGAGCCTCTAGGGTAGGGCGCCAAGCTATTCAGTGCCCCCTGGGGCACACCAGCCCTACCAGTCCCCAGCACCCCATCCCCTCCCTCCCTGCTAATCTCCCTTTCTCCTCCTTTTCCGTGATCCGCTTCCCTTCTGCCATCCCATTTCTATTTCTAGCAACATCTTAGGAGAAGATGAGGCTCCAAGCGACACTGGGGTGTGAGACGGAAAGGAATGTCCCCACACTCCCCACTCTCCCACCAGGATCCAGGATCCAGACTCATGCTCCTGTGTTCCTGGGCTTGACTGTGGCCTCTGGCCTCTCACCCTGCCCCCTGTTCTGCTAGAACCCCTGGCCTCTTTGCTCCCCACATCCCCAGTGTTCTGCCAAGCCTCAGGCCTCTGTCTAGAATCTCCTGCTATACACACTGCCCCGCCAGCCCCACACCCATCTCTATCCCAGGCCCTTTGAGCCCGGCTCTGCCTGTGGGCCAGTGCGAAGGAGCAAGCCGCTTCCCTCTCCCACTTCCCCCTCCCACTTCCCCACTCACCGGGCCCCTTCAGAGGCCTCAAACACCTCGTCGTCCACATCTTCTTCCCCACCTGCCTCATCGTCGTCCTCATCCTCATTGCCACTGCCGAGGCTGGGATGAGGGCCAGGGAGTGGGCCGGGCCGTGGGGCAGGTGGGTAGGCAGTGCCTGGTGGGCCCTCAGAGCTGGGCTGACTTTCGATGGCCGAGTCGGCCTCCTCCCGCTCAGCCAGCACCTCATCGATGTCAGTCTCGCGGTAGCACCTCAGGGGCACCGTGTCCAGGTCTGTCTCGGAGTACTTGGCTGCTCGCCCCACAGCCACCCCAGAGCCCTGCCTTGAGCCCACCCCAGGTGGAGATGGGGGGGCCTGCTCTGGGGGCTTAGCACCTGTAGTGTGCATAGGCATCCAGGTCAGGAGGTTATCCACGTCAGCTCCCTGTCCTAATTCTGCTCTAGGATCTCTGCCCACTGCCTCATATTGACAGGAAGTTCTTTCACTGTCTAGCCACCATTCCTCCTGCTACATACTTAGCTTGTTCCTGGTGCCAGTGGAGCTCATTTTAAATCAAGTTCTTGTCAAATGGCTTTGAGGAGCTGGGGGAAGACCAGCCTTTTTCTGTCTTTTTTATTTATTTATTTATTTATTTTGAGACAGGGTCTCACTGTGTCACTGAGGCTGAAGTGCAGTGGTGCAATCATAACTCACTGCAGCCTTGACTGCCTGGACTCAAGGGATCCTCCCACCCAACCTCCCCAGTAGCTAGGACTATAGGTGCACACCACTACATCCAGCTAATTAAATTTTTGGTAGAGACTTGCTTGTTGTCCAGGCTGGTCTTGGACTCCTGGCTTTGAGCAGTCCTCCTGCCTTGGCCTCCCAAAATACTGGGGCCACTGAGCCCTGCTGAGCCTCTTTTCTACTCCATGGAATGCCCCTCAATATCCTTCTGTCCCCTCCCTCCATTACTCAGCTTCCTCCA